>NC_000003.12:59706969-60010000 GCF_000001405.40 Homo sapiens | reverse complement strand
ATGCACAAACTGTATTAAGTGGGATGCACAGAATGATAATAGGTGCATAGTAAGCATAGCTAAAACTTATATGAATAGATAGGTTATATGATCTCAAAATTTCATTTAGCCATTCTAAAGCGGGATAGAAAATATTTGCTATGCAACAGGCTCTGAATAGAGATAGAAAGTAGATTAGTGGTTGCCAGGGACTGGGACAAGGAAGGAATGGGGAATGATTCCTAATGGATACAGGTTCTTTTAGGGTAATGAAAACGTTGTGGACTTAGTGGTGATGGTTGTGCAACATTGTGAATATAATAAAGCCACTGAATTGTACGTTTTAAAATGGTGAATTTTATCATATTTGAATTATCTCTTGACTAAAAATAATAAACACACACACACAAAACAAATAAGCAGTGAGCCTAGCTGGGCTGATAACTATGGCTACAGATTGTGTAACTCCAATAGTAATTACTTTTTGATGTCCCAATTATCTGGCCAAAATGTGTAATGTTTTTGTTACCTTTGATGGTGATGATGATGGACTAATTCTTAACATATAGTACTTATATATGAATTGTTGAATGTGGTTATTGTTATCATCACCCTGATTATTTAGCTTAAGTTGAACTTTTTAAAACGATTCTGTTTTTTAAATCAGCAGGTTATGCTGTTTTGCACATCTTTCAGTTGTTTCCAACCTGATCACAGAAGTTTCCTGATATGAAATAATGGGGATATCTTGACTCGTTTGTAGAATATGGTGGTTATAAGAAAACCACCATACACACACACACACACACACACACACACACACACACACACACACACACACACACACACACACACATAAAATCCCAGAGAACAATGAAGGTTCCAAAGCTGTCCTTTTAGACAAAGTATCCATATCTAAAGTTGTTGAATCTGCTTTTCAAAATGCGATCTTTGTATCACCTGCATGAAAATTAACTTTGGTATCAGTTAACAACAACAAAAAGTTGATTCTCAGTTCTTATTCCAAATCTACTTATTTAGAATACTGTGACTGGGGCTTGGGAATCTTCATTATTAACAAGCACATCCCGTGATAGATATTTGCCAGCCTCAGTATTGTATGATGATAAAATATTGAGTGGCAATGGCCACATAATTATGACCCCTGGAAGCCAGTCTTGCAGTAGCCAGCCCCTCTAGGGGACAAAGCAGCATCTTTAATATTCAGCTGTCCAGTTGTGAATACTACAATTCAAGCCTCTGAGCATTTCATATTTTGGAATTCACACAGTTGCACATTTTAAGGCAGCATTTGACAACCTGCCATGGAAAGCACAGTGACTGTTCTCTTCATCTTTGCCTCTGTGTCTCATTCTTGAGATTCTGCCTGATCCCTGGGTTCTAAACCATTTTTGTCTCATGCTGAGTGGTAATAGCAATAAGCCCAGTAAT
This sequence comes from Homo sapiens, assembly GCF_000001405.40. Classification (NCBI taxonomy): domain Eukaryota; kingdom Metazoa; phylum Chordata; class Mammalia; order Primates; family Hominidae; genus Homo; species Homo sapiens. The sequence continues at coordinate 60,008,569 of NC_000003.12, read as the reverse complement.
GGTCTTTTCCCCTGGAGCACCTGTTGTTATCGTTAATGAAGGTGCACCACTGAGTTAGCCTCTTGAACATGATACCACTGTAGGGTTTTTTTGTTTCAGGGGCTTTAAATTCTGCTTTGCAAAGAACAAGCGTGGCCTTGCTTACTCAGTAAGGCACTTGTAGTCAGGAAAGGGAAATATCAAAGTAAAAAAGTGACCTCTTATTTCACAATTGATTATTAACTCTCCTTTTTGGGTTTAAAAGGAGTAGAACCCTGCCATCCACAAGGTGATTATTGCAGCAGTTTGATGTCCTGCAGGCTTGAGAAATAATCTTTTTCTTTCATCTTCAACCATACAGATCCAAACAGCCTCCCTGACCCTTCATCTGAAGTAGCTCTCCTAAAGCCCCTACTCTCTGTCCTGGTGCATGATTTGATTTCTCTCGAGGCATTCTTCATTGTCTTTTGTTTGTTTGGCTATGCACCTGTACCTCTGTCTTTTCTCTAGTTCTTTGAGAAGGTAAGCTTTGTGAGGACCTGGATTTTGTCATTGTTTATGATAGGTCTCAGGACACGCTACCCCCAAAATATGCTAGCTCTGCATACTGAGTATTTTAAGGTGAAGGAAACTGAGAAAACTACAGAAGCAGGAACATCACTCTCTGACCTTTTTCCATTTGTCTACCCTCAAGTGTGCCATAAAAGAATTCTCTGACCTAACACCCATGCAAGTAGGTCATAAGACCTTCATTCCAGAGGAGTTCTGCCCTCTACTCACATGCCAAGAAGAATCTGAACACACAGGCCTTGCTAAGTTTTCCCCAATTTATTACCATCAAGTCATACTCTTTTATCATCCAATCATACTTCTGCATGACTGTCCGTAAAAATACACAGTTGTCTTTAGGTCTTTATTTCTAAAGGCTCCCATGGCACATAAAATTTATATTAAATATATTCGTTAGGCTTTCCTCTCGTTAATCTGTATTGTGTTACAGGGGTCTGAGCCATGAACCGGGCAATGGGTAAGGAAATGACACAGCTTTTTCTCCGGTTTATTTTCTATGCCTCTTTTGTGTGGGGAAGAGAATGATGATGATAATGGAACTTTGCTTGTTGCTTGTTGGAACGAATCTCATAAGTTTCTAACTTTAGTTAACATGAAGTAGAAGACGATATGTATGTGTATTCCAGCATGCAGTCAGCAATATTCCTGGAATCTCTATCAAAAGTCTTCTATATTCCAGGTGTTACTAACGAAGACTAAAATTTCCACGAATCAAGTTCTCAAATCATGTTCCAAAATGTAATTCCATCTAATCTAACCATTAAGGCAATATTCATTTCTTTAGAAGCGATGCTGCTTAATAAGTTAAATGTGAGCTATCTTTTAGAACAATTGGTATGTTCATCTTTGGGTGGGAGGCGGTTTTAGGTATATTAAGGACAGATTTATTCCAGGCAGGTAATCTGGAATCTTGTAAGAACTGTTTATAGATTATGCTTGCTTACACTCTTCTATGTTTATGGTACTTGAATCTTCTACTTAGAAATTTAATTTTATAGTATTAACGCAGTGGGAAGTAGCTGTTAATAACTTTTAAGATATTAGAAATTACTTTTTAGATTGCTCTAGAAGAAGAAGATAATTATTTGTAGAAGTATAATTCAAAAATTAAATGAGATAAAAAGGAAGCTCTTCTGTTCACTGAGAAGTTTCTGTGGTTCTAGAACAAATTTTCCACCTGAAAATTTGGTAATCTTTCAGATTCATGAAAATGAGGACATTTTATCTCTTAATTAAGTCTAGTAGTTAACATACTTTGGCATCAGAGGTTCCGTTAGGAATATTAGCCATATTAACTTCCTAACTGTGCACCTTTGGATCAGCCTTTTAGCCTCTCTGAACATCAATTTCCTTGTTTTTTTTTTTTGAATGCGGAAACCCTATCTATTATATTGAATGATAGTGGAGAAAAACTGACGTATTGATGTTCAGTACATGGTATATGTAGCAGAGATTGGCTAGGATTTGGACATGGATATAGAATCTGACCAGTCCACCCCAGTTCAAATCCCGGCCCTGCCACATCATGGCCCTTGGACCTCGTACATGTTTCTTAACGTTAATCTCAATCTCAGTTTCTCATCTATAAAATAGATTGTGGCTAGGCTTTAAGGGGTTGTAACTAGCATTGAGATGGTTTGTGGTGCTGCCAAATTCCCTTAATTATTATACACTGAATTCTCTCGCTACGAATGACTGCCTTTTGGTTAAATTCTTGAGAAAACTTTACTCTGATTATATGACTTGTGCTATTTAAATATCTTATCTGAACTTATAAAAATGACACTTTGAAAATTCAGAAATCTGCCTTCTTAATTGGGGAAAATAATACTGGCCCTCTCTGTCCGAACATTTTTAGCCTCTGGTGTATGCACAGATGATCACGAGTAAGTCGCGGTTACAAATCGATAGAGTACTTCACAGTTACCTGAAGAAGGTAGCCATAGGACAGAAGCCTGCCTGCCCCATGCTTTGCTGACTCGGTAGTTCTGATGTGGGGCCTAGGACTCTGTCCTAACAGACACCACAAGTGATTCTGATGCACACTTCACTTTTCTGAAGCTGCTTTCCTAAAGGAGTGATAAGAAGCACTTGTAGGGGGCTGCTGCTCTCAACCCAAACCAATTTCTAGGAAAGATTTGATGTGTACAGAAAGAGAGAAAGCCTTATCTTGAGGATGAAAATGATTTTCTTTTACCGTTACTTATTATTTTCATTTGGAAAGACACTCCAAGAGAGATGTGATTTGCCATAGGACTTTTATCCTTTCATTACAGCCATGGTGAACAGTGCCCTGACTATGTTAATACCTAATGCATGTATTTCCTGCATGAAGAATTGGTATCTTCAGGATGCTGTAGCTTTTATCTTGTATAATTGCCTTAAAATTTGCATCTCTGCCCTCAGAATGAATCCAGTTTGACTGGGTTGGTAAACCAAAGACAACTGCAGTGCTCAGGGGGATGGGTTTGGGTGTACATGTGGGAGTGGACGCCTTAGAGAAGTGTTGAGGTTCCAAGCCCTTTTCCTCTGGCATGTAAATATCTCTGACTTCCCCTCCCTCTCCCGCTCCTGGTGATTTGAGGCAAAACCCCCAGTCCCCAGCTCTCCAGGCAGAAGGGGCTGGGGGCCTGCCTGTCTCCTTTGGGAAACTTCCTCTCTCCTACTAAACCCTCAGGCCCTTTCCTAAGTAGATACAAATCATTGAGTTTTTCCGTTTCTAGTTTGTTAACTTTGATTTGCATGATACCATTTGGATCAAAGCACTGAAAGAAAAATTAACCAAGCTCCCTAGTATTTTCACGTTCTTATTTACTTTTTCCCTGTTCATTCAAACTCAAAGGCAGCTAAGGTGAAAGAGATGAGAGAGATCCTGAAGCAGGGATGAGGGTGAGAAGAAAATGCAGGGAAGTTAAAGCATACTGATGAAGAGGGAGGACTCTGGGGCCAGACTACTTGGTTTCAAACCCAGAGCTGTCGCCTACCAGGTGCATGAACCCTGGGCGAGTTAACCTTTCTGAGCTCCCCCACATTCATTCATAAACTTAGAAAATGGAGGTCTTAAGAGTATCCTGTCTCTTGGGAGTGTTGTGAGGACCAAATGGATTAATGCATGTAAATCCCTGTAAAATAGTGCCTGGCACATAGTAAAGTCTCAATACATGTTCACCATTAGTTTTATAATTCTTACTTCAGTCCTCACAACAACCTGCAAAAGTAGGCATTAATATTTTACACTTAGGGAAACTGAGGTTTAAAGAAAAAAAATCACATACTGGAAAAGCACAGTTGACAGATAGTGGAATTGGGATTCAAACCCAAGCCTATCCAAAATTTCAACTCTTCATTATATCATATGACCAGGCTGTTCCTAAAGAAATATGTTGTATCCTGTAATCACAGTAGAAGAAACTCAAGCACAGGTTTTGTAAATATTTTGTCACCCTTACCACATATTAATCTGTATTATTTTGCTCTGCTTGGAATAATGTTGGTTTCCATCTAAAAATATCCAGAGGACAATCCCTGTTTATTACACAGGTGAAGCTTAACCTAAATGCTGCTTTATTGCTGTATGTCAATTTATGGCAGAATTATATGCTTTTAGTGTTTAATTTTTCATTAGTACTACCAAACAAATCCCCTCAGTAATTAGAGGCCCTGACATATAGCAAAGTGGATATTTGGCTGTTTAATTTATTTTGCTATTTGTAATGCCGACACGTGGCACATATAGTAGGGACATTCAGTGTTTTATAGGATTCAGTAAACTGTCTTTTACACCTGAGGCTCAGAGCCTGTAATTTCTACTTAATCACTGTGAAGTCAAACCTCCTGTGAAAGGCAAGTGTTTTGTAGACCCTAAAATACCACCTAAATGTAAGGCGTTATTATTCAGTCAGAGTCTTACCTTTGTTGATGTAGTAAGGCCGGTTACTCACTGTTGTCATTTTGCTATAGGATACTAGTGCTCAATAACTAATCATTGAAGGAGCACTACTCTGCCTCACCATTTTGCTATGGGTGTTTCAAGCCTAGGAAATCAAATATAAAAATCTCTAACTCCATGTAATCAGCTCATTCTAATTTCAAAATTTTAAACCTGTGATATCCAAATACTTGGCTGGCCAAACTGTCAATTCTGTTAAAAAAAAAAAAAAAAGTAAAATAAATGCAGCCCAATTAATCATGTGAGAAAGATTCAGTACTTTTGATTAAATATTAGTGGCCAATTCAACCTCAGTAGATGAGCCATTTGTTTTATTTTTATTTTTTTGAGACAGAGTCTCGCTTTGTTGCCCAGGCTGAAGTGCAGTGGTGTGATCTCGGCTTATTAAAACCTCTGCCTCCCGGGTTCAAATAATCCTCCCACCTCACCCTCCTGAGTAACTAGGACTACAGGCCCGAGCCACCATGCCTAGCTATTATTTGTATTTTTAATAGAGATGAGGTTTCATCATGTTGGCCAGGCTGGTCTCAAACTCCTGACATCAAGTGATCCTCCTGCCTTGGCCTCTTAAAGTGCTCTGGAACCATTTGTTTTAGACTACACCACATCCTTAAATACAGAATGGGGAATGAAAGACCATACAATAATGTGTGCCTTGATTGAAATTGGGCCTTTTAGCTGAAACAGATCCAAATGCTACAAACTTTTGACTAGTAGTTATTAACAGCAGGAAATAATAAAATAAAAGAACAGGTTGCTTATAGGCTGCCATATAATTTATAAACATGTAGATCTATATATGGCTTAGAAGGAAGGACACAGATAACATTCTTACTGCCTCTGGGTGGAGATAGTGAGGGGAAGCAGTGCAATGTGGGATGTGAATTGTACCTGAGGGTTTCGGCTTTACAGTGTTTTATTTTTAAATTGGGTAATGTGTACATGGTTGTTGATTCTATTATTTAAAGTGCATTTTAAAAGAAAAACCAAGGGCCCCATTTGAAGCACTTTCCATTAAGAAATGACTATTATAATTCATTCTCTTTGCTTTATTATCTTTAGCATATAGCTAGTTCTCATGCCTCCTATTTTCCAATCTCTGAGGGTGGGGCCCATGAAGTAGCTTCTTGAAAGGTCCACAGTTGATTCTGATGGTTACCCAGAATATCAACTGCAATTTCATTTGTTTATTTTTATAAATATATTTTGATTCTTGGTCTAGATGACCTGGACTTGATTCTTTCTTGATACTCATCTCAAATTATTCAGTCCCCTCAGGCGCTTCTCTTTACCCTTTATGCCAAAGTCATTAATAAAGTAAGTCTCAAGACACAAAAAGCAGCTGGAAAAGGTAAAGATTTCATGGCTGAGCCAGGGTCAGATGGAAACCAGCTTAATGAATAATAGACAAGGCAACCTGCAGAGCCACAGATGTGGAAGAATTAGAATAATGACCTTCCTGAGGACATTTGAGTGAAAAATGTTGGGATGGTGAGACTCTATAATGGCCCTCAGGCCAAACATGGTGAGGAATCCTTTCCCTCCTTCTAAGTCAATTATGTTAGTGCTGGGAAAGGGTCATTTTGAAATTTTAACTTCCCATGTCATGAGGCATCCATCCTACCTTATTGTCTAATAGATCCGTTCTCCAAAGAAGCCTCTTGTTCACCAAAATCAGGGAAGTTGAGACATATATCTTCGGAAGCCTTCTCCATCAGATTAATCCAAAACCTCAGGAGGGAAGGGCAACAAACAAACAAACAAACAACAACAAACAAAAAAACACACACAAACAGTGGTTTGAAATTCTAGGCTTATTCAACATAAAGATAATATTATTGGATTCCAGTAATGAAAACTTCCATTTCTTTCCCTGGTAGTTTATTCTTTTAAACAAGTCTTCCTGGTTCCTGACGTTACATGAAAAATGAAGATGGAATTCTTTAAGATGTTGACCCTGCCTAGGGTGGTTGAGAAGAATAAACAACATTGAGTTAACAAAGTGAACACACCAAATATTCTTTTACTTTGTGGTGGAATTCATTTATCCTAACGTTCACATTCAAGTCTCCCACTCTGGGGTCCATATATCAGTTCGTGTTCCCCCACAAAATATTTTCTTATCATGCTTTCCATCCTGGTGCCCTGACAAACAGCTCACCAGGGGCTTTTATTTGCGTTTAAATTCGTCTGTTGGTTGTAAATGGTATAAATTCCCAGACGTAATCAGGTTCTAGCAGTATAATTTTGATGAAACTGTTTGGCCAAGGAAGGAATAAATGTGACTCCAAGCTCTGCTCCACTATCAGATGACCATCGATGAATCTCACTCTTTAAGGAAGAAACTCAGAGCACGGGATAATTCAAGAAAATCCCAGAGGAGCAAGTGACCTTAAAAGTCATTAGCATCATCCACTACTTGACAGTTAATCACCCCTGTAGCATTTAAGTCTGTCTTTCATCTTCCTCTATACCTGGAAACTCAAAGCACTGTGAGGTAGCTGCTTCCAGTTCTGAATCGCTCTGATCTCGATTTCCTCACTACCAAAGTAGTCTGTTCCTCCCTTCCAGGAAATGAGTATCCTGCCTACTCATGTTTTTCTATCTGGCATTCATTCATTAATTTATTCTTCTATCACCTACTATGTGCCAGATATCGTCACAGGCTCTGAGAACCTAAGAAGAATGAGACGTAGTCCTTGTTTTCAAGTACAGACTTTGAAATGAACACCATAATGCAGGAAGGCTGAAAAAGTTGTAGAAATTCTATAGTTAATATTAACATATTACTCCAATAAGTGTTTATTGAGTGCCTACTATGTGCCATGTGCTCCCAGGCACTGGGTTAAAGTGGAAGGCAAGACAGCCTAGGAAAAACTCTCAGTGTATTGTCTTCTTCCCCTTATGTGAAAGGGAACAAATAAAATATTGCAGATTTGGGTTAATACTAGAAAGACTAAAACAAGGTGTTATGAAATGGAATGACATGGTGGAAGGGGAATGGGGTGGTATGGCTACTTTAGATGGGGTGGTCACTGAAGAGATAACCCATAAACCCAGAACAGGGAACGACAGGCGCCTAGCCAGCGAAGAGCTGGAGAAGAAAGACCATTCTGGGAAGAGGAAATGGCAGTGGGAATGAGCTTGGCACATTCTAGGAAATAATTGAAGACCAGGTGGCAGAAATTTAGTGTAGGGAGAGTGGCAGCAGGAGAGAAGTGGGAAGAGTGGGCGGGGAGCCGTTACACTGGGACTTATGCTGTGGTAAGGAATTGTAATTCAATTTTAAATATATTTGATGTTTTGATGATACTCAGAGTGTATTTCAGGGCAGAGGGTATTTCACATGTGCTTATGATAGGTTTCCTAAATTGTTTTTTTTTTTAGTTTCTAAGCCCATTTTTCTAGACTTGAAGGATTTTCTCTCATGTCTATCTTAGGCACTGTGGTTGTCCCTCTAGCATTCTTCCTACCCTCCCTCTTGATTTAGTAGCCACAAAATTAGGATGGGTTTGAACTCATCTTTAGCTCCAGGTGCAGACCTTGTTTGGTACACACCAGGGGTTGGCAGACTTCTTTTGTAAAAGGCCAGATAGTAAACATTTTAGGCTGTGAGGGCCAGATGGTCTTTGTCATAATTATGTATCTGACTTTACAGCACAAAAGAAGCCATAGAATATATGAAAATGAATTGTCACAAATAAGCATGGCCGTATTCCAATAAAACTTTATTTGTAAAAGCAGATGGTGGGCCAAATTTGGCCTGAGGGCCATAATTTGCCCATCCCAGTCTAAGTCAGTTGTCTCTGCCACAGTAATGACTTTCATTAATCCTTTCCTAAGCTATTTAGAGTGTAGGATTCCCTTGACTTTAGGAATCCTACACTCTAAAGGATCGGAGTCCCATCATCATGGAGGACTTAGATGCATTAGTTGTGGATGGGCTGTTTTCTCCACTACTGCTTATGAACAAGAAAGCAGGTAACTGACAGCTTCTAGCAGCCATCTTATATTTTCTAGGGCAACATGCCTCAGAGCAAAACAGATGCTGAGGCTGACATGGCAGAGACAGAAAGAAGCTGGACACTAGGTGACATTATTGGATTGTTGAATTAACCAGACTTGAAGCCTGCATTACTTCCAGACATTTAAATTAGGTGATCTGGCCAGGAACAGTGGCTCACACCTGTAATCCCAGCACTTTGGGAAGCTGAGGTGGGCGGATTACCTGAGGTCAGGAGTTGAAGACCAGCCTGTCCAACATGGTGAAACCCTGTCTCTACTAAAACTACAAAAATTAGCCAGGTGTGGTGGCACACCCCTGTAATCCCAGCTACTTGGGAGGCTGAGGCACAAGAATCACTTGAACCTGGGAGGCGGCAGAGGGTGCAGCGAGCTGAAATTGCACCACTGCACTCCAGCCTGAAAAAAATTAGGTGACCAATAAAGTCCTCTATTGTTTAAGCCAGTCGGAGTTGAAGTTTTTACTATGTCTAACAGAAGACACGTTCCACTAGATCATCCACTCTAAAATATTCAGTTATTGTTGTTTCTTAATATGCTTAACTGGCAGTTTGAGTAAACAGTTTCTAAAGTGCCTCTGCATATCTGCAATACTCATCACATGCTAGTGGGAATCTTTGAATGAAAGTCTGTGAATCAATGGCCCTAGAAGAGCTTAACTTCCAATAGGTTCCCTCTAGTGCGTGACCACACGGTAATTCCATTAACTTTAACGATGGTGGTGCTGCACAAAATGGGCCCTGTTAGTCTATTCTCTCCTTTCTTTTTAGCATTAAATCTTATCCTGCAGCTAGTTTTTCACAGTAAAGTATGTGTACCAGTGCCATTCATTTCTTGCCCTTTTTTAAAATATGCAGGGCTCTCTCTCCCAGGGAGGGAGTGCTAAGTGAGTACATTAAAAATGAATCTGCTGCCCCATTTGTCGACTGCGAGAAAACCCGAGTCAGGGACATCAATGGATTATTATTGATTGTTGTAAGATCCAATAAAATCATAAATATGGCTCAAAACAATTACTGTGGCCACATTAGCAAATTATCAAATCCATAACTTGCTTTGGAGCCCGGCCTCAGAGATTTAAATAAAGTGCCGGAGGGAGGCAAGTTGTGTTTTAGGAATGTGACAACCAGGGCTGAGATAGAGAAATTTATGATTTAATTTGCCGTGCAGTCTAATTGCGAATAACTATTGGATTTCTAAATAGTGGACTTTGATTAGGTTTAGGTGTCAGAAATAAACTGGAAATATGGGTCAGTTTATACTTCTCTGAGAGTCTGTAGGGAAGGGGACAGGAAGGTATTCATTGCAAGGAATGACTTTCTCAGGTGACCTTCCACCCTTCCCTCTGTGTCCTTATTTCCTGTGTTGGAATAATTGGATTATACCTGAGACTGGCTGGCTCTTTCCAGAGAACCACTTGTTACTTTCTTCACCAAGTGTCAGTTTCCCCCCATTTAGAAATAAATCAATTCAAAATGAAATTACCCGAAGCATTCATTTTTCACCATCTAGTAAATGAATCTCTCTAAAGAACACGAGGTCCTCCCTTTTTGGTTCAGGCTTCATAAAATCCCTCTTTTCAGTGGAAGTGGTATAGTACTAGTGTCTCTGCCTTTTCTAGGCTTTTCCTCTCTGGTGGCTTACTAGGCAATATTTGCTCCATAAAATGTGTATTGGCATGTTCATAGATTCCTGGGCATATTTTGTGAAGATCTAACCTGAAGTCGGGCTGCCTGGTTTAAATTTCTAACCCGCAGCAGGCTGGAAAAAAGCCTCTCATGGCATTGCATCATCCATTAGCCACTGTAGCCCTTCATCTGCGGCCCTGGCCTCAGCTGCACTCTGATGACAAGCACACCGGTGGCTAGATTTTCAGGAGTCGATTGGCTCATCTTTCAGCTCACTTTAGGAAAATAGAAAAGCAATTTGCACAAAGATAAAGCAGATTTCATAGTGATCTGTGTAGAAGTGGCTAACAGATTTCTACGGGCAGTCAGCGAAAGCATGAAAACCCAGCTGAGAAATGATAAATTACTGCTAACTGTCCTAATTATCCCTTGATACCCTGTGTTGAAACCTGACTAAATTTTGCTGAAACTTACAAATAGGGAAGAAATTTAAGGTTTAATAAATTATACGTAATAGAAATGCTTAAAAAATAAAAGATAGCCACAGCAGAAGGGCTTATATTTATCACCCCACTGTCTCCTGAGCCTTATAAAAAGGTGGGGGTAGAGGGGGGTGTTAGATAAATTGCAATTTTAATTGCAAACCTAATTGATTATACTCAGCATGCTCATTAGGTCAAGGAAGACTATGAGTCAGCTCCCAAGGTCATTACATTACTAGAGTAAGCATGTAATTTGTGATAAGTTGATTTGTGAACATCACATTCTTCTCTTTAAACAGAATAACCAACATTAGTTTTTAAGGTTCACATACTGACAATGTGTGTTTCTTTGTATTTTAGGACAATCATCTTGTACTAACCCATCTTTTGGTTTTATAGTTTTAGCTTTAGTGCTTTTAACATATAAATGCATTTCAAATTCCTCCAGCAACGACTAACATTTTACCAGCTGTCTTATTCCATTGTTGAATAACCCCAGCTATAATAGTTTGCTTTTTCATTTCCTTTCTTTCTTTTTATTATTGTGAACCAACACTTTGCTTCTCTGAAATATTTACCTTGTGGTCCTCTTTCAGACTTCTCTGGCAATTTGGATTGATTCTCTATTTCTTCTTCTACCTAGAAACTTTGTAGAAGTTGAAAGAAAATGTATTACTTTCCCTTTAAAGAATCATCAATGCCTTTGGCTGTGTACATGGCATGATTTTTATCCCTTTCCCAAACTGGTTCCTCCCATCTCAGGGTTCTCTATTTGGTGACTGTTCTCTTTTAAACGTGTTGCCTAGAATCACATGAGGGCATCCAGATGGTATAGGAACAAGTATTTATTGCGGTACTTAGAATATAGTAGGCTCTCAATAAATGCTTTTTGAACATGAGCATGGTTTCACCAAGTATAGAGCCTCAGGTCTGGACATTCTTATTGCAGATGAAGTTTGCAGAATGTGAAATGGTCAGAAGGATCTTGTTTGTAGGCACTGTCATAATGAGGATTTTGTTGGTTCTTTTTCATATTTTGAAGAGCAGTGAATCTGATGAGTGATACAGGGGTTCTGTCATTTCACTATCCTCAGGACCATCTGGTCAGCAATAGAATGGCTTCTCAATCTCATTGTGGACAAATGCTAGCAATGGAATACATTCTCAATTACTTTTCTTCGTTAAGTAATGATCTATGTGGGTGCTTTCCATACCTAAGGTGTTTGACTATTCTCATGTCTAATACCCACCAGGCTTTCATGCTAATCATTTTTCTTTCAGTAGGCATACAAAGGGTGTCTGGAGCCCTTTGGACTCTTTGGGGATGAGAATTAGAAGCATAACTTTAATTAAAAGCAGCTAAGTCATTAAATTTTGTGGGCTGGGAGGACCATAGAATCTTTCAAGTATTCGAAAGCTGCAGACTTTTTCCATGGAAAAATTCACATACACACAAAATGTCGCATTTAATTTCAGGGGCCTCCTATTCCCCTGAGGCTTACCCATGGACTGCTAGACTGAATTTCCCTGACTTGTTATCTTCCAACTAAATAGTCAGGGAAGATTGTATTTTTTGCCTAAATTGATGGGGTGAATCTTGAGGCAAGTCACAAAGCCACATTCTACCCATGTTTGCAAAATGTCTCTCTCACTCATGGGAAATGCATGCTTTAAGTATTTAAATCTGATGCTGTCCACTGTTAGCTATTTGCATGTGTTTCCTTGGTTGCAAAATTGGAATAATAATACCCCCTGCTGTTAGGATTTTGTGAGTATTAAATAAGAGCACGAATGGGGAGGTCTCTGCTTAGTGCTTAGCACACATCGTCTTTATTCACCAGTTTTGTTTTGTTTTTTTGAGAACCTACTACATGCCCACTTCAATTTCTGTGATGAAAACACTGGACAAAGCCAGTGTCATCCTGGCCCTCAAAAAGAACATCATCTCACTCTCTTCTTCTTCATCTATAGTAGTTTTGGCCTCACCCCTGTGTGAAGGAAAGGCTGATCAGAGAGTCCGAGGAAAACCCTGGAGAAGAGATGAAATGGATTTCAGTTTAGTGTCAGTCCCCTTTTAATGGGCCCAGACTTACTAATGTTGAGCAGATTGGTTTCCTAAGCTATCTAAGCAAGTGAGTCAAATGAAATGGAACGTGCCGAGTTGGTTCTTTATGTTGAAGACTGAGGTATACCCGGTGCTGTGTGTGGTTTAGGTATGTGTGGTTTAGGGTGGGAGGAGGAGATTCCCTCCAGATCCACAGTTTTTCTCCAAAGCATGGTGCCTAAGATGTGCTTTCACCATCAAGGAGCATTATGTTACTTTATACCTTACATCATGGATTTTTTAAGTGGATAATAGCATAATTTAAAAAATATTACCATCATAGCTGAAATAAAACATTACTCTGGTGTTAAGTTTACAATAACAGAAAGTGAGTTTTTTCTTAACCTCTGAAGACCAGATGTGTTGATAAGCCAAGCTCTCAGTTCACAAGAACTCATTCCAATTAGTTGTTGAAGTTTAATTACCTCCTCAAGAGACTAAGTTTGACTTTAAGTTAGAGTTAAGACACTTGAGAGGTGAAAGCTAGGAGTTGGGATTCAAGGGTTAAGTTTAGAGTTAAGAAAGTTGAATCTTCAGTTAGATTCAAGAGAGCTAAGTTGGAGATAGAGTTAGAATTGAATTTGAAGTTAACTTTTAAATTTGATAAGGTTTTGTTCTGTTGTTTTTTTTTTCTAAATGCCTACATCAGATTTTCTTTGTAATTTCCGGTTGCAGCAGCAGATTTGTACTATCCTGGACAAGATTGTCAGAAGGGATGAACAGAGGTGAGAACATTCAGAGCTCAGACATACCCAGACCCTCATTGGGTGGGAAGTTTCCCTAGCTAAGTTGGAGATCGATGGTTCTTTGCTGCTCTAGCAGAGCCTCTCTCCTTTCGTACCCACAACAATCCCCACCACCACCTTCTTATACTGACCCACAAGAACATTTGTTAGGCAAACACTCTGCCATCTGTTGTGCAGACAGGGCTTCCAGGCAGAATAGAAACAGGTGTGGCGTCAAAGTAACTTAGTGCATAGACAAGGTGAAAGGAGGGCTTAAAAATTGCATGTCACGTTCTGAGCTTTATACCTCCTTGGCCCATGGTGGGTGGACCTGAAATGCCATGTCTTATCAATGGCGACCCTTTGTAACCAGTTTGGGCTTTGGATTTGGTACCACACAGCTTTATGGAAAGACACTTGGGGCCGTCATTTTACTTGCAAATAGAAACAGGCTTTGTGGTGTGATTTCTTCCCTGGGATTTGTTTTGAATGTGTGGCTGGTTTGCAGTCCCCACAGAGGTTGTCAGCTAATGAGGGCAGTGGAAGTACGTTCCTTAACTTGTTCTTTCAGAAGTGTTGCATTACCAGAGCTGCAAGAAGAGTTTGTTCCTATTGTCAGATGCGGCATGGGATTTTTTTCTTTTTGCCTTTTCAAATTCCAGGGAAGAATGAGTTCTTTGGCAGAAATGGTGTCAAGAGAACTTCTTCTGTGATTATGTGCTAATGCAGTTCTAATTGTTTCTCTGCAGATGGATTGAGTATTGCTGACAGAGGTTTATGCACCTTCCCTAAACGGGTTGGTGGTTACCTGCTTTTTACAATAAATGTAATGAGCATCTATTTGCATTGATGGTAACAGTACTTTACAGTGGCTTAATATTTTGCAGTTTGTGAAGATTTTTGTGTCACATGGCTTATCTTATTTTTGTAAGGCAGTATTCTGGGAGTAATGCTTTGTAACCCACAATGCCAGTGTTCAAATATTGCTCTGCTTCTTCCTAGCTCTGTGATCCTGGACAAGTTATTTAACATCTCTGAGCTTCACTTTCCTCATCTGTAAAAGAGACATAATGATGGTGCTTGGTGTCATAGAGTAGTTATGAGAATAGTAAGAGTTAAGGGAGGTATGGGACTTATCACAGTGCCTAGAATATGGTATAACTCAGTGCATGTTAGCTATTATTTAATTATTAACACTATCAATATTATTAATTTTCCCCAGCATTGAGTGAGGTAGCTATGGTGCCAGGAATTTTATCCCCATGTTAAAGATGAGGTTAACTGAGGTTCAGAGGGAAGCAGTGACTTGCTCAAGACCTAGAATCCAGTCAGAGGCAGAGTTGAACAGGAACTGAGACCCCGTTACACCTCCAACATCAAGAAAATGTTGGGGGAGTCCTAGTGAAATCAGCTCCCACAGGCTGGTTTTGGTGGCGCCGGCCTCATCAGAAAGTGGGTAATAACCTCAGCTCCCAGCAGCAACTTTTAAACCACATTTAATTGTCTGTGGAGAACAGGATCTGGAAGTCTTCATTTGAGAGAAGACACCTTCTCTCAGGTAGGGTTTTGTAAACTGGGAAGGTAGAGAGGCTGTTTGCCAATTGGGGTTTGAGGTTTCGTAAATTCTCCCATCCTCAGGCTGAATGAACACCTCTCTTAAATGAGAAATGCATTCTACACTCACATTGGTGTTATTTTAGAGTACCCATACCACTGTTTTAATACAGTCCAGGGATAACCAGTTTTCTCTGTAAAACACATGTTGATTACTTGCTTTGTAGGATGTTGTTACAAGCTCCAGGTGAAGAAGGTGTGTGAGACTCAGTACCTCTCTTTCCGGGGTTGCAATTCTGTAGGAAGAGCAGGAAACTAACATAGATAACCAGAAATAGGAGGCAACATGTCGTAACGACCAAGGAGTGAGTTGAAGATGAAAAGCAAACACCATGGATTTTGGTGGTTAAAGAAATTTCCCGGATGTAAGAAAACTTTCTTACCTATTGAAGTTGTTCTACCAGAAGAGAAAAGGGAGATGGCCTAAGTGAAATATTGGAGAGGCAGGAACCATTAGTAGGATGAGATATGTTTGTTTTTAGTTTGTAGAAAATTATCATTTCATTAACGACCTGGACTTCTTACGGGTAGAATAACTAAATCCATTGTTTAAAGAAAAATATCATCAGTTTGAATAAAGTTGGCAAGTGTGTGGTAGATTCATTTCATTGTAGCCAGAAGCATTTTCAGTCCTGTCTTCATATCTGGAACCTGAGTCTTTACACTGACACTGTTGCGAGGGTGTGATGGTGACTTTCACGTGTTCTCTCTGTTCTGTGACTAAGCTGCATGTCAATGTCTGTGGCACAGATGACAGCTGTATCCTCTGCCTTACTTCTGCTGTTCTCTGCACAAAGCACTATTGAAACCAAGAAAATTAAGGAGGCACAAAGCAGGATCTCTTATGGGAAAAACTCTAATCAATATTTAGTAGAAATCAGGTACTCCGAATTCAAAGATGAAATACTAGTTTTTGCCTTATGTTTTGATCATCAGCTGTTTGATCCAGTCTCTGGGAGTAATGTATTTGTAGCAGGTTTCTGAAAATCCTGATGTGTTGTTGGTATACGCTTCTAAAGATGCGCTAATAGGGAAATACTTTGGATTTAGTGAAGACTGTACTTATCGGTCCAATTGAAATATCCTACAAATTGATTTTAGCATTAGTATTTATTTAAATTAAAACGGGCATCTATAGACCCCTTGGGCAGCTTAATTGTAAAAGTAATTCTTAAATGTACTACGCCAGGAAAACAATATAAGTTACTCAGGACAAATATATGTCTTAAACCTGCGGGAGCTTGATGGCAGGTCACTTCTCATTTGGTTAGGTTTAAAGTAACAATGTGTGGCAATGAGTAATAGTACTAATTTCTGAAGGGAAGTAGTAGGGGAAAGAGTCTTGGGCTCTGGGCTTCATGTTCTATATTCTTATCCAATACTGTTTAGTTCTACAGCCTTGGACAAATCTTTCATTGTTTTCTTCCTCTGTTTCGTTTTACTTCATTTTTATGTTCCTCTCTTCCTCATCTCCTCTTCCCTGCATACGTTAAAGACTCTTTCAGTTGCAAGTGTCAGAAAACCCAAACTGGCTACAGTAAATGGATGATTTATTGGGTCACATAATTAAAGAGTTCAAGGGAAGTTTCTGACTTCAGGTATGGCTTGATCCAGGGACTCAAGACTCTGTGTTTCTCTCTCCCTCTGTGTTTCTCTTTCTCTGCAAAGGGACTGGCATGAGCCTAGGTATAAAGGTGGCAGTAGTGAGTTGAGCATCTTGGCCGACATATGGCTGTGTGAAGAGGATCAGGGAGACAACGACTGTTGAGCAGTTGCAGGGTCTGAGCATAAAAAGATTCAGGAGCCAGGGTCTGCTCTCGGAATTTGACTCAGAAAGCATTCAGGACTGATGGAAGGAAGGAAGAAGGGACTAAGATGAAAAGAAAGATGCTTCCTAGAGAATAACCCGATAGCAATGAATAGGATGAGACTTAAGCCTGGGGTACTAATGTATCTGTCTGTTTGGGATTATAATAACAGCCAGGGTGAGACAAGTGAAATTAGAAGGACGTGATAAATACAAGTTGAATACAAGACCCCACTGGCTAAAGAAGTGCTGTGGAACCCAGTAGAACTAGATGTCTATCAGGATCATTTACATTGCAGGCCAAAACAAGTCAAACACACACAGCAAATACTTGACAAAATACCTTTCTACCTGGAGAAGATCTTAGTCTTTTTTCTAAATACCAAAATATCACTAAAAGTCTATATGGTATTGGGTTTACTGTGTAAATTTACATTCACAAAGGCTGTGATTTTCTGTTTGCAAAGTCAGACACTACTATACAATGTCATTAATCCATTCATTATTCACTGAGCACCTGCTGAGTAACACCCACTGTCACACATGGCCTAATTCTGCTTCTCGCTAAATAAAACAGATGTGGCCCTTGATCTCATGGAGCTGGTAGTCTGCTGAAGTGTGTCAATCCTCAAGTTTACCCACAATACCTCATCTGGATGTTTAAGGTTTGAACTCACGGAAGGAATGTTGTCTCTAGGATAGACAACTGGAAAATGTAATTGATAACCCTGTTCAACTCTATAGAGTCCTTCTTTCCACATTACTATGTGTTTATGAATTATAAAAAATTATTTCCTGGAATCTTTTGTTCTTGATTTATGGCAAAAGCTCTATAATGACTATTTTTAAAATGACTTAATGAGTGAGCAGTCTTGCCTCTGTTCTAAAATGCCAGTAGATCACTTAAGTGTCATTTGTTAAACCACTTTGGTCAATAAAAACCCTCTCATTGTTTTTCCCCAAGTGGTTATTGAGCCACATCACACCAACCTAGTTCTTTGCTCATGTTGCTCTATCTACTTTTGGCTGGTGTGGATTATTATTAATTATTTCTTCACAGAATACTAGCCAAGAGTTATCATGATGCAGTAATGGTAAATGCTCACAAAGATAAAATGCCCTAATTAGGGAGCCAAGTTAAGGAGTAAGCAGTTTGCAAAGTGGATTGAGATCTGGTGAGAGCGGGTTCCCCTCATCTGCTTCCATATGATTTGAAATGCCAACTGCTTGCTTAATTTAGAACAATATACTTTCTCTAAATGTATTTTTAAGATTCATGTTTATTCCTTTAATAGCTGATTTAAATGAACCAGCAACTGATACAAATCCACAGGAAAAAGAATTAGAATTGCTACCGATTGAGGCCAACATGGTGCTTGGCACTGAAAACATTCAGATCATTCCCCTCACTCTCATCATGCCAAATAGTGCCCTGTGAGCAAACACAGATCTCACTGGGGATATTTTCATAGTTTCTTTTCTGATTACAGAGATGATACTCGCTCATTACAGATACTTTTCGAAAATACATAAAAATATAATGCAGGAAATTACAATCATCCATGGTTAAATTTATATTTATATTTTAGCTGATGGTCTTTTTAAAAACTACCACCAGATACAAAAAGGCTTCATAAAGTATGAGGTCTCCTATTACTTCCCACTAAAGGTTAAAAACAACAGCAGCATAAAAATAAGGCTTTGCTGAGTTTGTCTTCTCATCCGTCTCTTGACTCTTTCTTCTACTATGTACTAGAAATAAAGTTCTCTGTGGAGGAAGAGTGGGGAGGAACCCCTGCTACTGGAAAGTAATCCTCTTTATCTGTCTGTCTATCTCCGATATTTGTGGAGAGGAGTATGTCTTTTTGATATAATGGAATCTGGGCAGATGAACACAATTTGTTTACAATCAATCAATGTGGAAATTTACAGGGGAAGGGAGGTCAGGGTGATGGGGAGGAAGCTTCACGTTCCCTGAGAATGACTCCCTATGAAGACACCCAACTCAATGCAGATGTTCTTCTTGTAGAAGGGACATAATGAGATCTGCTCTCTTCCTGTTACTTAGGTATAGATTGTAGAATGTGATTGTTTTGCAAAATAGAACGTTCTTTATACTGTGTTTTATATCTCAGACTCTAACATGCCCAGCCCTCAGAGACCCTGTGCCATGGTGAGGTAGTTATTTGGAAAGCCTCTTGTCTTCCCATGGTCACTTCTGAACTCATTGTTGGAGTGAATGTTAACCTGAGTGTGAAAGAGCAAGCAGTGTCTCACTTTAAGTAGAACTAAAGCTGGGGCCTTGCTTTGTTCCCTAGGTGCTGGCCGAGGGTTGGAATGAAAGTCCTAATGTGTGGGGGAAGTCAGCCATCTCATTCCCTCTGAAGCTAAACTGACCTAGTGAAAAGGCTGTCTCCATATTCTCAAAGGTTTCCAGGAACTCAAGAGCTCAGTTTCCTCATATGCTAAAGTGAGGGCAGAGGAGCCTGGCTTGAAATGAGAATATCTGCCTTTCCCGAAAGGAAATTTATCTGCCATTGGAAGCCAGATAAAATCACTGTTCATCTATTTTTTCCAATTTCCAGGTACTTCAGATTGGCTCCCCTTCCCAGAACCTCTTTAAAGCCTGAGTCTAATGGCCAGACCTCCATCATCCCTACCCCAAACTGCTCCTCAATGTGCATAATCTAGAGAATCTAAAAAATACTTAGAGCATTCATTTGTATTCATTGAGCTGAAATTGTGCATGCTGTCAGCATAGGTGGGAGAATCTGTCTTAGAGTAGCTCAGCAAATACTACCTGTCCTTTACTTTCAGAGCTTTGCCCCTGTTTCCTCCTGCTCGAGGCCCTAACTGCATTCCCCTATCTTGGAGGGCTTGTCCTACTTCCTACTTACTTAACCTCTGCTTCTGCTGAAGCCCTTGGCTCAGGGACCACCCCCACAGGGAAGTCGTCCTTGATCCTTCGGGTGTTTGCTCCTTTATTTTGAGATCCTTATCTCAGTTTGAAACCCTTAGGCACAAGTGTGATGATTTGATTAAAATCCTTCACCAGGAGACTGTAAGCTCATGAGAACAGGGGACATGTGTATCCCCACTGCTTAGAGGAGCGCCAGATACACAGAAAGAACTCAGAAAATACCTGAGTGAATAAATGAATGGGTGAATGAATGAATAGATGGATGAATGAATGAGTGAATGGATGAATGAGATACTGTGATTATAATGTTCAGGTAAAAGTCTATTTATTTAAAAAGAAAATGTTTACAATTTTGCTTTATTCGATCATGTTACACATAAACCAACAATAGACTCCACCAGGGCATAAGAGGTGAGAGAAATACCAAACAAAGAAATATCAAAGAGAGATGCGAGAGTAAGTCACGAAGCTTCCTAAATTTTTAATCCTACTTTTAAAAGGTAAAATCAGATATTTTATCAGGTTGTTTGTGCATTTTTAACGAAGTTAACTTTGGAATATTCAGCACTGAAGGTGACCTGCAGTATCTCTTGCTCAATTTTGGAGGCTGCCTGAGAATTTCTCATTCTCTGTTGCTTCCAGATTTCCAGGAAGAGTCAGAGACTCACACTTTTTACTTGAAAAGCTGATACGCATTCCCTATAAACCTCCCAAATGTGTGAAATAATTACCCAGGAAACAAAAGAGAGGGACTTTTACAGTCATAAATTCATTCAAGGATCTACATGAGGCATTTTTCTGTAGTGGGTCAGGTTACGTCTTGTTCCCCTTTTCAAAATATATTTCAAGCTATGTTACTAAAATGTACCTAAGGCTTCTTGATATAGGAAATAGAAAAATAAGACTTTAGATGGGGCAGACATCTCTAGTACCCCAAGTCTTTCTTTCCTTGAAATATCCCTTCACTTTGAAAAACATAAGTAGGCCATGTAGGGAAATGCCTAATGTGAATTTCTCCTAATAGCCCCAAACTCTTCTTTCAAATTACTACAAAAGGAATTCAGGATTTTTAGTGCCAGATTGATGAAAAAAAAGTGCATATTAAGCTTTCCTTATTAATTAAAGGCAGAGAGGAAAGAGTCAGCCTCGCTCAAATTTATAAAAACAAATAATGTTTGGAAATGAGCTTACAGTATAAAACTGGGTGATGCTGTGTCTTAATACAGTTTGCCTTCATGTTAGATATCATTGCCATGACGTGTTAAAACATCTAATTACTGGTGTGCTGCAAGAAAGAGGAAAATGACAAGATTGTGAATGTGATTTCAAGTTGGACTTGGGAAACCATTCAAGAAAACTCTTTAGAGAAACACATTTGCTTTTGTCCCATGAGACACACACGATGAACTAATAGATCATCCTTGGCTCTAATTTCTAACCGTGTTCACAGCCAAGCTCATTTATACCAGGTGAATGATGATCTGGCTCATCACAAGAAATAGCTAGTATGATGAAAACTTTTACAGAGTTTCAGGAAAAGCAGTCCTAAATAAATAAATAAATATATATAGGATTTCCTATAGAAAAAATATATAAATATATATTTTTATGTCTATATTATTTATATAATTATATATTTTATATCTATATAAAATATATAGATTTTTTATATCTTCATATCTATATATAATATAGATATATATAGATATATTTTATATTTTTATATATTTTATATATTTTATATTTTTATTTTTTTATTTTTTAATATATATAAAATATAAAATATTTTTCTATAGTAAATCCTATACATATATACATATATGTATATAAATCCTATACATACGTACATATATTTTTAATATATAATATAAAATATATGAATATATAAAAATATGAAATATTTTTCTATAGTAAATCCTATACATATATACACATATATACGTATATATTTTAATATATAATACAAAATATATTTATATATATATATTTATATATTTATATAAATATATTTATATATATATAAATATATGTATATATTTATATAAATATATGTATATATTTATATAAATATATATAAAACTAAATATGTAAATATATTATAAATATAAATACATAAAAATATTTTAA
This sequence comes from Homo sapiens, assembly GCF_000001405.40. Taxonomy (NCBI): domain Eukaryota; kingdom Metazoa; phylum Chordata; class Mammalia; order Primates; family Hominidae; genus Homo; species Homo sapiens. The sequence continues at coordinate 59,986,641 of NC_000003.12, read as the reverse complement.
AAATTTTCTATAGTAAATCCTAGACATATATGTACACATATATATGTGTGTGTGTGTGTGTGTGTGTATATATGTGTGTGTGTGTGTGTGTGTGTGTGTGTATATATATATATATATATATATATATATATATATATATATATTTTGGACTACTTTCTCATACCCAGAGCCCTTTGGAGTCCAAGGGAGATCCAATCACAGACTTCTGGGTGATATAGCAAAGGGAATAACTGTTTGAGAAGTAAGGGCACAAGAAGGAAAAATCGAGTTGGAGAAAAGACAGTATTTGGAATCTTAATCCTTCTTTGTACATGTGGTGTTTCTTAACTATCCTTCCAAAGGGGGTGCCGTTGAATTTTATTTGGACAGTTTACTCCTACTGAGAGCTTCTCAGTTATCTTAAGGATGTGGGAAATTCTTTTTCTTCTTTCCTTGTTTTTGGAAAGAATGAGTCTGTCTGAGTTTTCCCAAGAAAGTTAGCTGCTACAGTTTCAGGGTGAGCAGCCATAAAGTGTGAACCGCTATTGATAGTGCTTTTTTCTTTTTGCCGTTATAATATGCTTAAAATGGAGTATTCCTTGACATGTGCAGACCGCAAAGGAAGTGATACTTGGTTCAGAGTTTTTTTTCTTCCTCTCATTCCTTCCCCCATCCTTTCTCTGCTCTCCTCTTCCTCTTTTTTTTCTCTCTCTCTGTTTGTGAGAGGGGAGTATAGTACTGAGGGGACCAGGCTCTATAAATGTATCCTAAGTGTCAAGTAGGTTTCATTTCCAGTACCCAGTTCTGGAAGGCCAGTCATGACTGAGTGGACACCTGCGCTGTGACGGATTCTAAGGTTCAGCCTAGGCTCAGTGTGAAAGTGAGAGGTGATCAATTAATAATGTCTCTTAAGGGCATGTGCCACATATATTTGCTCACCCTGCTTTAAGACAGACAGGACTCATCCCAATTCTCACAGATTTTTAATTTTCTGTTTAAGTCTTTAGTGAAATTGAGTACTCACAGCTAAGCGGAGCTGGACTTGTGAAGTTGTACTCATTGCCCTGAGATGGGAAATGCCAAATGGTAAAGATAATCAGCACAGATAAAATTACCTTTTAGCAAATTCTAAATTATGTACATAGATGTTCAAGATTCAATGTAAAATTGCTTTACTTACTTACACTTTATTTTTTGGAATAGGGATAACTGGTCCTTAGACCACGTAGTTTGTTACTTTCTATACAAGTGTAATGGTTTATTGAAAGCAACACCTGATAATACTCTAAGGTTTTACAAATAACCCCCTATGTCTGGAGTTTTGGCAAATACTCTGCCTTACCCTGCCAGTGCAGATAAAATGGAATTCTGTGGCATTTGGAAGGCGGAGCATTCTGTGTTTGTAATGGAGATCATTTGGGCTCTGCAGGGCACATTTGAAGTCACTGATGCCAGTTCAATCCCCAGATGGGCAAATTAACTTTAGTCCTTTCCATGTCCAGAAGCTGCATGCCCCACTCAACTGTCAAGAGTTAGAGCAGGCAACTCTGCAGTGCCTCTGGACACAAGCCACCACAGAGAAGATGTCCCTGAAGAGTTTCCTAAACAAAATGTAACTCACTGTCCTACGATGGGAACTCTCCCACTTTTCCAATACCTATCTGAGATTCCATTTCTGATTCAGGTTCATTACTGGATCATAGACCTCAACACACCTGGCTTAGTAATGGTGAAGCCCAATACTGCTGACCCTGCTGCTACTCTTAAGATTAGGGACCACATTTGAAGTTGCTGTTGTGAAGAGGATTATGACATGTAGCCCCTGGAATCTGCCCCTGCCCCGCCCAGTTGTGCTGGGTATTAAATAAGACAATAATCTTTGTTTTGTCCCTCAGTGTATGCCCATCATCTAGAAGAAAACTCAAACTTAATAGGAGCTTGGTAAGTATTTGAATAAATGAAGGCACATTTTCATAAGTGTGTGTTACTGGTATTAGCCAAGGCTGTGTGCCTTGGTTCCATTCTCTGGGACTCACCCTTCTCATATGTGCTAAGGTTATTCTATTTCACATGCCTTTTACTCTGCACTCTGGGGCTTTCTCTTGCTGGTGTAGAGTGTAGGCCTAAAGTGTCAGGAATTATTGACTTTAGGAACAATGTTTAGCCAATACCAGTGGGAATTTGAGGATAAATTCCCCAGCTTCCTATGTCGTAAGTGCGAAAACTCAGAGGGTAGCATGTTCCACGCTGTCTTCCAGAGCCCCCCCCAGTGGATTTGAGCCCCAATTGCTTGAAGCACTAATATTCTTATAAATGTTTCTTGTAGTAGATTTCTTTTTTCCCCTGTCTTACTTCCACTTCTCCCCTAATGGTGCTTCCTGGGCCCATCTCTCAAATAATCCATTTGTACTCAGATTCCTGTCTCATGATCAGTTCTGGAGAAATTCAGTCTAAGGCATTAATGATAATAAAGCAGTAAAGAGAAAGAATATGAGGTTCAGCATATCTCCTGCTACTACTGGGAAAACAGTCTGGTGCAGCATGCCCAATTCTCAGTGACTGAGTTTCACCTTGGAATATTAGGGATAGTGTGCTACTTAGTAAGAGGCAAGAGTATTATTCACAGGAAAGTTAAGTAACATTGATCTTCTAGGAATTCGAATACAATTTAGACTTGGTTATAATTCGTAAATATATGTTCTTTGCCCTATCACTTCAGTACGTAGAGGCTCTTGTTTTTGGTCTATGCAGCAACTCTTCCTCCCTCATGACTGGATTAATTATAGTTACTCAATCCCCTTTGGCCACAGGGGTAATACAGGAATGGAGACTTGACCAAATCAGGTCCCTGTCTTTGCTAATATAGGGATTTTCTGGTACTAATGGGGCAATCCTCTCATTCTTCTCTGATTACTAGGTTGGGAGCTTCCTGAGGCCACCTTCCACAGCCAGGTTGTCATCTTTATTCTGAGAGAATGAAGCCAACACTGGAGAGGGAAAGGACTATACATTAGTCCGCCTTATCTAAAGGGAATACATTCTAAGACCCCAGCGGATGCCTAAAACTGCAGATGGTACCAAATTCTGTTTGTACTGTTTTTTCCTATATGTACATAGTTACGATGAAGTTTAATTTATAAATTAGACACAGTAAGAGATCAATTACTACTAATAAAATAGTACAACTATACCAATATATTGTAGTACAAAGTTAATAATTGTGGTCTTTTTCTTGCTCTCAGAATATTGTACTCTAGTCACTTATTTTCAGGCCATAGTTGATTGTAGGCAACTTGAAACCATAGAAAGTAAAACTGCCAATAGGAAGGTAGGACTGTACTGGTTCTGCCTTAACATTCCTGAGGATGTGTTTATGTGAACCAATAAATATACCCCTTCTTTTTGTTCCAAAAGAGTCCTGACCTGCTGGGAGTGGTGGCACATACCTCTAATCCTAGCACTTTGGGAGACTGAGGTGGGCCGACTGCTTGAGCTCAGGAGTTTGAGGCCAGCCTGGGCAACGTAGCCAAACCCCATGTCTACAAAAAATACAAATATTAGCTGGGCATGGTGGCACATGCCTCTAGTCCCAGCTACTTGGAAGACTGAGGTGGGAGGATCGCTTGAGCCAGGGAGGTGGGGGTTGCAGTGAGCTGAGATAGTGGCATTGTGCTCCAGCCTGGGCAACAGAATGAAAAAAAAAATCAAAAAAAGAATCCTGGCTAATGCACGATGCATAGGACTTCATCTTTTCCTTGCTAGAATCTCTAATTTACAAATAGAAAACTTTGGATTTAGTAATTATGCCAGTAATGTGTAGAAGCCACGGAGATGTCTCAGAATCCCAGTTCCAAGACAGTAGGGACTGGGGCTGATGTGCTGGTCTAGGCCTGCTCCCTTTTTTTATCTATTGGTACCTAATAAACATGATGCTGTTTGATGACCTAATTACATTGTGTTAACACATTTGTAGTTAGCCACAAGCACTTAACCTAGCTCAGAACTTCATCCCTTTCTGCAAGTACGGCATATACCGGAAATTGAGCACAGAAATCTTAAAGCAGATTAAAGAGGGCAAAAATTCATTGTGAAATATTCCCAAAGTAAAGTTAGTTATTACACTTGATCTTAGCTGGAAGGCCAAAAAGTGATCACAGTTAGTTATTGATAATATACTTCACTTTAGGTGAATTGGTTTGTGCTAGCTTTGCAGCCTTTGAAAACCCTGTGGGACTGGCATCCCATTTCCTCTGGATACTGCTTATAAAACCACAAATTAATTTTTTTTTTCTTCTGTGATTTCACTTGACACTGGAATCTCAAAAGTTTCTTGGGGGATTTTTTGTTGCCCCAAAAGCTACAATTAAAAGACAGATTTTCATACCTTCTTTTTCCACTTAAACAACCATCTTCAGGGATGTTATTTTGTGTTTATTTAAATATTCAAATAGGATTCATAAGCCCCATCTTCCTCACTCTCATCTTCACAAGCTAAGGCAGTGCTTGAGAAAAGAGACCATACATCACTATTTATTCAGCTAATGTAACGCGAAGAGCTCTGTTTGAATAGTCTATTTATCTCTTCATGTTGTCACTAGAGAGAGGTAAGACTAGCCAGTGCTTAGTGGTCAAAGAATACCTGTTCAGAAAGAAGTGAAGTCAACTGATTTTTAATACCAGATCAATAATTTTTTTTTTCTTTTTGCTGACCCTGGCAGCAAAAAGGAGTGGCAGTAGTGTAAACTGATACCTTGAATCCTGTGGGATATTTTTGTTCTCTATCATAAAATACAATTTTAAATTAACCACATCAGACTTTTTCTTGAATTCCAGAAAATGATTAATATCGATTCCAGAGCTGAAAGGCTTTTGTGTGCATTTCAGGTTAATTTGGCATATTTGCCTCATTTCACATTAAATGTTTTATGTGTGTTTAACTTCTCTATTTGACCATTTAGCATTCGAGAGACTCCATAAGAACTGTTAATTATCAAGGGCATCTCTCTGCGTTAATGTGCGGGCACCGTGGTATGTTCTTTACTCTGAGGCTGAGGAAATGTGGGCTGGATGTCAGGTGCTGTGATGTTATCTATAGGTTCGGTAATGTGGCCAGGCACTGCCACTGTGGGAATCTGTGTGTAATGAACAAATTTTTCACGTCCCCACTGATGGCCTACATTTTTGCAGCAGGAAATCAGAGAGCACAGTTCAAGGGCAGCAATAGAATTTGGATATTGAATTTGTCACAGAAGCAATGGCCCATTTTCAGAAGGCCCTTTGCCTTATGAAACCAGCTAATCAGCTAGAAACATAGGGATTACTCTGAAACTTAGACAAGACAGGACAGCGTTCAGTTCTTCCTCATACAGGGGCATTCCAAGTGTGGAAATTTTAATCCTTTGAGTTAAAATTTAAAAAAAATGTGTCTGGATTCAGGAATAATCTAAAGCATAGTATTCTTCTAAACTCCATTTCCATGAGATGCTCTAAGAAGGTTTTTGTAATAAATCCATTTTACTTTGCATAATGAAATATTTTTCAAACTTATTTCTCCATGGACCCAGTGTTTTTTTTGTTGGTGGTGGGTTTTTTGTGGTTGTTGTTTATAATAGTGAATAACCACTAAAATCTTCAGATGCTTTGTCTATAGATACTTTTGGGTAACATAACTACAAAGGTTGTCAAGAGAAACTAATGTTATTTTCACATTGGCAGAATTTCATGTTCATAGTTAGGATTATAATTAATTTTAGGACACATTGTAAATTATGAAAACAGTAGTTTAGTTCATTTGGGATGCTCTAAGGTAATACCACAAACTGGGTGGCTTATAAACGACCAACATTTTTTTCTCACATTCTTGAGGCTGGGAAGTTCAAGATCAAGACACTGGCAGCTTTGTTGTCTGGTGAATGCCCACTTTCTGGTTCATAGATGCTATCTTCTCCCTGTGTCCTCACATGGTGGAAGGGATGAGGCAGTGGTGGGAAACGGCCCCTTGCCTCCTTGTGGGACAAGCTATCCTTGGCCTGGCCATGGCTTCTCCAGGCTGAACTTGAGTCACACTTGGGATGACTTACACAGCTTTGTGATCCAGGAGCTCCACTAGTTTGAAGCTCTTCTCTGCTATCATCCCATCCATCTTATATAGACAAACCCCATAAAATTCCAAAGTCCGGTTAGAAACTGTAGAATGAGGGCTAATTATAACAACCTATAGCTAAAGCCAGAGGCATTATACCTTCAGGAACTGGGCAAAACTGGGGACTCTTGAAGAACATAGATACATAGTTTTGAAGTATGAAGAATATAGATGCACACTTTTGTGTGTTATTTTTAAGAGTTCAAGGAATCCTTGTTGTCCATTCAGCCACCTTCCTCTGGCCTGAAGTGAGTATCTGCCTTACAGTTGGCAGAGATGAGGAATTAACATTCATGCCAATGCCCAAATTTGTGATGATCATGAAGAGCTGGAAAGGTGAGTTAATTTAGTGAGTTAGCTTCAGTTTCTTTAGATAGTGTCAAACTTAATGTGTAAGAGGGAGAGGGGGAAAAGAGCAATGTAAGCTTAAGTGGTGTTTTAGAATATCTTTTCACTGGGGAAAGAAAATTGACAAAAGATTCAAATTTGTTAAATTAGGAAGAAAAGTCAATATGGTGTATTTGCCATCTGTCAGACACATTAAGTCTTCTCTGTCGAACAGTGTTGTCAGCTGACCTTATTATGCTGGGAAGGACTGGAGAAGAGCTACTGTTTCATCTCCCAGATTTCCTCAGTCTCCCATTAAGAAAGTGCTGAATTTAATTCTCATTTCTGTTGCTTTTTATGTGGCAGGATGGTGACGCTCAGTTTCACAGTTTCTTTCTTTTCGAAAACATGTACTCTTGTCACACGGGCTTACTCATTTATGGGCAGGGTGGGAGTATAGCGACCAAACCCCTTCTTATTTATCCAGTAAAGCACCACAGCCCCACCATATCTTAGTGTAGAGTTTCAATGTGCCCCATTGATAGGAATGTTCCATGACAGCGTACACGTTCTAAATGGGCTTAACCAATAATTTCTTACCCCTGCCTGAGATGTTTCTATTTAAAAAAGATTTTGGGATCCATAGGAAAAAAAATGTCCCCAAGGGATTCTCTAAAATTGTTTATTCTCATAGCTGGTGTTTTGCAAAATGCTTTCCTCTCCCAAGTCTGTCAAGTAATTTTTATAAGGTCTCCACTCTAGACATTCCCAACTAAGTATCTTGTTTTCCCTGAATCTTGGAGATGGAAACACATGCAAAATATGTGATAAGAAAGCAATGAGGGCAATGCTGAGTTATAAAAAATATCTCTGGCTTTGAGGAGTTAGGTATAAATGCACTAACTGTACAAACAACCTGTGAATCTAAAATTCTGCCATGCTTCTGTAGTTCTTGAGGACCACAAGACCAAGGTTGGAATTTCCCTGGCTGCTTCTGAGAGCTGATTTGAAAGTCTGGGTGGCCCCTGGCTCTGTGCTCTCTCAGCCTCAGTGTGACATTTTTAGGCACACATGTTAAAACAGTCTTCAGATGTTCAATAGGAAACCAACACAATGTCAGAAAGAATAGCACCCTAACAATTTCACAGAATGGTTTGCTTATGTCTGTCTGCTGAATTCCTAAGCCTCCAGATGCAGAGGGAAGTATTCAGTTAGTTGTCTGTTAGGTTCACACTCACTTTTCACTACCCTTGCCCCCCATAATTTGGAAACTTGACACATTGTCTTTTGAAGAACAGAGTCTGGGAAGCAGTAACCTGGTGTACTGGTTGGAATATAGTCTCACAAATATCCAGACCATTGAGTTTTAGCCTTTTTTTAAGGTCCCAGATCCCATTTCTTAGATCGAAAGCTTCTCAAATAGGTTTCTGTATGGGCTTTGGGGAGCTGGGCAGGAGGGACACTTTGAAACCTCCAAAATTACTGAAAAACTATTGGATAGGCATATGCACATAGTTTTGCAGTAATTTTGGAGGTTGCAAAGTGTCCCTCCTCAGCAGCTCCCCAAAGCCCCGTTGTTTCTAAACTTCTACTTAGATACTTGTATGGGTTGTTTCAGATAACAGAGTAGAAATGCTGAGAGGTAAAGAGATGGCCACTAGCTAGTTAATTGGCTGTTTAACTATTCCAGCCTCTAATATTTATAGTAAGGCATTTAATAATATTTAAAATATTTACATCATGGGTATAACTAATTATACATGAGTGATTTTGGGACTCTAAAGCATAGTAATATTGTAGATATCTAATGGTTTATTTTCCATTTCAGGAAGAAATAACGTACTTTAAATTTTAAATAAGGTTGTAATTGGCATGTAAGGTGGCCCTCTCAGCACGGCTTTATGACAGGCCTTCTTGAAATTTGCTGGCCAAGACCACAAACTTTAGCGAGTAAAAACATACAGGCTTTGGAATTTGAGTCCAAATTGCAAGTTATTAGCCATGCAACTGGAGTAAGTTACTTTGCCTGTTTTAGGCCTCAGTTTCCTCAAGTATTATTGCTAATTTCTTTAAACTGAAATTAGCAATAATACTTACCCACAGGTTTATTATGAGGATGAACTGAGATTGTACATGACAGCCCATACATAGCATAGTGTTTGGCACATAGTAAATGCTTGCTAAATGCATTTATTAACACTGTACTCTTGTCTGATGAGAGTCTTCACAAACAACTTCATGACTGTCTTTCGTCTAAGAAAGAGTGATACTAAAACAAAGCATGAGAAATGGACCACCAACTTCTGAATATTCCAAATATCACTCTCTTTCTTTTAATGTGTCTATCATTTAATAGGCAGGGTAACTAGAACTATCAGAAATTTGTCCTTGGTTTATTTGGCTTTTTTGTGTTTAAGTCTTTTGTCCTGGAGCTACAGATAGATAATTATAAATTCATTCAATCCTGGCATGAGAGAATCTCTTTGCTTTAGATTTTTTAAGGGGAACTATGGACAGGAATAGTTTCAAATTCCGCTTTTAATTGTTAGACGAAACAATGACTGCAACGCGGCTGACTCTATCAAAATGTAAAGTTAAATCAGGGTTACTTGTTCAGTCCTGACACAAAGATTCCTGTCATTGTGTGTGATAACCTCTTCGAGGCTTGTAAACTTAAATACGTTTATTTCTCATTACCCTTTTTGCTATTATTGTGGCCAATGGTGGATTCTTCTACTAGGGTTGTACATCAGTGCTGGTTTGGCAGGCTGGATTTATTTTAAAGAAATGCTTCAGGGATGCCTACTTTTCCACCAAAAATCAATCAAAATGTTGTGAAGGGAGCATAAATTGTAGTCATCTTTGCTAGGAGAGCCTTCCAAGTAGCTTGAAAAGAGGCCTTGATAGATGGAAGCAACCGCAGGCTGGAGTCTGGGGGACTTGCCTAGTGGCTAAGTCAGGACCATCAGCAGATGTATGATATTGGGAAAAACACTTTTATTTTATCTGGGACTCAGTTGTGCTATCTATAAAATGAGAGAGTAGAAAATGCATTCTAAGATCTTAATGTCTTTTGGTTCCCGGGCCCTCTCTGATCAGCTAAGGAAGGGTATATCCAAGCTCTATGGATAAAAGCACATTCCAAGATAATTTCACCAGTTTTCACTGTCCCCCACTGCCTGATCCACCCACCCAGAGACCCCAACCCCAACCAGGTGGTGTGCAGCATCTCAATTAAAAGCCCTTCACCATTAGATGTGTCTTCAAGCCATGCCTAGTTCCAAAATAACCTTGGAGATATCTTGCATTCTCGTTCTCTTGCTTGAGTTCTCTGACCTCTGAGGGTCAGGATGTCTTTGTTGTATAAGTTTATGAGCACGATGAAGGAGGAGGAGATATTATTTCACTTGACATTTGAAACAACTGGCCTTTGAGTCTAAACTGAATATCATCTCCCTTGTAAGTATTTCTAGGGGAAGCCTAGATATTTGGAAAGTGCTAAGGCAAATATCGATTTGATTTAGGTAGATTTCAAGCATCAAATGTGGTGGTTGGTTGTGGTAGGTAGGGCTGCGTGAGAGGCTGGGGCGTGTGCCTGGAGATGTTAAATATTAGAATTTCACCCCTTTTTCTTTTTCTCTTTCTTCATTCTCTTTCCTTATGACCCCTCCATGACATAGGTGGTGGGCTGGCCTTTGTCTGATTCTTAAGACAAAGTTTCTAAAGAAACTTTGACTTATTTTCATAAAGTACTTAATTATTTGAGGTGTTATTTGTTTGTTTGTTTGTTTGTGTTTTTTGTATTTGAAAAGTATGCTGATTTGCCCAAGACATTAAGAATGATAGTTGCTGATTGTTAACTTCCTTTAGCGGGTATTTTTGGATTTGCTTATACCATATATTATTCTCTTCTGGGGAGTCAGGGCAGGGAAGAGAAAGAACTTCGATTTTATCTAAAGCATTTGCTCAGCCAGGTTGAATGCTACTTCTGTTTATGTGATTATTGAAAGCTTCCTTTACCCCCCAGACAGCATCCAGTACTTGTTGGGAGCCATCTCATTTTATCTTCATGGCAACCCTATGGGATAAGATGCAGTTAGTTTCCTCATTTTGCAAATGAAGAAATTAAGGGTCAGTCCAAGGTCACTAAGCTTATAAGTGATTGAGTTGTGTCTGAACCCAAGTCCTTCAGAGTAGAGAACTTAAACTCTCACTAATCACCTAGGTTGTCTGGGAGCATTCTAGTACAGGGGAGGAACTGGAGACCTTACTCTCTGTGACGGTAAAGGAAGTGGAGCCAGATAATCAGAAATCTAGGTCATGTAGGTTGGATTCCTAGTCCAATCTGTTAGGTCCTACCTCACTCTTTGGCTTACTACAGTTCGTTGCCAGTTCTAGATCTGCTATAAGAAGTGTCTATTCTGGACCTACCAGGCTCCCACATGCTCACAGAACCCACCTTAACCAAGTTCTCCAGGATGAGTCTTTTTATTTCTAGGCTAGTATCTCTTGATTCTTCCTGTAACGCTTCTTACTCTTCCTTCTCTCCTGCTCTCTTTCTCTAATGTTTTTTTAACCATTTGTAACATTTTGCAACTTCAAGCAGAAGCATTCTTTGTACCGTCAATTGTAGAAAGAGAATGATAATAGTTCCTACCTTTATTTTAATAGTTAATAATTATAAAAATAATAGAAAGAAAATAAAAATAATGGCTAACATTTGTTGTTTAGTTACTGTGTGGCCAGGAACTATGCAAAGCATCTTACAGTATATTTATAATCTCATTACATTTCATAGTAGCCCTTTTATGTAGTGTCCTTTTTATCATCTCCCTTTTAGAGGTAGCCACTTGGGACACAGAGAGTTTAAGAGACTTGCCCAAGATAAACACTTCATAAGGTTTGGGACTTAGGTTATCTCACTCTGAGGCCCAAGCTTTTGGCTATTCATTTATGTTGCCTTCTTCTAATTCATGGAAAGCGAAAGGAACAGTGCCTAGCAAATGCCAAGAATCTCATTCATTTGCCAGCAAATAATCTCAGAGAGAATCCCCTGTATCCTAGCTTCTTGGGATACAGTAATGAATAAAACTGATAAAAATCTCTGTCTTCTTAGTTTGCATTTTGGTTGAGGGGAATGAGGGCCCACAAAAAAATAAGTAAAATATGCACATGTTAAGTGGCGATTAGTGCAATGAAGAAAAGTAAAGCTAGAACAGGGACTAGAGAAGGCTGGGCATTGGCACTGAATATAAGTAAAATTATTTGTAATGAATAGCCGTGGTAGAATGCAACCTGCTTTTGTTGGGTTGGTATATTGACCACTGATAAGGTCTGGAGTTGGTGTAGAACTTTTCTCTCTACTATAGACTCAATTTCCATATCTCCCCCGACAACCTTAGAATATTAGGTAGCTTTGCAACATGAAACTGGAATTCACACACCTAAAGGCACTTTCAGCTTATAGTGTGAGTTTTGTGATTTAACATTTATTGGGCTTGGCTGCTGTGCACACAGCAGTCATTTAGGTACGTATAAAGTTGATATTCTCTGCCCGCAAACATGGTTGCCTTTACATAGACTCATCCTTCACTAGGTTTGCTGATTGTGTCACTGCCACTTAAATGTCACAGTATTAAGCACAAGGAAATGCAAGACAGATGAGGTAGAAAATAAAGTCTGTGTTTGTTTCTCATGCTTGGTGAAGGTGTTTTATAGACACTGGAATAGTCAGTGGAACTAGGCCAGGATGGCCTAAATACCTGGTGCTGAAGCCAGTAGGTAGGTGTTTAATTGTAGAAATGAAGCATCTAACCAACACATTTAGAAGCAGTGTTTAAAGACAAATTTCACCATTTTTACTTTGGAAAATAAGACTCCTGGACTTACTGTACGAAGTGAGGCAAAACTATGCACAGAATGAGAACACGGCTTTTCTTTTATTATTCTTCCTTCTCTTGGGCACTGTGTAGCAAATCATCTGTCATTTTGGGGTTGGGGTACAACTTGGCCTAATAGACAGGCAATGGTAACTCTCTGGAGTCATAACAGTTCCCTTTGGCTTGCCTTTATGGCCAGTATAGATTGCTAAGGCTATAGCAATTATGAGGCAGTCCATATCAGTTGTTGAAAACAATGCCATTTTTGCCCAAGAGAACCATATTCTTCCTTATATGTGGCACAAACTAGTTTTGTGGGTTTTTTTTTTCTTTTCTTTATCCCCTACAAATCATTGTACTTGAAGATGCCACACTACCCCTGTGAAGTACTGCTGCTCTGGTCCTACTTAATAGTACCACAAGAAGAAATAGGAAGCTTTTAAACATTATACCTGTATTTTCATTGGTGGTGAACAGTTAGTTATGGAACCTCTCCTTTGTGCCAGAAATCAGTGGGCTGAGAAGAAAAATGAAACCTGGTCTTTGGCCCAAAATAACTTCAATCAGCAAATATTTAATTGAGCAACTATTATATAAATATTCTCAGAACTTATGGGGATGAAATGTTGAACAAAATCTAACATGGTTCTTGCCATCAGGGAGGTTACAATCTAGTGGGATAGCAGGAAATTAATAAAAAACTTAAAATTACATCTTTATGCTATAAAGAAGACATGTTTGTGGTAGGATATCTTAGGGAAAACTGGCCTAGTTGGAAAGACCACAAGAGATCTTCTTTAAAACATGATTGAATTGGGTTGTAAGGGATGAATAGGTGTCAGTGAAGGCAGAGACAGAGGTTGGGGAGGGATACAGCATGTGCAGAGGGCCTGTGGCAGAAGAGAGAGGTTGGTGTGGTGGGAGCACAAGGCAAGAGAAGACCAAAAATGCAAGATAAGGCAGTAAAGATAATGGGGCCAACTAAAGCCTTCTAGGCTTCGTTTGGGATCCAAGTCTCTATTTTTAATATGGTAGGAAATGACTGAAGGCCAGAAACAGAGGGAATCAGAATTGTGTTTCAAGAGCGTCACTATACGGTTAGGATGGAAGACAGATTAGAGGAAATGCGAGTGGATAAGGCAAGATGCATTTGGAAGACAGTCAAGAGTTTAACCAGAAAGAGAAGACATGTCAGTAATTGCCATCATGGGAAGCAGTGAGAAGCACCAGAATTGAGAAACCAAGTACTTTAAGAGTTAGAGGAGGGAGACACACCCTGTCTAGCTGAGGTTCATGGAAGAGTTGGTATTCAACTGGGAGGGATTTTATCAGTAGAGGAGCTGAGATTGAGAATGGGGTTGAGGAAGAGATAAGTCAGGAGCAAAAATACGGAAGTGAGGGAGCCTGTGACTGAAGAGCAACATGTAGATCAATTTGATGAAAGCACTAGGTAGGGGCCAGCAAATACTGGTTTGCTTCTGTTTTCCAGAGAACCTCGAGGAGACAAGGTAGAAAACCAATCCCAAATGAACAGGAGTACTACTGAGACCTGTACTGAATAAGACAAGAGAAACTCAGTGAGCTAAACTAGGGTATAAGCCACTTGCAGGAGCAGAGCAGGGTCAGGCATTGGTCTGACTTGCTGTGAAGACTTTAAGCTGTGAACTCATAGGACTTGGATTCCACTTGTCAGGGAGTTTGATTGGTTCAGAATCTGGGGCAGGATGGAACCTGCAGGAAAAAGCTGACTGGCCCCGTGTGAGACAGGTGACACTGGAGGAATGAAGAATAGGCACCCTCAGAGGTTTAGGCTGGAGGCTTGGTGAGAATATCAACCCTGACCCATAGAGCTACTGAAATGTATGATACTACAGTGAGCGCCAAGGATACCTTCCCAGCCAAACATGCCAAGGAATAGTCTGGGGATGGCTAGTGAACCAAGCTTCACAGGTAGCCCCAGTTCTTCATGAGAGACACACTTGAGTTGCTGGCAATAATATTCTTACTGTCCAAGGTTAAGTGGCCCTATGTCTCACAAGGCCCCATTCAGGGCTTATCAAGCCTCTTGAATATTCCATCAAGTTAGTCTGAAACTCTAGAGTATTTACTTTATATGTTCTGAACTTAACAGGGCACATTCTGTCTCTAATATCTTGGTTCTGAGTACCCATCCTCACTAGGACACTAGTGCCATCTTGCTAGCTGGTCCATGAGTTACATAATGATGGAGCATCTCATATGTGTAGTTCTGTAACAGTGACCAAGCAGTGGACATTCCTATCCATTCAAGGCTGAACATGTGATGGAGCAAGGCATGTCTGCACAGGGCCTAGCATGAAGGGGTTGAACCCTTATAACTTGGAAACTAACTGAATGGGAGAAATGAGATGGAATAAGGCACTGACGTTGGTGCAATTTCTGATTATATTTTGTTGCCATTTAACTTGTTTTTACTGTATGCCACACCCTGTGGTAACTCGTTTCATCTGCACAGTGACCCTTGAAATGCCCACAGTATAGACGAGAAAACTGAACTCCTTAGAATTGACGTATCTTGCCCAAGGTCATACAATGAGTGAATGGGGCAACCTGGACATGGACTTCAGTCTTCCTGAGCTCAGAGCTGACCAAAGACTCTGTCTAAACTTCCAAGACCCTTTTCTCCCATTGGTTGATGCACATGGTATTGAAAAATGTCGAGCATTCTCTTTCTCTGTTGAAAAGTTCTGCCTCCCATTAGTTATGAAGGGAATCCTACAGAAAGGGGTGAGTCCCTTAAATTCTTCAATTGATTATGGGAGGTTAGCAAAAAAAGAGAGTTTATGAACCCATGAAACCTTAGGTTCTATCTATCAGCTGTGTCTTACTGAAATCACCTCTTGAACCAGGACCCTTCAGACATAGCAATTCATGTCCTCAGTCTCTGGACACAATGGAATCCTCATTATAAGGCCTTCCACACAAAGATAATAATAGTGGTGCCTCTCCCATGTGTGTTCACATTTTTGAGAAAAAATATTCTTGCAGCTATCAAAGCACCTGCTAATCAAAGATTTCGTATTCCCTGTAATTTGTTTTTAATCTTGTAAAGCCGACTACTTTCAAATAGGACTCAGAGTGTCAAAGGCTGAAATTCATTTCCTTGAACTTCATTTAACTGGGCCACAGAATCATTCTGAGAGAATCATTTAAATTAATATGTGGCATTACGGTGTTAAAAAGAAAAAAATTTTGTCCTAATTCCCAATTTCAGAGTTTCTCCAGACCTCCAATCTGGGCTCTGACCCCATAATTGTGTGCAGCTGAGCTGCTGACAAGTCCACACATATTCTGAAGTCACATTTTCTGGCTCTGGGGCTCCAAGGACTCACAAAGAGGAGGAATTTTTTTTTTTTAATCCCTGCTTGTTCCGTCAACTAGTTCACCGGTTAAACCCTGATTGAATGTAGAAATTTTAGAAATGAAAAAAAAAAAAATGGCTGGAGTGGGACGTGCAGGTTTTTGCATCCCAAGCATTAATTCGCCCCAAGCTGTGTTAGTGCCGGACGAGACAGCTTGTATGAAAATTTAGGAGTCCCGGAGAACAACAATAACAAAAATTAACAAATGGCAGGATGAGTAGCAGAAGGGAAAATCAAGCATATGCTGCTCGTTTGAAATGTAGTTTCATTAAAAATCTTTTCCATTGCACCCTAAAACAATCTGTCCTTGCCAGATAACACATTGGACACCAAAAGGCTGTTCCCTCCGCTTGCTTTCTTAGTTGTAAGCCAACCCTTATAAAAATAAGAACACAGCTGCTCGTGACAAAATAAATTTGTCAGCTTGTCTTTGAAAGGTAAAATAACCAGGGGGAACTGGTGCTGCTTCCCACCACTTACTGACAATAGTAAGCAACACCCTTGTGTTTGTGTTCAGTCAACACCAATCAATAAACATCTGTTGGGATGAGCATTGGTGCCTCTTTACGATTCATTATGCTTCATTAGGAATTGGTTTTGTCTTCAAGGGAAGAAAAAAGAAATCTCATGTAATTAAAGAATAGTGTCTTGTGCTCTCATATTTTCCCCCTTAAAGACCTAAATTCTTTTAAAGCCGTTTTTTACAGTACATTTATCTGTATTTAAATGTAACTACTTTACCTTGAAAAGACCATCTGTTCATAAAGACCATCCTTTTTGTCTTGCCAGAGGTAAACTTGGGAAAGAGGTAGTGTTAGCTGGGAACTATGGTTAAATGGAAATAGATGAGACTTAAGGCAGGTTAGGGAGGTTCCCTACCCAGCAAAATGATATTCAGTTATGTTCTGGGTGGGGTGAAAAGAAAACACAATTTTCTGGAGGGAGATGTGCATTTGACATGACGTTCTTTGGAAATGGTTTTATTTCAAAGGGAGGTGTACTTGAAATTCCCAAGGCCAGTTAACTTCAACGATCCTTTCCTTGGACTTATTATAGACAATTTAAGTGGCCTCTGCAGTATCAGACATACAGTAAGTTTTGTTATTTTACTTTCAAGAAAATATCTCGCTTTTGAGGGGCTGCTGGAAATATTAGTGTAGATGATGAAGCTGTACTAAAGTCACCTTATAGGCACCATGAATTTGTGCCCATTGAGGGAAATATCCTTAGGTGAACTTAACAAAATGTATCTAATACACGCAAGTACGCAAATGAAGCATAAAGTAGCTGGTAATGGCCCCAAATTATACAAAACACAGTTACTGTTCCCATTAGTGTTTGTTTGTTTGTTTTGTTTTGTTTTTACCAGAGCCAAATTTGGGGAACTGAAAAGCAAACAAGCACTTCAGAGAGAGCAGAACACTGCAGAGGTTGGGGTGAAATTCAAGCGTTAGGATTAATGAAACATTAGCATTTACCTTTCTACTTAACTCATATTAGAGCCCAAAATTTGGGGGTTTGGGGACTGTTTTGTATGGATAGAAGCTTTCTTTGAGAAAAGAAATTAAGGAATTTCACTTACAGACTGCAACCACATACAAATGAAGGAAACTGAACAATTGCTTAGAATGTGATTAATTTGTATTTTTGAATAATGGAATGGAGATTGCCATAGGAAAGAACCATGAGACATTCTTAAGCAACACAGTAAATATGCGTAGAACAGCTCAGATCCCTTTGGATTTAGATGCAGAGGACTTCTATTGTTGTTTTCCCTACGAGTGAAGGATAATTTCACAGAGAATAATGTGTTTGTGCAGAAAATTTAATGTGTGAGCAATGAACGAAACATGGATTTCTCACATGACCTAGCTGACCTCTTCTTTGTATATTTCCCAAAATATGTTCATTAGAGCAGTTGACTGTGATGATGCTCAGCAAAATTCGAAGATGAAGAGACCCTAGTGAAGAATGTGTGGGAAATGTTGCATTCTTGGTCTCTTTCCTGCACTGCCACAGGCTGCATTGGCATCTGAAAGGCTCCCAGAAATCTGGCAGCAAATAAACAACTTTAGCTTTGTTTAACTCTAGCATCTCTCAAAAGCATTTGACAGCAAGCGCTTTTGTTCACAGAGCGTGTTTTAGCATCTAGCAGCGTTGAGTGCTTGTGGAAACACACTTTGGCACATGCTGACCTATACTGGTATCTTCTAGGCTTATGTAACTAATGGACTTAATGGGGAGTAATGGATTAAAAGTGCTGAGATGCCATTTCTGTGAGTCTCTGGGGAGGATAGAGAACTTGATATAAAACCACAGAATTACCACTAGAGGCATTGTGAGAACTGCTGGTATCTGATTTTTGGAATCGGGAGATGAAGGTTTATTTCTTGATGGACTAGGCTTCCTGCAAGAGATATCTTGAAGGTACAACTATTTTTTTTTTCCTTTTTGTGTCTTTTTTTGTTTTTGTTTTTGTTTTTGTTTTGATAGCCTACTAAAGTGAGTCTAAAAGTGTTTCTTAAGTAGAGCTGAGCTTTCTGACCACCTTAAAGTTCATATAGGTTTCTGCCCTTTTTCTGGCCAGGCCTTTACTTTATCAAAAATCTACAGTTCATATTGTGAAATCATATCGAAACTGTATGATTTCATCACCTGGAGTGGAGAGTCTTGGCCCCCTGACCTTGGTAGAGGTGTTCTCAGTTAAGGTCAATGGTGGGTACAGCCTAAAGAAAGTTTGCCTTCTAAAGTCCTGATTATACACTAAAAATGCCTCCCTAAAAAGATAGGTGATAGTTTTCTTTACATCAGTGTTCCTCCATATTGGTAAAGGTGGAAAACTGACTACCTACCCCTGGTCTTTTTGAATATTACTATATTACTCTTGCTTGAGCCCTGCTGTGTTAGATGAAAATGACATGCTTCGCAAAGGTATTGTGAGAGAGTATGTCATATAACTTGCAGATATCCTGATTCTTCTTAATTCCTTCATTTTCCATTTTCTAAGATATCTTTTCTCCATTCTTTTTTCTTTTATGTTTCTTAGACTTTCTTCTTCCTTCTCCTTTTCTTCATTTTCTTCACTCTTTTCTTCCTTTGTTCATCTAATCTTTTCTTCTCCATCCTCCCCTAAAGCAGAATTATGGTAGCTTTATATACTATATGTTGTATTTTGTAGCATTCTTTGGATCTACTGGGCTTATCCAACAAACATAGAAACTGAGGTGCCTTTGGGAGCCATGCTGGCTCTTCGTGAACACCTTTGCCAAGCTTCCACCAACCCTTCTGAAACAGTGCATTTTAGAATTTTACCTGCCTTTTATCAAGCTTGTAAGGTTATAGTAGTCATGCACTGCATAAAATTTCAGTCAACCACAGACCGCATGTATGAAGGTGGCCCTATAAGATTATAATGGAGCTGAAAATTTCCTACTGCCTTGCAATGTCGTAGCTGTCTTTACGTTGTAGTCCATTGCATTATTCCCTTGTTCATAGCAGTGCTGGTGTAAACAAAGCTATGCTGCCAGTCGTATAAAAGTATCACACGTACAGTTATGTTCAGTACATAATACTTGATAATAAACGACTATGTTACTAGTTTGTACCCTTACTATACTATACTTTTTTATTGTTATTTTAGAGTGTATTTATTATTTTTTTAAAAAGATAACTTTAAAACCGCTTCAAGCAGGTCCTTCAGGGACTATTGCAGAAGAATGCATTGTTATCATAGGAGAAGACGGCTCCATGGTGAGTGCCCCTGAAGGCCTTTCAGTGGGACAAGATGTGGACATAGAAGAGAGTGATACTGATGATCCTGACCTTGTGTAGACCTAGACTAATGTGTGTGTGTGTGTTGGTTTTTAACACAAAAGTGTAAAAAGTAAAAAATAAAAGGTTTTAAAAATAGAATAAAGAAAGAAAATATTTTTGTATACCTGTACAGTGTATTTGTGTTTTAAGCTACATGTTATTACAAAAGTCAAAAAGTTAAGAAAATTAAAGTTGATAAAGTTAAAAAGTTCCAGTAAGCTGATTAATTTATTACATAAATTTAGAAGATTCATTTAGTATAGCCTAAGTATACAGTGTACAGAAAGTCTATAGAAATGTACAGTAATGCCCCAGGCCTTCAAATTCAGTCACCCCTTACTCACTGACTCACCCAAAGCAACTTCCAATCCAACAAGCTCCATTCATGGTAAGTGCCCTATATAGGAATACCATATTTCTTATCTTTTATACCATAGTTTTACTGTATCTTTTCTATATTTATTTAGATACATGAATACTTATCATTATGTTACCATTAACTACAGTATTAAGTGAGTAACATGCTCTATACCTTTGTAACCTAGGAGCTGAAGGGTATAGCATATAGCCTAGCTGTGCAGAGAGCTGTACCATCTAGGTTTGTATGAGTACACTCTATGATGTTTGCACAAGGGTGAAATATACTAGTATACTTCTCAGCATGTATCCCCATTGTTAAGTAACACATGGCTAGCTGTAGTTAGTTCTTTTGATAAAGAGATATTTATTCTTATACAGTATTTAGATCCAGGACAACCATATGTGAGTTGCACAGGTTATGCCCTACATGAAAGTTTCTGGCTACAGTGGGACTTGGGGTAAAATCCAGTCCAAGCCACATGCTTGGGGGACAAGAAAGAGGTGCTTTCTCTCTTGGGTGCCAGCTTCTAGTTTTTGCCCAATGGGAGGTTGAATACTAAGAGTCTTATTTGTTTGAATACCTCTGCTTTGTTAGAATACCTCTGCTGTAATTCTTCACAGGCTCCAAAAAGCAATTCAGCAGTTTTATCTGCAAATTCTAGAATTATCTTTCTCTGGATACCTTTGCATGTGGCCATGTTTACTTAGATGTTTTCAAATCAGTTTATCAGTTTTATCTGCCAGTTATTTCTATTCATCCAGTCTAGAAAGGCCTTTAAGACGGTGACATACTCCCTAGAAGTCTCATTTCCCAGTCTGTCTTGGTCATCAGTTCTCTTAGCAGCCAGTTTGATTTGCTCTTGTTTGATAGAGCCAAGAGGAGGAAATTAGAAGTTGAGTTCAACTTTCTCTGTGCTGATCTAGTTTCATTTGTTGATAAAAGGATTTTAAATATTTATAGTTAGTTTTGAATATCAATTCTAATATAAATGTATAGTCATGGGAATCATGTAGGCTAGAAATTGGGCTTAATTAATTCTCTTTAAAAAGTTCATTTCAAGAATCACTTGAAGGTTCTGGCTAAATCTAATAAACCTAAACTCCAGTGCTAGGTTAGAACTGGCAAGGTCTACCTCTCAGCTTTGTTGAGGATGGAAGGAAGTTGATCACTCATGGATTTGTTAAGACAAAACTCTTTGAATATGTTATGATTCCAAGTGATTTTACACTCTAGCTGGAAGAAGACACAGTTCTGCAAGAAACTAAGTAATTCAAGTTGCTCAACAACAACAAGAAACTTGTCACCTCTTAAATAATATTTTCTTAAAGAAACTGTAGAAAGCAAGCAAGAAGATATTTATGTAGTTCTGTGAGATTTAGTATATAATTAGATATATATTGTCACATATATATGCATGTGTTTAAATCAGATATATCTCCTGAGTGGAGTCTGTATTTCCCATACACTATATTTTCTATGAACCTCCATCCATATATCATACTTCAAGCTGTGTTCTGCTAGACAATTTAAAGCCCTACAAATTTAGAAAGTAATGTTTTAATAAAAATGCATGCTATTATTGATTGCTGTCATAATATAACCATTGTTTTGCTAACTCTCTGATTTACATGACTGAAAACTCTCCTATAATTAGTTATTTCCTAAAATTTAAGGATAATAGAGCAGAGGGCCACAAGTGTTTTTTTGTTTGTTTAATTCCTATGAACATGATTTTCCCTTGAATAAGACTTTGTGCTATAATAGATTTTCTCCTAATGTTAATATGATTTATGAAACTGGTATTGAATATTTTCCTTCAAATTTATGGCCCGATGGATATCATGCTGAGTTTAAGATGCTGAGCCTAATGATATTCACATTGGTGGCATTATATTGATTTGTTTTGGTTTGATATATAGGGCTTTTAAAAATAATAACACAGAATAATTATACAACTTGCTTTTTTCTGTTTATGCACATTAGAATTAAGATTTATGTGCAGCATCATGAAATTAATTTTATAAATACCTAAGTTCAAAACTATTGGGAATGGGTAGAGATGTATGTTCTCCCTTATTTCCATAATGTTCACTATTTGAGCACCACTATTTGTCTATTGTGATGTTGTGGGGTTTGTTGGGGGCATGTGATAAATAATTTCCACATAATCATAAGACTTTTCCTCTAGTGGATGAAACTTCCCACCAAAATTCTTAAGTCACTAGCCTTCTAGGTAAAGTATAAACCCCTTTATTTTTATTCTATGTTCTGGAAGTGTGTTAAATATCCCATCACATGGGGTAATGGATGTCAATGTACTTTATTAACTAATAGGTAGTATGGAAAGTTCTGGATTAATAGATGATTGATACTGGCCCACGCAGCCCATTGTTCATGGGGAATGGAAACACATGAATGTGAATGGCATGTCATATCTGAAATACACCCAAATTTCAAGCTAATTTCAAATGTTCCTTTTTCATACCTCCATGCAAAGGAATTTTCTGGGTCTAAAAGCAATTTTAGTATAATATATTTGAGCCTTTACCCTGAATAATATGTAGGCTGTTTATAGAGACATTAACCAAAAATTTAAAGTTATTAAAGATAAAAACCAAATTGTTATGGGTCAGCTTACTTTCAGGTTGTTTTATTTAAAACGTCATTCCATGCAGATTCTTGGCATTGAACGAATTGAAAATTTTAGTTGGTTGACCACATTTGTTCTGTTTTTAGCCAGCTGTGCTTCTGTTGTATAAAAACAGCTTTACTGAGGTCTTTGCCAACAGATAATACACTGTTACGATGAAAAATGTGACGTTTTAGTGACATGCATCTGTTTATTAGTTTACATCCAACATTTTAAATTGTGTTCTGTTAATTTGCTGCCTATGTCCCCATGGAAACTTTACTCATTTATTTATTCACACGCTATTTTAAAGATAAGCCATTTTCCCTAATTTGTAGTAAAGCTTTATGGATTGAGAATTCTTCTTGGAGTCAAAGAGCTCTATCTTCAAAACTGGGATTCCACCACTCAGTCACTGAATTATCTTTAGCAAGTCACTCTATTTTTCTGAAACTTAGTTACTTAATTTTTAGGAATAAATGAAATCATAAGTATGAAAGTTCCTGATGTGATACTTGGATACGTGAAACATGTTAGGCGCTCTGTGAATGTTCATTTTTCTTCTCATCCCTATCCACTGAATGAGATTCAAGTTCTAATTCTGTGATATCTCTTTCTGTCTCTCTCTCTCTCTCCTCCTCCTTCTCTCTCTCATGTAACAAAAATAAAAAACAAGTGAATAATTTGAGGAACTAACGGTACTAGCATTTAACCTTTAGAATTCAGACTTGGACTTTAAATGAACTTGAGCCATGAGTTTTCGACTCAATTTAAAACCAGAAAATATTTAAGACTAACAATACATTTTTCTTTTCTTTTATTATTATTATTATTATTATTTTTTGAGATGGAGTCTCGCTCTGTCACCCAGGCTGGAGTGCAGTGGTGTGATCTCGGCTCATTGCGAACTCCACCTCCTGGGTTCACGCCATTCTGCTGCCTCAGCCTCCCAAGTAGCTGGGGACTACAGGTGCCTGCCACCATGCCCAGCAAATTTTTTTTTATGTGTGTGTATTTTTGGTAGAGATGGGGTTTCACCGTGTTAGCCAGGATGGTCTGTATCTCCTGACCTCGTGATCTGCCCGCTTTGGCCTCCCAAAGTGCTGGGATTACAGGCATGGGCCACTGCACCTGGCCAATACATTTTGCTTTTCTTATTATACCTGGCTTATTAGAAATAAAATATTGGCAATGCTGAATCCTATGCAAAGTGCAAACTATTTGCTTAGTGTATATATGCTAGAAAAATTGATGGATTCAGTTGTTCTATTATTATTTCATTTATTGTGATTCTTATTCCCACAGATTATGTTTGTGTTCTTGAGCTAGCAAATGCATGTGTGAACAATTGCTTTAAGTTTGAATTTAATATTTAAATTGCACCAAGAAAATACTCACTGTTTTCCATCAGTTTCCTTCCAAGGTTAGAAAAGATGTTTACATTTAAATATCTCCTTAACAATGGAAAGGAAGAAAGCTCTATAACCTTGTAGTCAACAAGCCTGAGGATTAAACCCTGTCATTTAGGAATTCATTAGCTGTCCTTTTGCTTAGGACAATAATAATTTATCTTTCCTAACAGACTCCCTCCCCTCCCAAAACTACACAAATGACATATTTCCTCTTTAGGCCATTCTGCTTTTCAGAACTTTTGATTTATGCTTAGAGTTAGCAGAAATAATTTAAGGTGATTCTGGAAAGTATAGGTTTATTGTAAATAGATTGTATTTTCTTTTGGCTCTCACTAAACTTTGAACAATGAAATGAAGTAGCTCTTAAGAAGAAAAAAACTGAGAACAGGCAGTATAAAGTATTTTCCAAGAGCCCCATCTCTAGTTGACAGCACTTTTGCTCAAAAACAGAAGGCTGATTATATTCCCTATTTTAGTATTCCTTATAAGCTCTCTCAACCATATGAACTGGCTTTCAAGAAAAATACGTTAAAGACATAGTTCCTTTTGTTATAGATATGGTCAGGACTGGCGAATTAAATGTTTTGGTTCAAAAGTCTTCCAATGGAACATCTCTATGGTGTTCATTTCTTTAATCGAAATGAATTGTTTTCTAGAATGATTCTGCTGTATTTTGAGGATTCCTTGAGAGGCTGCATTGATTTATTTGTTATATGCCAGACACCATGCTAGGCCTGAGGATTGTAGGGGAAGGATACTACTCTCATGTCTCTTAGGAAAGCCCACAGTTAGCCTGTCATAAAAAAAATTGAAAAATGGGGTGGTGGCTGTCAAGATGGCCGAATAGGAACAGCTCTGGGCTACAGCTTCCAGCGAGATCAATGCAGAAGGCAGGTGCTTTCTGCATTTCCAACTGAGGTACCTGGCTCATCTCACTGGGACTGGTTAGACAGTGGGTGCAGCCCACAGGGGGCGAGGGGAAGCAGGGTGGGGTGTCGCCTCACTTGGGAAGCACAAGGGGTCAGGGAACTCCCTCCCCTAGCCAAGGGAAGCCATGTGGGACCGTGCCTTGAGGAATGGTGCGCTCCAGCCCAGATACCACGCTTTTCCCATGGTCTTCACAACCCACAGACCAGGAGATTCCCCACAGATGCCTACACCAGTGGGGTCCTGGATTTCAAGCACAAAACTGGGTGGCCATTTGGACAGACACTGAGCTAGCTGCAGGAGTTTTTTACCCGTACATCAGTGGATTTCAGATAATTCAAAAGGCATAATAAAGAGCTATAAGTACAGCGAAATGAAGTATTTTTTTCCTTATGGAACCAGGTGTTAGTTAAATTTTAGTGCTCAGTATCTAATAATTAAGTAATTAAACTCATTACTTGGTACGTGTATTGTATTTACATGTCCCTGGAAGTTTTTGACATTGGGAACTGCTTCATCTCTGCATTTCCATTTCCATAACGGCCTAGCAGTTCCAGCTATGAATCAGTCAAGCAGTAAGATCGAAGATGAGAAAAATGGCCCTAATAGCTAGTGTTCCTAACAGCTTTGAATCCTCCAATTAGTCATGGTAAATTTAATCCACCATAAGGCTGAACATTGGGAAATTCTTTAGGCCTCAAATTCACGATTCAGTCCCCTCATCCGCAAACCACTTTCGGACATTTTGGCTTTCACGAAATGAATGAATCAAGAATCGTCTTAGAGTCTCAAAGATAGTCCTTTTGAGTGCACTATTCAAATTTAATCTATTCCTTGCTGGGTTCGCTGTCAGGATAATTTGACCATTTGGAGTCTCATGTGGATCTTCTGAAAACTAGTAATTGGTCCTCTCTCCTCATTCTACAAAAGTTGGAGTGGTTATAGGGATACATAGTATAAAACAGATATGCAAAATACTTTTAAAAATTAGAACCAAGGGAAGTGTAATTAAAAATAGAAGCTTTTATTGAAACGCAAGAGGAAGAAAGATGCAGATGCTCATAACAAAAGGAAGAAGTGTATTAGAAGAATATAGTGATTGACGAGAATGTTTATTGCTTTCCATGAACATTGTTTTCCAAAGTACCCCTTCTCTATCTATCCCAAAGCCTCAACCATTTCTAGCTATAAAACTGACTGTCAAGATAATGTCTCCACCCCAGACCTCTTTTCTGAACTCCTAACATGTAAAACCTAACTCCCTTTTAGGCCACTCCACTAGGATGCCCAAAAGGTATTCCAAAGTCAACAAGGCCACCTTGTGAAGTTGCCAGCCAGTGAGTAGCAACATCTATCTGGTCAGGTCAGAAATCTAGGGATTATCCTTGCCTCCTGCTTCCTCATCTTCCCAAATCCAATTTATCAGTAAGTGCTTTAGATTTTACCCCACAATATTTCTTAAATCCATCCATTTCTGCTCATCTCTACCACCATCACCTAATCAAAGCTACCAAGTGTCTCTGATCTGAACTAAGTGACCTGTTACAGGTTGCTGCATCTCCATTCTGATCTCACCATGCTCCCTGTATTGTTTGTGGTCACTGAAGTCTGAACAATCACAGTTGTCCCCTTTCTTCCACCCACTGTCTTCCTCTCTCTCAAATTTTTCAGTGGTTTCCACTGCCACCCTATGCACCTTAATATGGTCCACCTCCTCTCTGCCTTTCCAGGTTTTTCTCATACCACTCTTTCCCTCATTGACCTGCTCGATGTGCTCTGGCTCATAGCTCCTTGAATACTTTATATTCCCTTCCTCCATGAACCTCTACATATGTTATTATCTCCTTATTAGTTCTCTAGCCCCATTCTTTCACCTGCCTTCCACCTAATTAATGTCAACTTGCCTATCAGTTCAGCTCTCAGGTCTCATTTTCTTAAATCTGACCCTACCCCAAATCCAGATCTTTGTCATAGGCTCCCATTACTTTCCTTTCAAGTATTATCTCAATTTGTGATTGCACAGTAATGTCACTGATTGATGTTTGTGCTTTCATTAGACTGTGAACACTGTGAGGCCAGGGGCTTTATCTGTTTTGCTCACCTCTGCCCCAGTACCAAGTACAGAGATAGTTACATGGTAAATATCTGTTGACACAGTGACTGAGTGGAGAGATGGATATATGCATGGATGAATGACTAGATGGATGAATGAATGAATAACCCGAGTTTCCTGTCATGAGATCTCTTACCTCCTATAGTATTGCCACATGCTTCATGCTTTGAGTTGTGAGCTGGTATCCTAAATCATTAAGAACATAGATTTCAAGTCAGAATATTCTTGCTAAAATCTTCTACATACATTTAACCTCCCTGAACCTCATTTTCCTGTCAAGTAAAGGCAATCATGTCTCATAGGGGTAGTGATGGAAGGGGTTAAATGAAACACTCTCTTCTTAGTATCTTGTCATAGTAACTGTTCATGGTGAGACATCTTTAAAGGGTAGCTCCGACAATGATTGAGAAGCATCAAAGAACTGGAGAGGAAATTTGGTAGTTCTGGTGGTAATGATGATTGTCATCACTCTCCCTATACACACAGAACAGGACATGGGACCATTTTTGTTGCATTGTTGTCTGGCTGTTGTCATTATACGTGCAAGGAGGCCTGCACTCCTGGTACCTCATCTGTCTATCTCTTGCCAGGGGAGAGGACCCTGGAGGTCATTAACAAATGTGGGTCTCCAGCAGTGATCTCTTCTTGTTTATTATAGTTTAGTCTAATTACTTAAGTGACAGTCAGCACCCTGGTACAGCTTTTCAATGCCTATACCAAAGCGACACATGATTGTAATGACAGAGGTTGCTGCTTTGAATCCTGATACTGAAAACTGAGCCTGACCACTTTATATAAGAGGAGAAAGTTGGGATTCTCAGGAGATGCTAACTTATTCATCCCAACTCCAAGAGCAAGAGTGAGGGAAGAGGAGAAAAAAGGAGAGAGTCATAGAAGGTTGGCCCCGGAAGAGACTTTAGTGACATCTGTTTCAGAGTAGAAATTACATAGCGGCCATCTACTCATCATTTTGCAACCCTAGCCAACATCATTATTTCACCAAGGCATTGTTTACTGTCGACCTTGGGCTTCTTAATACAACCCTCTAGGTAGCTGCAGCTAATTGAATGGAGTTGACACTCAGTAAAAACCTATTTGCTGTTCCTGATTTTGTTATCTTCCCTTACATGTGAGATACCTAATTATAGCACTTCATTATATTTTTTCTTCCTCAGGAGAGAATCAGTCTGTAAGATGGAGAGTTTTTTTCAAAAGAGGAATTGCCTACCTTTCTGCCGTAGCCTATGCCATTTGAGTGAGACCTCATTGTGCAATAATCAACTTGGTGATTTTTTTTATACAGTCCTTTTATAGGAATCATGTGTATTAATTCCAAGATCTATTAAAAGAATCAATACACATGCTGTTTCTTATTATGAGCTAATAGTTTGCTGAATTAGATGAAGCTCTATTACTGGGGACTGCCACAGAAAAGATGATGCAACTATCAAGATATGTGCCAATTTTGTCATGATTTTCAACACTGCCTACTTTCCAGTGACAGATACATGTTCCAGCTAGAGAAGGGCTTTAATTTGAAGACAGTTGGTAGATGTGGATAATATGGCTACCTATGCTGAATATCTAATTTGAGATCCTGCTCTTGCATATGGTATGGTCACCTTCAGTGGAAAAATACACATGTAGCTCACATTCCCACACAGTTACACACACATTCAAACGTGTTCAAGGACATGTTGATTAAAACGATGAGGCTGTTATTTTGGAAGTATTAATCTAATATTCTCATTTCTAGTTTTGCTGTCATGTCTGAGAAATATTTGTTTACTGAGTATGGAAATGTCTAGTGTTCCATGTTGTATAGCCAAGAGTCTACCATAAAACAGTCAAGTTCCAACATGTACAAATTAAGTAAACAGAAGTCATAGAGTAGTATGTGCTGGCTCCTAAAGGAAGGTCTCAGATCTTCATAGCTAATCACATTTCACTTCAGTATTACAGGTGAAAAGCACTGTAAGTGCCACTGAGACATATTTTTCTCAGTGACTTGGTCAATGTGCATTGGTTAGATTTGCTCCTGAGATGTTATTACATTCATCATCATTATTTCAGGAATAGGAGTCAACCTTTGTGCATACTTACCTTGTGCTGAGCACTGGGTTGACACATTCATCCATTCACTCATCAGTCTTTACTGACTGCATTAGTTTTTATGGTAGATATAACAAAAATGCTACAGATTAGGTGGTGTAAACAAAAGACATTTATTTTCTCACCGTTCTGGAGGCTGGAAGCCAAAGACCAAGGTGTCAGCAGAGTTGATTTCCCCTGAGGCCCCTCTTGTGAGCATCCAGCTAGCCACCTTCTTGCTCTATCTTCACACAATCTTTTCTCTCGAATGCACACCCCTGGTTTCTCTTTGTGTATCCAAATTCCCTCTCTTCTTATACATACACCAGACAGACTGAATTAGGGCATAATTTTAACTTGATGGTCTCACTTTAACTTACTTTCCTCTTTAAAGCCCCTGCCTCCAATTAAAGTCACATTGAGAGGTACTGGGGATGAGGGCTTCAACATAATAATCACAGGGTCACAGAACTCAGCCTGTAAAGCTCAGTTCCTCAGCTCCTCTGCCAGGTTTCCAGGACTGAAGGAAACACAGACAAAGTCCCTGTTCTGTAGAGTGTAATTTGAGAGGCAGAAATGGACAATAAGTCTCAAAATCAATATTTGATGACCAATTTAGATTAGTACTAGGAAATAAAATGGATTAAAACTGAGGGTTAGAGTAATGGAGAGTGCTTTAAGCAGAAACATTTAAGATGAGAACTAAAGGATGATAGGGATTTTTGACAATAATGTTTACTGAGTGTTTTTCTTCTGCCAGGTAGTAGTTTCAGTGCTTCACACATTTTGTTTTATTGAATATTCACCACTATGTGAGGTGGCTACTGTTCTTATCCCCATTTTACAGATGATTAAAGTAAGGTACATAGTTTTACTAAGGAGATTGTCTTTTTTTTATTTTTGGAGACAGTCTTGTTCTGTCACCAGGCTGGAGTGCAGTGGCGCGATCTTGGCTCACGGTAACCTCTCCCTCCCGGGTTCAAGCAATTCTCCTGGTTCAGCCTCCCAAGTAGCTGGGACTATAGATGCACACCACCAAGCCCAGCTAATGTTTGTATTTTTAGTAGAGATGAGGTTTCACCATGTTGGCCAGGATGGTCTCGATCTCTTGACCTCAAGATCTGCCCGCCTCGGCCTCCCAAAGTGCTGAGATTATAGGCGTGAGCCACCATGCCCGGCCTTTTTTCTTTTTCTTTTTTGGCAAATAGGTCTTGCTTCGTTGCCCAGACTGGTCTCAAACTCCTGGGCTCAGGTGATCCTCCTGGGAGGCTGTGTGCTGGGATTACAGATGTGAGCCACCATGCCTGGCCAGAAGACTGTCTTTAGTCACCCAGCCCCTGTCAGTTTGACTCCAGAGCTGGGGCTTTTAACCACTAGATTAAGGAAGAAGAGTTTGCTGACTAAAGACCTGAGCAACACATGTGAGGGCCCTGGCTCTACAAAAAGCATGATTGTTCCGAGTATGAAAAATAGGCAAGTAGAAATGCAGCCAAATGATAGAAGAAGAGAGCTGTGCCAGAGGATTTTTGTGAGTAGATCCTGGAGAAGTTTGAAGAAGTATTTCAGGTTTCATCCTTTATTCTATGAACAAGAGGAAGCCACTGATGGATGGAACACAGAGTACTGGGATCAGTTTCATTTGTTACACACCATGGCGGTTGCTGGGCAGAGAACTGACTGTGGAGATACAGGAGTGGAGTTAGGAGGTGATTGCCGTCATTCAGATGAGAGACAGTGCTGGTGGTAGAAATAAAGAAAAACGTATACGGTTAACATATATATCACAAATGAAATTTAGGACCTGATGGCAGATGTTGGGAGAGGGGGAGAGGAGGTGCTGTGAATGACTCTTAGATTTCTGGCTTAAGTCATGGTTGAGTATCAATACCATTTAAGCAGGTGAGGAAAAACTAAGTTTGGGAATGGGGCAATGGAGAGTTCAGTTTTTGACATATTGGGTTGAGACTCTTCTATGACTTCCACATGGAGATCTCAAGCAGGTAGTTTGATATTTGAGTCTGACAACCAGCGGAGAAGTGGGAGCTAGGGATATAAAAGTGTGTGCCAGCAACATTTGGATGGTGTGTAAAGCGGAGGGGCTGAATGGGTTCAATGAGAAAAGTGTGTCGCTGGGGAAGATAAGAGGATATAGAATTGAGCTCTTGCAGTTTGCCAACATTTAGAAATTGGATAGAAGAGGACTTGGCAATGGAGACCGAGGAACATCCAGAAAGAAAGAATAGCAGGAAAGAAGGCTATCCCAGGAGCCGGTGCCGGGGTGTTTTGGGGAAGGAGCAGCCCCTTTGTGCCAGATGCCACTGCCCAGAGGTCTAGTGAGATGGGGACAAAAAATGTCCATTGAGTTTGGCAAAGTGAAGGTCACTGATGACCTTGTTAAGAGCTGTTTTTGTACATGATCTCACTGAATCTTTACAACTACGCTGTACGATAGCTACTGTTGTTTTTCCTATATTACAGTTGTGAAGACTGAGACTCAGTAATGGGAACCTAGCCACACAGTTGTAAGTGGATCAGCTCAGCTTTCAAAAGTGAAGCTGGCTTCTCCAGGGTCTGAATGATTCACAGAAAACTAGCAAACAGTACTGCTGATTTTGTTTTAGTTCCTTAAATTGAGATCAGAAGAGTAGGCATTTAAATTCAAAGTGATTACCTTCTGGAACAGTTCTGAGTTCTCATCTCATTTCTGGCCCTAGCATGTAAGCTTGGGTTTTTGGTTTCTTCGTTTTCAAAAGAAACCAGTTGGAATAAACCATCTCCCTGGTCCCTCCTAGCATTCTGAAACCTTCAGTATAAGAAATTTCTAAAAGGAAGCCCTGAAACACCTCTACTTCTCAGTGCTACTCTGGTCTTGAGTTTTCTGGAACATGTTCAACATGCATTCATTTAGCAAAGCTTTGATTGCAAGTGCCTACTATGTGCCATTCCTTTCTAGGCATTTACTCAGGCTGTTCCTCCACCTGGAGGGCCCTTAGCCTCATCTTCTTTTGAGTTTCGAATTGCAGATTTTCCCAGGAGAGGAGTCTCCATCTCCTTCAGCACTTTGCACAGCACTCCTTAGGTGAGAGTTGAGAGGTGTGTGTGTTTTCCCCTAAGTTATTTGTCTCCAAAGAGCAGGGACCGTGATTTTTTCTTCATTGTGTCTCTACAAGAAGCACTAGCACAGAGCTTTTCTCAAATGATATTTGTTGAGTTGAATTATTTGCAAATGATGAAAGCTTTGTTGAGTTCTGAAAGCCTGGGATCTTCAGACCCAAGCCTGAATGAATCAGGCCTATATTTAAACAAAGCAATACAAACACACATTTGGAAAAAAAAGAAAAAAAAACAGAACAAAATAACTTCTGAAAAATGCTGGGTTCCCTTACATGATTATTGTGGCTGTAAACAATAGTGCAAGTGCCCATGAAGGTTTCTGGCCTTCTGATTTGCTTCCAGTGTTGGTTTTCTCCCTGCTCTTCTCCTTTGCACTCTTCAAGTTAAACTGCCATTGCTTGATTGAGCCATTTCCCAACTTCAGCATTAACACTGGAATACAAGTTTCACAAATTCCTCCCATCTGGGCACAAAAGAAGGGAAAAGGATGGGCTCTGCTTATGCAGTTTGGCCTTGAAAGCAGAACACTCCATTAACACACTCAAACTGACTCACACCACAGGCATCAGGACCTCTCAATGAGAAGGGGGTACACCAGTAGGTACCAGGCACACACTCGGGGTACAGGATGCTACCTGTTTGCAGAACCTTTGTGAAAGGAGGCATGTGTGCTTGACCCAGAATGATTCAGAGGTTTTTGACATGCAGAGAATGCCAGTTGCAGAGGCTGGAAAGGTTTGGTGTGCTAGGTGTCAGCAGTGGTTTTAGATTCTGTTTGGCCTCTTGGTGCTGAGTGGGAGGCCGAGCACAGTACTTAATTTATCTATGGCAGCTCAATACTCTTTCATTGTATATGTTGGAGATTCCTACAGCATGAGTTTTGTTGGGGAAAAACGAGGAAAGATACCTTGCTAAAGATATGTCTGCAAGTGTTTCGACCAAGGTAGGCGTCTGCGTGGCAATGCAGAAGAGGGCAGCGCTGGCATACCTGGCCGGGAATCATGTGCGGCTAACATATTTGAAATGGGTCAACTCTAAGTGTTTTGCAGAGCCCTACACCTCAAGAAATGTGTGCATAGGGAGACACTCACTGGAGGAGGAGGACATGCACACAAGGACCCAATGCACGCATGAAGACAGTCATAAGGAGAGAGAGACACTCACACAGAGAGACATCAAGACCGAGAGAGAAACAGAGAGACAGCCACAGAGAAACCAAGAAAGAGGTACACACGTAGAGACAGGGACAGATGCAGAGAAAGACAAGAAGAGATAGAGACAGGGGAGATTTACCCTTACACACATGGAAACACAGTAACATGCTGAGAGAGACACAGAGCCAGGTACACACAGATACGTACATAAAGACAGACACAACATACGCTAGGGGACCGAGATTCAGAGAGAAACACCCAGACACACACTTCGGGGGGTGGAGAGACAGACACAAGCAGACATGGAAAGAGAGACAAATGCAGAGGGAGAGAAGGAGTGAACCCCTAGATTTAGATTGTGGACCATTCTACTCAAGGAACGTAGGCTTCAGAGTGGCTAGTCTCCTCTTCACTGGCTGCCGTCCCACACAGCTGTCCACAAGGGGAGCATCTTGCTGTGATGAGTGTGACCCTAATGGATAAGGACGTTTTTGCACCCTCTAGCCCTCCAAATCCTAACCAGGACTCCAACTTGTGTTCAAATGCAGAACCAGCGCTTGGTTCCAAGAAAAAGAAATTAGACTTTTCAGATTTGTTGAAGGTTGGTCAGTTTAAGGGATCTTTCCAGAGTGGTTTAACCATGTTTTCCCCCTTACTGGCTAACTTCAGAGCTTAATACCCTATAATGGGAGGGTAGCTTGAAGTGACACCTCTAGATGTTGAGCAGGAATGTGGCATATAGACTCTATGGTGAGACCACAAGCCGAGATCATTGAAAGGCCATGCCTCTAGCTTTGGTCAGGGGAGGTGAGAGTCTGGAAGTGGCGTGTCACATTGGCACAACTGAGGAATGGTAACAAGAGAGGGAGGAGACTCCACAGAGTCAGATGGCTGACTGGGAGTGGGGAGATGTCTGCATGTCCCGAGGGTCTCCAACCCACTGTGTCTGGGATACTGGCTTTGGTGGTGCAATGGCCACCTATGTTTTATACCTGGTGAACTTAATGCACAGTGTGGGTGGTCTTATAGACAAACTCGGCAGGTTGTTCAGGAAAGAGGTGTTACATAATGTCAGATTTGGGATGTGAAATCATTTATACGATGAAAAAAATCCAGTGTCCAAAAAATTCAAACATCCGCAAGACTAAGTAGCTAAAGTAGAAGGTAGTGAAATTGACTGGATATAGAAGGAATCCAAGAACTTTCAGTCAAAGCTGTGGGAGGGACCATTCTCAGTACCCCTTTAGGTGCCCAGGATGAGATCAAGGCTGTGAGAAGGGCCATCCTAGGAGGAATTTGGGGGAGGCAAATCAAGGCCACACATGATGTCAACATGACAAAAAGAGATTGGCATGCTCAGTGGCACTGGTTGAAGCAGGAGACTATTGAGCCAAGGTGGTTGAGTGATGTTTTCAGAGACATGGAGAGAGGAGAAGACCAATCCCATTTCTCAGCTGTGAGATGCAAATTCTGTGGCTGGAGAGAGGTGAGCCAGGAGAATGCTGGGCTGGTGGGGTGATGTAACTGGGGACATCTCAATGAAGAGGCTTTCCATGAGATGGTTATCATTGATCCCAGCAGTGGGGAGGCCTGTGTGGGATCTCAGATGCCCTAAAGTTCTATTTGGAACTTAGGTATGGTGTGAGCAAGAAAGAGTCAGCTCACCAAGATGGTGGGGTGGGGGGCACAAGGCCTGATGATCTCTTACCAGGACTGAGGGTCCCAAGTTGGCTGAAGGGTCAGAGATGGCCAAAGGACAGAGGTAGCTGAGGCATCGCAAACTGATGTCAGAGTCCTTCAGAGTTCCTTGTCTGGGTAAAAGACAATTAGCAGAAAGTGCTAGAAGATAGTTTTATACCCCATTTTACCTCCAACTTATTTTTTTCTTGGGCGTAGTGGCCGTGGCCATGAAAGTTGTCAACTCAGATGACCCTGAGTGTTGGTGTAATTTAGAGATTCCCAGTCAACAGCAATGGCTACAAAGTCGTGGAGGCAATAAAGCAAAAAACAGCAACTTCCATTTCTGTGTTATTTCCATGCACAGAACCCAGGTGGGTTCATGGTGGTCCCTAGGAAGGGAACACACATTAGCTCTTCCAGGATAATACGGGGTTAAGTTTGTGACCTGATGCTACCACCTCTCCTCTGGAAAAATCCCTTAACCTTCCTAAGCCTTGCTGTTTCCATGCATAACACATAGGTAATTAATACTTAGGTTATAAGATTGTGGTGGGAAGTGAATGAACTAGTATCTATTAAAGCCTTAATACAAAGCCTGGCATGTAGCAAGGGCTCCTGCTGCCATTGTTGTTACTATGCCAAACCATATGAAAGTGGTTAGGGCCAAAACAGTGAATCTCAGTGATTTCATGTGGTTCATCCTAATACTATTACTGTGGTCACCACTAGTGACTCTTGTCAAATTGTCTCATTTATGGGCTGTAGAATCCTGGGAGCTCTTGAGTACTCAGCATAAGGATGATGGCTCTCAACGTTGGATTCAGAGGTGTTTTCCAAAGTTGTGTAGAATAAAAGGAACATTTTTGCCTGTTGCCTGGGAGCTTTGTCCCAGAGAACATAATGTACATTTCCCTCCTGGAGGCTACAGTGAACTCACCTGAGTTTGTAGCATGGAAGTAAGACAGAGCCATTGAGTTTACTGCTCCTGATTCTGGTGGAGAGTAGTAGGAAAAGCAGGAGAGAATAGTAGGAAAAGCAGAAAAGAAAAGAAAAGAAAACAAGTAAACAAACAGTTTTTTTAGACAGTGGCAAGTACTCTGACTGTATTAAAAGAAGTGATATAAGAGGGGAGTGAGTGATAGTTTCAATTGGAGGATCGGTCATGGAAAGGCTTTGATGAGGAGGGGGATTTGCCCAAGGCTGGCATGTGCCTGATATGATGGGAAGGAGCAAAGCAAGGTCAGGTGGCTGGTACATGTGAACAGGGAGAGGAAGGACAGGTGATGAGGGCAGGGAAGAGATGGGGACAGGTCATGGAGAACCTGTTTAATGGCAATTGTTTTTCTTCTCCAGTGTAAAAATAATGAAATCCTCTTAACTCACAGCAGTGACAATTCTTATATTTTATATTATGCTTTACTTTAGCAAAGAGATTTGCCTCTGTTATTGCATGTGATCTTTAGAACATGCATACCAGAGAGAAGAAGAGAAGGATGGGGAGCCAGGGAGGAGTATTCATTTCCTCATCTCACAATAAGGACATTAAGACCCAGAAAGGCCAGGAAGCAGGGCTAGAATTGACCCCTATGTCTCCTTACCTCTATTCCTTCTGCAGTTCCTCCTGAGGCCTGGTCCTCATTAGAGATTTAATTCCTTTGGAAGAAAGACTGAATAAAGCTCAGGTAGCTCATTGTTTAATTATGCATTGTTGTTGTGATTTGTAAGGAGGATAGCTGTTTGTTTAATGCAAAGTCATACCCTGCGTTCCCCATCAGCAATTCTCACTAATTAAATATAAGGCTAGAAATAGGTTAGAGGTGCTAAACAATTGCCTGTGTATTGAATATGATGTTCATATGTAAACACAGCCCACAGATCACAAGTTCTGAAATGTATGTGTTCTTAATTAGCCAAATGTGAGCCCCAGGTTGGCGTAAATAGAAACTCCTCAATAAACGTTAGTGTGTCACAGCGTTAGCTAGAAGTGTGGTAGCTGAGAAGAAATTAATCACTAACACATCTGAGTGTGTGTATTTCTTTTTGTAATTAGTTATCCTTTCCAAAGTATTAAATGCTTAGGATACATATCTATCCCAAGCCTGCGTATCCATGGTAACCGTGGCTTTTGCTTTAGGCTGAAGTCTTATAGTAACTGAATGAAAATCCAGGTATAGTTGATTCAGTCACTTGGTGGACATTAGTGGAATGCCAGATAGGTGCCCAAATGTTAGCAAGACACTGAGTGATGACAAATCAGAAATAGAGCCTGTTCATAGATGAGTGAGGCAGTTAGGGAGGGCCATCTATGGCAGACTCAAGATAGACAGGATAAAAGGTCCTATGTGAAAATTTGTAAAGAAGTTAGGGAAAGAAGAGATCACTCGTAGTTGAAGGGAATGAGAGAGGATCTCTGAAACTTAAAAAGTTACTGATGAAGGACTCATATCTAGAAGATATAATGAATTCTCAAAACTCTGGTATATGTGTGTTCTCACAAAAGGGAGCTAAACATCAGGTACTCATGGACATAAAGATGGTAACAATATAGACTATGGATTACTTGAGTAGAGGGAGAGGAAGAGGAGGTAAGGGTTGAAAAACCAACTATTGGGTCCTATGCTCACTGCCTGGGTAACAGGATCATTCATCCCCCAAACCTCAGCTTCACACAGTAGTTACCTTTACTCAGGTAACAAACCTGCACATGTTCCCCCAAGTCTAAAATAAAAGTTGAAAAAGGAAAAAAAGTCTATAGTATTCATGGAACTGTGGGGAAAAAAAAAACTTTATGATAGAAAAAATGAACAATACAAGTAGAGTGGACAAAAGACATAAATAGACATTTCATTGAAGATAATAAAGGGTGGCACGTAGCACATGAAAAGATACTCAACGTCACCAGCCCATAGGGAAATGCAAATTAAGGCCATGATGAGTTATCACTGCATACATTAGGACAATTTTTAAAATGACAGCACCAGATGCTGGTGAGGGTAACAGAAACCAAATCTCTCTGATGGAAATATAGAAGACAACTACTACTCTGGAAAATAGTGATTTATTTATTTTTTATTTATTTATTTTTTTTTATTTTTATTTTTTTTAGACAGAATCTCGCTCTGTTGCCCAGGCTGGAGTGCAGTGGCATGATCTCAGCTCACTGCAACCTCCACCTCCC
Source organism: Homo sapiens (assembly GCF_000001405.40). Lineage (NCBI taxonomy): Eukaryota > Metazoa > Chordata > Mammalia > Primates > Hominidae > Homo > Homo sapiens. Next base: position 59,948,441 of record NC_000003.12, on the reverse strand, counting down.
AAATTCAAGCAATTCTCCTGACTCAGCCTCCCAAGTAGCTGGGACTATAGGCACATGCCACTATGCCCGGCTAATTTTTTTTTTTTTTTTTTTGTATTTTTAGTGGAGACGGGGTTTCACTATGTTGGCCAGGATGGTCTCGATGTCCTGACCTTATGATCTACCCACGTTGGCCTCCCAAAGTGCTGGGATTACATGTGTGATCTACTGCGCCTGGCCGAGTGATTTCTTAAAAACCAAACGTATACTTATCATAGGACCCAACAATTGCACCCAAGGGCATTTATCCCAGAGAAAGGGAAACCTATGTGTACACAAAAATCTGTACATGAATGAATGTTCACAGGTAGTTTATAGTAGCTGAAAACTGGACACAGTCAAAAGGTTCTTCAGCAGGTGAATGGTTAAACAAACAGTGGTACATCTATACCATAGAATATTACCCAGCAATAAAAAGGAACAAACTATTAATACACAAAACAGCTTGTATGGATCTCAAGGGCATTAATGTTAAATGACAAAAGCCCACTTTAAAAGGTCAGATAATATAGGAGTCTTTTATATAGATTTTCAAAAAAACAAAATTGGCATACACCCACCATTCTGCCACTGTTGCCAGCACATGCTAGTAAGCATGGATCCTGCTGCCACTGCCCCAGTGAAGTGCTTTGGCCAGCATCCTCTGTCAGAGTGTTGTTTCCAGAAGATGGGGAACACCTATGCCCCTCCAGCACAGCAGGTTCTTAACCTTGAGGGGCAGAGAACAAAGCTGGGGGACTGGTACCAGCCCCCCCAGGGTTGCAGCATACTCCCCCAGGAGTGCTGAGCTAAGCCGTGGCCCCCTGAAATCTTCCAGAAATGAAGCTCATCAACTGAACCTCTTATACCATAATCAAACCCTCAGAGCATCAAATAAAATCGGAGCTAAACTGAATGAAATTAAGACATGGAAAACCATACAAAAGATCAACAAAACCATAAATTGGGTCTTTGAAAAAATTAATCAGATTGATAGACCACTAGCTAGACTAATAAGGAAAAAAGAAGATTCAAATAAACAAAGTTAGAAATGACAAAGGGGACATTACCACCAACCCCCCAGAAATACCAAAAAACTCCCCAGAGACTATTACTACTACTTCTATGCACACAAATTAGAAAACGTACAAGAAGTGGATAAATTTCTGGAAATATGCAACCTGTTAAGATTGAACCGGGAAGAAACGGAAACCCTGGACAGACCAATAACATTTCCAAAATTGAATCAGTAATAAATTGCCCAACAACTAGAAAAAGCCACGGACCAGACAGATTCACAGCCAAATTCTACTAGACATATAAAGAGGAGCTGGTACTATTCCCACTGAAACTATTCTGAAAAATGTAGGAGGAGGACCTTCTCCCTAACTCCTTCTGTGAGGCCAGCATTTTTCTGATACCAAAATCTGGCAGAGACACAATAAAAATAGAAAAGTTCAGGCCAGTATCTTTGATGAACATAGATATAAAAATCCGCAACCAAATACTAGCAAACTGAATCCAGCAGCGCATCAAAAAGCTAATCCACTATGATCAAGTAGGCTTTATCCCTGGCATGCAAGGTTGACTCAATATATACAAATCAATAAATGTGATTCATCACAAAAACAGAACTAAAAACAAAAACCACATGATTATCTCAATAGATGTAGAAAAGCCTTTTGATAAAATTAGACATCCTTCTTGTTAAAAATCCTCAACAAACTAGGCATTGGAAGAATGAACTTACCTCAAAATAATAATGACAAATCCATAGCCAACATCATACCAAATGAACAAAAGCTGGAAGCATTCCCCTTGAGAACTGTAATAAAACAAGGATGCCCACTCTCACCACTCCTTTTCAACATAGTACTGGAAGTCCTAGCCAGAGCAATCAGTCAAGAGAAAGAAATAAAAGGCATATAAATAGCAAGACGGGAAGTTAAACCATCTGTTGGAAATGATATGATTTTATGCCTGGGAAACCCTGTAGTCTCTGTCCAAAAGCTCTTTAATTTGATAAACAACTTCAGCAAGGTTTCAGCATACAAAATCAATGTAAAAAATTAGTAGCTTTTTCTATACACCAACAGTATTCAAGGTGAGAGCCAAATCAAGAATGCAGTCCCATTCACAATAGTCAAACACACACAAAAAAATACCTAATACATCTAACCATGGAGGTGAAAGATCTTTACATTGAGAATTATAAAACACTCCTGAAAGAAATCAGAGACAACACAAATGGAGAAACATTCCATGCTCGTGGATAGGAAGAATCAATACTGTTAAAATGGCCACACTGCCCAAAGCAATTTATAGATTCTGTCCTGTTCCTATCAAACTACCAACGTGACTTCTCACAGAATTAGAAAAATTTATTCTAAAATTCATATGGAATCTAAAAAGAGCCAGAATAGCCAAAGCAGTCCTAAGCAAAAAGTGAAGCTGGAGGCATCACATTATCTGACTTCAAACTGTACTACAAGGCTACAGTAGCCAAAACAGCATGGTACTGGTACAAAACCAGACTCACAGACCAATGGAACAGAATAGAGAGCCCAGAAATAAAGCTGCAAACCTACAACCATCTGATCTTCAACAAAGCTGACCAAAAGGGGAAAGGACTCCTTTTTCAATAAATGGTGCTTGAATAACTGACTAGCCATATGCAGAAGACTGAAACTGGACCCCTTCCTTTTAATGTATGCAAAAATAAACTCAAGATGGATTAAAGACTTAAATGTAAAACCTAAAACTACTGAAGACTTAAATGTAAAAACTCTGGAAGATAACTTAGGAAATACCATTCTGTACACGGTCTCTGGAAAATATTTCATGACAAAGATGCCAAAAGCAATTGTGACCAAAAAAAAAAAAAGACAAATGGAACCTAATTAAGCTAAAGAGCTTATGCATAGCAAAAGAAACTATCAACAGAGTAAACAGACAACCTAGAGAATGGGAGAAAATATTTGCAAACTATGCATCTGACAAAAGTATAAGATTCAGACTCTATAAGGAATTTAAATAAATTAACAAGCAAAAACAACCCTATTTAAAAGTTGGCAAAGGACATGAACAGATACTTCTCAAAAGAAGACATACATGAGGCCAACAAGCAGATGAAAAAATGCTCAACATCACTAATCATTAGAGAAATGCAAATCAAAAACACAATAAGATACCATCTCATACCATTCAGAATGGCTATTACTAACAAGTCAAAAAATAGCAGGTAGTGGTGAGGTTGTGGAGGAAGGGGACTGCTTATACACTGCTTGTGGGAATGTAAACTAGCTCAGCCATTGTGGAAGGTTGTTTGGCAATTTCTCAACTTAATACAGAACTACTATTCAGCCCAGCAATCCCAGTGCTGAGTATATACACAAAGGAAAATAAATCATCCTACCATAAAGACACATACATAGACATATTCATTGCAGTAGTTTTCATAATAGCAAAGGCATATAATCAACCTAAAAGCCCATCCAAGGTAGACTGGACAAAGAAAATGTACTAAATATGCACCATGGAGTACTATGCAGCCACAAAAAAGAATGAGATCATGTCCTCTGCAGCAACATTTATGGAGCTGAAGGCTAGTATCCTAAGCAAATTAACATAGGAACAGAAAACCAAATACTGCATATTCCCACTTATAAGTGGGAGCTAATCATTTAGTACACTTGGATACAGAGAAAGAAACAATAGACACCAGGACATATTTGAGTGTAGAAGGTGGGTGAAGGGAGCGGATCAAAGAATTACCCATTGGGTACTATGCCTGTTACCTGGGTGATGAAAAAATATTTATACGAAACCCCTGTGACTTACAATTTCCCTATATAACAAACTTGCGCTTAAACTCTTGAACCTAAAATAAAAGTTTAAATAAAAAAAAAAGAAAAAAATGTTTAATAAAGGGCAGCATATTATTGCACCATTCAAGAAAAATAAACGAAAGTGTGGAGGTGGAGAACAGATTAGTGGTTGTGGGGTTGCCAGTCTTGTAATGGATGGAGGAGAAGGAACAGGAGTGCCTCCCCAAAGGATTACAATGGTGATTTGGGTGGTAATGGATTCATTCTGTATCTTGAGCGCAATGGTAGTTATACCAATCTCCACATGAGATAAAATGGCATTGAACTAACTATACACACGCATTGTACCAATGTCAGTGTCCTGGGTTTGATATTGTACTATAGGTATGTTATATTTTATAAACTATGTCAGCATAGTACTTTGAGAAACTAGATGAAGAGTACACTACCAGGGATCTCTCTGTACTATTTTGTACCTTCCTTTGAATCCATAATCTCAAAGCAAGTGTTTCTAAAACTTTACCAATAAAAATGTTAAATCATAGCTAGTATTTAGACAGTACCTAGTACTGAGTCCTAGGACTTTATTAAAGATTTATTTTATGTAATGTATTATTAATTGTCAGGGAAAAACTATGATGAGATGTAGACAGTGGTGTTGTGCCTTTCTTACGGATGAGGAAACTGGAATCTGGAGATATGAAGTAATTTGCTCCAGGTAGCAGTCAGTGGTGTGATGAGGATGCATGCACAAGGAGTCTAGTTCCAGGGCTGCATTTTTCTCCACTATCCTGTCCCTTAAGCTGCCTTTGGCTTTCAGGGATACATAAGTTCTGTCAAGCCAGGATGTGAGTATGATGAAGGAATGATGTTGAGGTATAGAAGAATTTCCATGGTAGAGTCAAATATGTTCTTTCTTCCACTCCAAGGCTGTTCTTGGTACTTGAGAGAGTAGCAAAGTCTTCATGCCAGGGCCTCATAGGACAATATTGGTGCCTTTTACAGACAGGAGTAAGGTAGCCCCTGTAATTAGACAAGGAGAGTTGAGTTGTTCTTACTTCCATTTGCAGTTAATGATTCTAATTAAAGTGAAGGTTACCAAGGGCCTCTCTTGTCATACTCCATGCAGGAAAGGCTGGGAGAAGGGAGGCATTTCAAGTAAAGCAGGTATTCATGTTCTTCTTCCTCTTTTGTCCCTGAGGTATAATCCTCCTCCAATTTCGTTGCTGATTTATTTAAAGGTGAACATATTTTTTAGTCTGCTCCCCATCCAGCTGCCTAATCTCTCTTTGAGCCCAGGTTTAAAAAAAAAATTGACTCTGTCAACCTGCAAATGGTGGGCGCTCACTGGCCTTCTCCTTTTCAAAGCCCTGAGCTGGTTCCTGATCAGCTTCCTGATTCCTATTTTCCGTTTTACTACCTGCATCGTGCAAGCACTTCCATTGTCAGGTGTAAGATCTCGGCAAAACTATGTGCTTTTGAGGATGTGCCCACAGATTTAATGGAATACCTTGTTTTTCTTCTTAGTAATATAACAGGAGAGCAGATTCATGCTCAAAATAATGGGTTCAGCATTCTGGTTGAAACTAGCTGAACTATCAGAATCTCTCAGGCAGAACAACCTAGAGACTCCTATAGAGAACTAGGAAGCCAGGCACAGTGGGTCATGCTTGTAATCCCAGCACTTTGGGAGGCCGAGGTGGGAGGATTGCTTGAGCCCAGGAGTTTGAGAGCAGCCTGGACAACATAGTGAGACTCTGTCTGTACAAATAATTTAAAAAAATATTAGCCAATGTGGTGCATGCCTGTAGTCCAAGCTTTTTGGGAGCCTGAGGTGGGAGGATCACTTGAGCCTGGGAGGTAGAGGCTGCAGAGAGCTATGATTGCACCACTGCACTCCAGCCTGGGCAACAGAGCAAGACCGTGTCTCTAAAAAATAAAAAAAGAACTAAGGGCTGTAATCCAGACAGCTAAGTATGGGAGAGGGGATGAATCATGTGGAGTCTTGGAAAGCTCTGATTCTGGAGGAATATCCAAGTGAGGGTTTCAGCAAGAAGGAAAACTGCCATTTTGTTTTGTTTAATGCAAAGCCTTTGTTCTGTCTCGTAAATATGCCTTCCTTTTACCAACCTCACTCTTGGTCGAATATTTAACCAATGGTCTGACAAACTTGTCCACAGGCGTATGAGGAGGGTGAAAATGAGACCTGCGCTCAAGCTGAGTTTGAAGCATCACATCTGACTACAGGAGTGTGGGGAGGAGGAAGGTAGTGTATGGCAAAGGCATGGAAAGATGAAGGCTAAGGGTGATCTTTGCATAAGCATCAAATAATATGTCTATAGGAAGGGCAGGCTGAGAGACTAAATATGTATTCACAGCCAGGGGCTGCAGTCCAGAGAGCAAGATACGGTGAAAGGTTCAGAAAGGTCAGAGAAACCAAGTGTGGAGAGAGCCTTGAAATGGGAGCAGGAAGACTTTTGTCAGGGTGGCGATGTGAATAGTTAACAGGGTCCACCCCTAGTTGCTAGGCCACTTTGGGTTACTATAGATCGTGAGATGATTCCAGTTCTCAGGGCTTTAGAAGATTTTACTGACTGTATTATGGGGGAAGGCACTTGAGGGAAAAGTCTAGTTCACGAGAGGAGTGAGCTCTCATCCAAGGTAACATTGCTTTTCCACACACTAACACATTTCCAGTTCACAGTGCTTTGCCAGTTGAGCCAACCCACTTCATCCTCAGCCCTTATCACCTTAACACACTATATCCTACTTCATGCATTGGGGATCATTGTCAGGAGAGAGCAGGGAGCGTTTGCCCTCAGAGGACCTCGTAGTGGCTTTTACCTTCCTCTCCTGGGTCCCTTGACGCCCTTGCAGAAATGTGCATCTCTCTCGTGGGCCTCATGACATCTTAGTACCTGGAGTGCAGCTCTGAGTGTTATGCGCTATGTCCAGTGTCTGTTATCACACTTTGAATGCAAAGATTACACAGACCCACAACGCAAGCATCAAGGCAGTAAAACATCCCAACTCTGGTTATATAACTACACAGTACCCACAACAGGAGTCTATGCAATGTGTCAGGATAAAAGAGAATGTGGGATATCACAAGGAGGCCCTTTGCATGGACAGAGGAAAGCCAAGTATGAGACAAGAGATAGAGAAAGAGAGAGAGATCATAATGTAGAGCAATTTTCAGGAGAAGAAAACAGTGAGAGGTGGGTAAAGGCATTTATATTCCAACTGTATCCTTGCTACTTTGGCTGGACCTGCATTGTGGCTCATATGAAGTCTGTCTGATCCACCCTCCTGCCCCTTTTGTGTCTTCACAGCAGAGCACTGTTAAGGGTAGTTGGCAGCTTGAGAACAATCAGCATACACTATTGCATACACAAAAGAACATGTCTTCAAGTTTTATTTCTGTTATTACTTTGAAGAATTATACTTCCTAGTTTTCAGCCTAATAGAGTTTTTGCAGTCTCTTAACATTGAGTTAGAGATACTTCCTGTCTCTCCTTTTTAACTCATTCATTTAACACATACCTATTGGGTGCCTACTAAGTGCTAGTCATAGTCACAGATGCTGGGATCATGGCCGTGAGTATGGGAACAAAAAATGAAAAAGTGAATAAATGCAGATTTTAATTTGAGATAGGACCGGAACTGTTTATATGTAATATAGAAATTGGGGAAGTCCTCTCTATGGAAGTAACACTTGAGCAGAGATCTGGGTAAAAGTAACTAGAAGAGCAGCTTACATTTATAAGGCATTTTCTAATGGTGCCAGGGGCGGTGCTAAGAGGTTTTCATGTATTATTTCATTTAATCCTCTCAGAAGCCCTTTGAAGAATAGACTTTATTATCTGCATTTTATAAATATAGAACCCAAAGAATTAAGATATTCGACTGCCTTCACAGGTCACACAGGAAATGAAAGTTGGGGTGGGGATTTCATCCCAGCTCATCTGACTTTAGAGCTCGATGCTCTTAATCACCAAGCTCCACTTCCTAAGGATTTGTACCCCAGTGGGAGAAACCCTCGTTCTCTGCCTTCCATCTCCCTCCCCAAGCAAAGTTTTTCACACTGTGTTCTTTGGAAGCTCCAGGGTTTCTTCATGCCCAGGATAAGTATATTGACTCCACATTAGTTTTTAGGAGAATGGTTCTTCTACCTGTTCCCATTTAGTAAATTAGACTTCAGTAGAGTAATTTTTAAAACAATGGTAAAGTCCTTAAGAGAAAGTTAAATTAAAAAAATAAATTGTGAATTTTTTTTAACTGAAAGATGTTGTGGTCAAGTAGCACAGATTTTGTGGTTAAGTAGTTGTAGTACTAATAATCGTGGCAGCGGCAGCAGCAATGATAGCTGCAAACACCTTACATCTATGCTTACTAAGTTCCAAGTACTAGTCTGGGTATTTTGCAGTACTAACCAATTTGATCCTCACAGCAACCCTCTGAGATGGGTTCATTTTACAAACAAGAAATCTGAAGCTCTGAGGTGTTGACTATCTCAGGTCCCACAGCTGGAAAGTGGCAGGACTAGGAATTAAGCCCAGGCTGTCAAGCTGCAGATTCTGTATATTGTCATCCCGTGACCTAAGGTTAAGGACCTGAACCTTCCATGTCACTTAGCTTAAAGTGAAAGCTATGCTTGCTGTGAAATCCTGACTTGCTGGATGTATGACCATGGAGCGCACTTTACACATTCATGCCAGCTAGAGGATGTCTCATTAACTCAACCTTACCTGTGACACTCCCTACCTCTATAGACTTTTTGCCGGTGAGGGTGTGACATTTCTCTGGAGCAAAACTTGATACCCAAATTTTATATCCATGAGCCTGGTATGGCCTGTTTTATGTTACTAATTTTAAAGAATTGATTGTTGGCTAATCACCTTAATGAGTTAAGCCTGAGTTGGCTGTAGCCAGGGCTCAGCAGTGTCCTAAGCCAACGCCTAGAAGACACATTCATTTTTTCACATGTCAAGTACACACTTAGCCTTCAATTGGCTTTCTTGACCAAATGTTAATTCCAAAGGTTAAAAGGCATAGAAAAATCATTATAAACTATTCACCTCACCTCACCTCCTGCGCCGCAAATTCTGACCCACACCTTGAGGGAGCATCCATGCTGAAAGTTCCTAAAAGGTCTCCGCCACTGTAAATTTCTGATCTGTGGTGAGATTCCTGGCAAATTGGAGTTGCTATTAAGACTCTGCTGCAGTTCCCTCTGTTAGTGTAGGGTCCTGACTAAATGGTATGATGCAGTGTGTCTTCTGTTAATGGCCAGTCTGTGTGAGCCACGGAGACTGAAGTTAGGAAGGGTTCCATTCTGCACTGAAAAAGTTTGGCCAGCATAAATCAAGGGCCTCAATCACTGATATCACCCAGAAAAAGAAACATGATCAATTTTTCATGTAATTTCTGGCTGGTACCTATGGAATCACTCTGTCTCATTGTACAACAGAGTATATTATGAGAAAAATGAGGGTTGGTGCTGGGGCTTCCCCCACTGTCTGTTGCCTCTTTTATTGTTATTGCTTTAGCAGTATTCATCGTTTGTGCCTCAAAGCCACCAGACAGGGCCCCATAAATCTCTCTGGCTCCCTGTGTGGAAGCCAGGCTGAGATGATATGCAGCTCTCTGGGTGCTCCCAGCACCATCATTCTAGACCCAAACCGAGATATGATTTAGGAGGTCCCCATAAAACTGGGGCTCATTGTCCTAATCGGAGTCATTTATCCTGTCTTAAGCTATCAAATCAGAGCTCCTGGGTTGTGGGGAGTTAGTTAGGGGGTGGTTTTTCTAGTATATTTTACAATGTATATTTTCAAACTTATTTTGAAAAGAATCTCATTTATGAAGGGAATGTGCTTTTTCGTTGGTTTTTAAATAAATTTTATTGTGTGTATTTGAGGTATACAACATGGTGTTAAGACATATATACAAAATAGTAAAATAGTTACTATAATGAAGCAAATTCACATATTCATCATCTCACATAGTTACTCACTTTTTTGGGTGTTTGTTTTTGTGACAAGGGCAACTAAAGTATACTCATTTGGCAGGAATCCCAAATACAGTACAGTTTTACCTGCAGTCTTCATGTTGTATGTTAGATCTCTAGACTGGTTCTTCCTACAAATCTGCTGCTTACTATTCTCTGACCTGTATCTCCCCATTCTGCCCTCCCAACCTCCACCGCAGTCTGATAACCACTGTTTTATTCTCTATCTCTATATATTTTACTTTAAGATTCCACATTTAAGTAAGATCATGTGATATTTTTCTTTCTGTGTCTGGTTTATTTCACTTAGTGTATGTCTTCCAGGTTCATCCTTGTTGGTGCAAATGACAGAATCTCTTAATTTTTAAGGCCGAATAATATTCATTGTATTTATTATATACCATTTTTTAATCTGTTTGTCCTTTGATGGACATTTACATTGTTTGTATATCTTCACTACTATAGATAATGCTGCAGTGGACATGAGGGTGCAGATATCTTTACAAGATGGTGATTTCAAAGGTAATATGGACTTGTAGCACATCTGGGTAGAACCCTTGCAAAAAGTTGCAGCTCCACTTGGCAGCCCTGTAGGTTGAGATTTGCCCCATGCTGGAAGAGGATGTCATTTTTAAATGTGTGACTTTGACGTAAATACCTGCTCACTTGAGTTAGAAGGAAAATGTAACCCTTAAAAAGATGATTCTGCTTAATACTTTGTAATTCAGGAATGTCAAGAAGCAACAAAGCATATGTACCAAGAGAAAAGCAGGATTTGGATTACACTAAATTCTATTTATGCCGAATGTTTTATTTTGTTGAAGTCACATGTGAAAATAGCAATATTGAATGATGAAAAATCTTAAATTTAGCCCCTGTTAAGGAGAATAATGTTCCTTTGAAAGATTTTGTAGTAACGGTCAAAGCAAGGAGCAAATTACTTATAGCAAATCATAAAATGGTGGGAGAAGGAGAGCTTCACTTTGGAACTCTTAGCTCCTTGCTCCAATTCCCACAGTAAACAACAGCACAGTTTTAAAATGTTGCACGTGGGCCCAGAGATATTTATTCACACTAAAGAAACACAACTTCTAACTACACCAAAATGAGTCCCTCCTGACGATGTTTAAATAAATTGTGCCAACCCACCAATAAAGCACGCTGACATGTCATGAAGTGACAGCCATCACTTTTAACACATTTCATCACCGCTCTGCAGAGGCTGACTATCTGTATCTTATCACACTGTGAAGGGTCCTTTGTTCCTTCATTTCTCCTGGCATCTTTTTTTCTCTCTAGTTAAACAACCCAGCCATGGCTGTTGGACAAAGAAAAAAGAAATATGTCATCATGTTTTAGTTATTTTTAAAAGCACCTGCTTTTTAGAACACAATTTGCAAAGATTATCTGAAATAGATTAACCTTTTAAAGTGATAATGACATAAAATTATGTAAGTAATTTTCCTAAGAAATAACACACTGAAAATAATGTGTGACACCATCGACATAAAGCTCAGCATAGGCTTTTGTCTGAATTCAGTTACTTTGGGGTGACCGTTTTAATCAAACCATTTGTCTGTCTCTACATCCAGGAATGTCCATACCACAGGTATCTTGACCTTCCCCAAATTTCTGGTTCTACTTTCTGGTTTCTTTGTTAGCACTGGAAAGAGAATTAGCACAAGCTTGTCCTTCATGGCTGACCTCTCCAGGTTTCTTATCACTTTTATTTAAACCAGATCTTAGAGGCAAAAACCACAGTAGTATTGCGCTCAGCTAGTGAGATAATTAGGAAGTGCTGTCTCCATAATTACTATGTTACTGTCTCTGGAGGGACATGAAAGCTTGTCCTGTCCCTTTAACAGGACAAGTTGCTAATTCCCTTAACATTTTTTCCCCTTTGGACTGATCATATTTCACAAATTTTTGCATTTTGAAATGTTTTAAAGGGAGGCTTAAGCAATAATGCACAGATTATGGAAATGATGCTCATTAAGTAGAAGGCAGATTTCTGAAAAAGCCACAGAGCTGCCTCGAAACATGTAACCTCCATTAGAGGCTTCACTCGAATGTTTATTCATGGAGCAGTAAATGTTTATTATTATACATTTTATTGAAACATAAATTAAAGAACTGTAATTATGTGTATAGCAAACAGTAAAGCAATGTGCATTTGTCACAAAATGAGTAAGACAAGGAAAAATGCTATCATTGTTTCATTTGCATCCAAATCCTTTTTTGTGTACCCAACAGAAAGGCACCCAGAGGGAATCACTCTACAAATTAATGTTCTGATATGATGTATAAATAAAAAAATAGATATTCTTCATATTTTGTCTAACAAAGACAGCACCCTGGAAATAATTTGTAAAGATCAGAAGATATCCAAAGAAAGGTTAGGTTTCTTCTTCTCTCCTGAGAGAGAACCACAGTAGCTCTTAATGAAGTTAATACTGAAGAACAAATATATCCCCTTGGCAACCCTTGCAATGCTGACTGTTTTTAGGATAAGCTATTTCTCCAGACACTTGAGCATATCTGAGGAGTTTTTTAAAAGGGATTTATGTGAGGCTAGAAACACAAGAACTTCAAACTTACATTTTGGTAAAAAGATACTTTTCAGTGGGGAAGAAAGGTGTGTACAATGTGATCATAATGGCTCTTCATAGACCATATCTTTGTATGCACAAGAACTTTCAAGCAAAAGAAAATGACAAGAATGGCGAAGAAAATCAGTGCATATATTTCTTCTTTTAAGCAAGCTAAGAAATTAAGAGCAGTGTAGTTGTCTATTTTTTAACCATCCATTCATCCATCCATGCACCTATCTGTCCACATTCCCACTCATGTACCTAGCTACCCACCCATCCACCCACCCACTCATCCATCTATTCATCCATCCACCCATCCATTCACCCATCCATCACCCATCCACCCCACCCATCCATCCATTCATCCATCCATTCAACATTTAGAAAATATGTCTTCTAACCTAGGAACCTAGGGTTAGGGAAAAGAAATAATCAGGGGAAAAATAAGTAATAAATAGCCCAGAGTTCCAGACTAGTGGAAGAGAAAACCTGTAATTACTTATACTTTGTGGTAAAAAGCTGTCATGGACATATGTATAATGAATCAGAAAAGCCTGAAAGAGTCTGAAGAGTACACAAAGGAGGTGGCATTTGAGCATGCTCTTTAAAACTCAGAGGAAGAAAAGGAAAGAGAAAGGAACTCCACATGGAAGGAAGAACACTTATAATTTTTTCTACCAAGCACATGTACTATAAACTCCATGACTACAACAACAGCTGAGAAGCACAAGGGTGACAAATCTTGAAACATCCTCTGTATCTCCTAAAAGTCATTTTGAAACTTTCATACGTTTTCAGATGGAGACATTACTAAGGCACTGTCCCTTCCCACCCAGCAGCAAGCAGAACCAATTTTACAAGAACCTCTGAGCTCCTGCATGTCTAACTGAACAGGAAGACTCTATCTTGGAATGGTCTTCCCAGGGTTCTACCTGTCCATAACCCAAGGCAGTAGAGATGACCTCATCTGAGAGCCCTACATCTGGAGTTATCCTGGTTTTATAGCTGTTGGTTAGGTTTGTCAACTTCTCTAGAGGCAGTGATTATAAATTCTACTGACATGGTTTGGCTGCATCCGCACCCAAATCTCATCTTGAATTGTAGTTCCCATAATCCCCATGTGTCATGGGTGGGACCAGGTGGAGAAAATTGAATCATGGGGGCAGTTTCCCCCATCGTGTTCTCATGATACTGAGTTAGTTCTCATGAGATCTGATAGTTTTATAAGGGGATTCCCCTTCACTGGGCACTCATTCTTCTCCTTGCTGCCCCCATGTGAAGAAGGATATGTTTGCTTCCCCTTCTGCCATGATTGTAAGTTTCCTGAGGCCTCCCTAGCCAGGTGGAACTGTGAGTCAATTAAACCTCTTTCCTTTATAAATCACCCAGTCTCAGGTATGTCTTTATTAGCAGTGTGAGAACAGACTAATACATCTACTCTCTTCTCATTAAATAGCTTTAAGAATTTAAAGCTGTTATGTCACTGAAAACCAATCAGAAGCCAAAAGATAATACAGAATATTTGTACAAGATTGATCTCAATTTGTTAGAAGTCCATTCTCTCTAATGGGCCCCTCTTGCAGAAGAGCTTACTGTCATAAGGTTGAATAGCAGGGGGTGCAGGGGCAGTGGGCTTAGAACTTTTACTAGGCTGTGTTCAACTGTACCAGAGTGTTGATAGTAGTATCACACTTGGATGTTGGAATCGGGCAGACCTCCTCATTCCACGTTCCTCGGCCTTAGTTTCTTCATCTATAAATTAATGATGATAATAATTTGGATTATATCTATCATGCAGTTTTATGATAAATAATTGAGATCTTACAAAGAAAGTGCTTAGCTCAGTTCCTGGCATATGGTGCCTGGCATATAGTAAGAGCTTAATAAATAGCAACAGCTATTACCGTTGCCTCTTGTGATGATAATAAGTAAAGAATGCTCAACTGGAGAGGTTTCTAGCATGCTTGAGGTTTTTTCTTTAGAGCTTGAGGGGCCCTGTTTTAGTCTAAAGTATTTCTTTTCCCTCCCAGAGCTCTACTCTGAACATGTTGGAGGTTTCATGAAAGGTATTGATAGATAAGAGTTAGTAGCCCATTCTTTAAAAACTTTCACAGAGCCTTCTTTCTTTCCTTTCTTCTTTGTTTTTCCCCTGCTATCTGCAGATGAGAATAGTTAGAATGAGCAGAAATAAAATTTCCTGGCATGAACTATACTACTAGTTAGGGAGACCATATAATTTATTGTCCACAGCAGAACTTAGGAGAGTGAAAGAAGATGCTGTTTGTTATTACACTGGCCTGTTCATACCTGCAGGCCTAAAGCTGGATGGTTCCAAACAGACTGGGGCATATGGTCACCCAGACATTAGTTATTTACTCAGGAAGGAGCATAGCAAAATACAGATTACGCTTGACATCCTATCAACCTGACTTAGAATCTTAACTCGGCCACTTTTGCCAGCTTGGTGAGCTTGCACAATTTATTTAATTCCAGTAAGCATCAGTGTGCTTACTGAAAAAAAAGGAGACAACAGTTTCTATTTTTTAGTGTTTTGGTGAGGATGTGATAATATACAGTACTAAGTACCATTCCAACATATAATATTCTTATGTAAATGGCAGCAAGTTTTATAACTGATAATGACTTAAAAATGGTGGGTGGATGAATGGTGTGCTATTACTATAAATACGTAAGTAAAGCTTTTTGGCTTATGTGAAAGAAATAATTAAGTGTTGTGTCAGTATTCTCTTTATAGAGAAGAAGAGGACTGAATTTGGGGGATTTATTTACCAGCCCGTGAAAGAACCCACATTTCTCTAGATGCAAAGCCTGCCTCATTCACATCTTTCAACTGACAGCCTCAGAATAGTGGGTGATGCATTTATTTCCATGTCTTTGTTACCCAGATTATATAGTTAACTTACTACTACAGGAGAAAAGAAGCCTGGGACTTCTTTTTGAGACAGCCATTGGTTTTCTTTGGTGGAAATAAGATGTTTTTGCCCTTTGGAAGTGGTCAAGGAGGGAGCCGGGTGCAAAATATCTACAGTAATTTGGGACTTAGAATCTACTGGAGGAAGCCCAAGGAGCAAAAAATTAGAGATAGGAGAATGGGAGGGAAGACTGTTAATTCCTTATGCCCAGATGTTTCCCTCCACATGGCAGTAACTACTCTTATTCTTTCCTTTAATTCACTTAGTAAAGGAAAATGGAAGAAGCCACTTGAAGTGTAATCGTCTCTCACTGTTCCTGTTTAGGTCTATTACAGAAACAGTAGGAAGATTTCTCATTTTGTTCTGTTTATTGCAGTAGGATTTAAAAAAAAAGGGAGGAGTTCTCTCAACACCTGTTTTCTTAATTGATTGTGATTACTTTGCCCCCAAAAGTGAGTGGCTTTTAAACGAAGTGGGTACATTCTCTTAAGCCACATTACCGTCTTATAAACCCATCGTTAAAATAGGAAAGGTGACAGAACTATGACAACAGCTCCCTTTCCTAGTCTGGATGAGAAGCCCATATGCCATTCCCCTCTTTCTCCTCATCTGCAATCAATGCTTCCTTTGCTTTACAAAGACAAATGCTAGACAAGGCATGTTTTCTTCCTACATGCCCTGTTTTGAGTTTGAGAGCAATGAGGAAGGAAGTCTATCTACTTTTTATCTGTTCTTTTTGTTCTGAATCTCAGTGGAAGAGCTCTTTAAAACAAACCAAAAAATAAAAAATAAAAAATAACTTCTCCTGGGTTTATCCAGTGCCTATCACAGCATTTTATGTGATCCAGTCTTTGGGATGATGATGAGCTACTCAGGCTTGCAGTGTGGAAGATGGGGGAAATTGATTGGCAAAATGGATGCATTGACACTTGCTCACCTCTGTGCTCATGGAGGAGGAATTGAAGAAGAACTTGCCAATGATTTCCACCTTGTGAGCTCAAAGCCAAAAGGAAAAGGCATATACCCAGGCTCTCAGAGTTCAGTGACACTTTATATAGCATCACATTCCATTATCTTGCTTTTTTTTTACTTGAAAAGATCTTAATTTTTGAAAATTTGAAATTTAAAGCTGTCTGGCTGCTAAAAGCTCCTTTAAACTCTCATTGTGGCTTGGAGCAATACATCATCAAAGCCATGGTGCTTAGATGATGTATGGCACCCATATATCAGGAGATCACCATCCCTCTTATGATATATTATTATAACTCACAATTGGAGCACCACCAGTGATGTATGGCTTAAAAACACAATTGTTAAGCCACGAAACTCAACAGAGTCTCCACAAATTCTAGGAGGTGTTTTCTGTTTATTTTTTTTGTTTAAACTGAATTTTTTTTTATTTTATTTTTTTCCTCGAAGTTTCCCAACTTGATTGGGACACTTTGAACACATGAAAAGCACTATGTTTCCTCTGTTTCCTGAAAGGCATACCAACTGCCTGAGCATTGCTAATATTCTAAGTGAAGGAGCTCATTGACAGTAGCATCAGAAACCATCAGTGTGCCTGTGCATTTTGACAGGCCACTAATTTGATTCTTGAGTTGATCATGCTGAGGTATCCTCAAAGTCCTGTAAGTGGCATTACTTCCAGTGACATTTATTTTAGAACTAAGTGGCTGTCAGTAATTTCATGCTGACCCTTGACTCGACTTAGTTGCAGAAGATGAGGCCTCCCCAAATCAAGAAAGGCGAAATCCAGCCATGTAGAACACACAGCTTTGGGGTTGGTGATGGTCTGGATGAAGTAGAATACATTCAGCAAGGCTCACCGTAGAATTAAGCCTTCTGGTTTAGAACAGAAGCAGGTTGTCAAAATTATTTTTAAAACTAATGTCCTGTAATATAGTCACTGCTGGAATTGACTGAATATTCAGAATGTGCAGCATTAGCTTAAGCACTTTACCTATGTATTTCACATAATCGGTATAAAAGTCTTATGCGTTGGGATACTGGTTTTATGCCCACTTGATAAATGAGGGAATATGAAAGAAGTTAAGGAATTGACTCAGTCAAAAGAATAGGTAGGATCTGAACCTTGGCCACCCATCTCCAGTGACTGAACACCAAACTGCTTAATTGTAGGGGCTTCTACCTTTCTGAGATCTGGGAAAGGTAGGTTGGGCAAGATGAGGTAGAAAGCACTGGAACACAAGTCAGGGTTTCGGGGTTCTCAAGGTTCCAGTCCCAGCCCTGCCATTGCTTTGTTATTGGTCTTCTAAAAGCCACTCTCCTCTTCTGTGAAATGAAGAAATTAATCACTCTTACCACCCCCCAACGTTTCCTAATTCTAATCCTAGTAGTTTTCAAAGATTTTCTGTTTGTTTGTTTTAGTAATAAATTCTTTTTGCAAATGAAATCGTGCATGGGATCCCAACATAGAAACAGATAAAACAGAGCTGCTCTGTTTGAATCACGGAGGGGGAACTGAAGCCTGCCGCCCTTTCTGGTGCCCCATTCTTACTTCCATCATGAGCTGCTCCTTGGCCATACCAGGCTTGTTCTGGAAGCTCTAGGGCTTTGGGATTTGCAGTTTAAGAACCTCTAACCAGATCTTTATCTGTCTGGTATCTCACCCATGAAAAGGAGACTAAATACTTGAACTTTCGGTTCAGCAGCAAATTATGAGACTCCAGGTGTCAGAAATGAGACAGCACTGTGCAAAGCATTGCTACAAGTGGGGTCTGTGCTCTGCCCACATTGTGTTACCCCCACCCACCATGGCTGCAATGCATCCTACCTAGCCTGACTTGCATCTGACTGGCCCTGGAAACCTGGCTTTTCTCACTCTCCAGGTGGGAGAAGGCAGAAGTGCTGGAGTATTGATGTCTCCCCAGGAGCAGTTCTCAACCAGTGAGGACAAAAGTTGGTGTATGAATACGCTAGTTCCCTCACACCTTGGCTGGGATAACTCTGGGATGCATATTCTTCACTGGTTCTCAGAGTTCTCTAGCAGGTTTTATAAGCTCCAGTCACATGAAATAATAACTCACTTGATCACACATCCTATATTGGCCTCCTTTCCTTTCTTGTTTCCTTCCCTTACTCGTGTTTCCAGGGATCATCCACCAAATAAACTACTTGCACTCTCATCCTTGCTTCAGGGTTTTTGTCTGGGGCAATTGAGACTAAAAAAAAAAAAAAAGCGTGTATCATATTTGTATCACTCTACATGAAGAAAAGGATTGTTATTGCTTGGTAGTGAGATTAACTGGTGATCTAAATTTTCTCCTATGTGTTTTTCTGTCTCTTCCAGATTTTCTATGCTGTAAGTTTTTGATGTTGATATTCAGCAAATGGAAACAATCTTATTGTTACATTACATTTGGTTATTCCAAGTTGAGAGCTGTTGGTGATTATACAAACATAGAACAATAGATGCTGGGCATGATCACCTGAGGTTGGGAGTTTGAGACCAGCCTGGCCAACATGGTGGAACCCCGTCTGTACTAAAAATGCAAAAAAAAATTAGCCGGGCATAGTGGCGTGCTCCTGTAGTCCCAGCTACTCAGGAGGCTGAGTCAGGAGAATCGCTTGAACTTGGGAGGCAGAGGTTGCAGTGAGCCGAGATCGTGCCACTGCACTCCAGCCTGGGTGACAGAGTGAGACCCTGTCTCAAAAAAAAAAAAAAAAAAAAAAAAACCAAAAAAACAATACGTGAAGATTTCTGAGTCTTGCTGAGGGAAAATTTTGTCTCTTCCTTACCTATAAAATTGGTAGAATAATACTTCATACAGGTGTTGTAGAGATAAGAAAAATGTGTAAACTATGCATTAAAAATATCAAGGCATCTGTATTCATTCTCTACTTGTTGCTATAACAAATTGCTGGAAACAGTGCATGGGTCATATGGTAACATTATTGTTAACCTTTTGGGGAACTGCAGAAACTTTTCTAAAGCAGCCGTACCATTTTACATCTGCACCAGCTTGTACAAGGGTTCCAATTTCTCCACTTCCTTGCCAGCATTTGTTATTATCTGTCCTTTTTTTTTTTTTTTTTTTTTTTTTTGAGATGAAGTCTCACTCTGTCGCCCAGGCTGGAGTGCAGTGGTGCAATCTCGGCTCACTGCAACTTCCACCTCCCAGGTTTAAGAGATTCTCCTACCTCAGCCTCCTGAGTAGCTGGGATTACAGGTGTGTGCCACCATGCCTGGCTAATTTTTGTATTTTTAGTAGAGACGGGGTTTCACTATATTGGCCAGGCTGGTCTCGAACTCCTGACCTTGTGATCCACCCGCCTTGGCCTCCCAAAGTGCTGGGATTACAGGCGTGAGCCGCCGCACCCGGCCTATCTGTCCTTTTTATTACAGTTGCCCTAGTATGTGTTAAGTGGTATTGTCTTTGTGGTTTTGGGCTAAGGATGTTGAGCATCTTTTCATGTATTCATTTATCCATCCTCTTTGGAGAAATGTCTATTCATATCCTTTGCCCATTTTACTTAGGATTTTTGTCTTTTTATTACTTAGTTGTAAGTAGTTCTTTATGTATTTTAGATATACTTCCCTTATCAGATAGGTGATTTGCAAATCCTTTCTGCCAGTCTCTGGCTTGGCTTTTCACATTCTTGCTTGTGGCCTTTGAAGTAGAAAGTTTACAATTTTGATGATGTTCACCCTCTTCCAGTTTTAAGGACTCCTGATGACATTGGGGCAACCTGGAAAATCTATGATACCTCTGCCAATCTTAAGGTCAGCTGCTTAATAACCTTAATTCATTTGCAGCCATAATTTATCTTTTGTAACTTAACATAATCACAGGTCAGGGATTAGGTCATGGATAACTTTGAAGGTGGCCATTATCGTTTTACCACAGTATCGTCTGTTGTTCTTTAGAATCAGACCTGCCTTCTGCAGTTGCTCATTGGCACATGTGAGGGAGAAGGATTCACACAGGGCCAACTGGTGGAGGTTGCAGGACACCAGCTGTGGAGCAGGGTAGCTCTTCAGCCTTCCTTGCTCTTTCCCCCGCCATGAGCCATGTTTCTATCCCTTAGAATTGAATTACAATATATTCTGACAAGGAAAAAGGATATCGATACAACCACACTGGCAATCCTCAGGTGAGTATGGGCAGAAGAGATGTGTTCAAAGAGATGGTGGAAGGAGCAGAGACAGCGCAGAAGAGGCAGAGCCTCTAAAAATGATGGCATTGCATGCTGTCTCTATTTCACCTCCTGCTTGCTCTGAAACCCACTGCAGTTAAGTTTTGGGTTTTTGTTGTTGTTGTTGTTGTTTTGAGACAGAGTCTTGCTCTGTCACCCAGGCTGGAGTGCAGTGGCACGATCTCGGCTCACGGCAACCTCCGCCTCCCGGGTTCAAGCGATTCTCCTACATCAGCCTCCCGAGTACCTGGGATTACAGGCATGTGCCACCACGCCTGGCTAACTTTTTGTGTATTTTTAGTAGAGACGGGGTTTCACAATGTTGGTCAGACTGGTCTCGAACTCCTGACCTCGTGATCCGCCCGCCTCGGCCTCCCAAAGTGCTGGGATTACAGGCGTGAACCACAGCACCCGGCCTTCAGTTTTTTTTTTTTTTTTTAAGTAATAGCTTTATTGAGATATAATTCACATAATATAAAAGAAACCCTATTAAAATATACAGTTCATTCTTTTAGTATTGTCACAAAGTTGTGCAACCATCACTGCTATATAATTCCAGAACATATCCATTAACCCAAAAGAAACCCTGTGCCCATTAGCAGTTACCCTGCATCCCTCTTCACAACCGCAAATCTTTCTTTCTCTATGAATCAGCCTCATTTGGCTTTTTCATGTAAATGGCATGGTACAATATGTGGCCGTTTTTGTCTGGCTTATTTCCCTGAGCATGATGCTTTCACTCAGCGCACATCACTCCTTTTTATGGCCAAATCATATCCTATTGTCTTCATATACTGCACTTTGTTTACCATTGATCAGTTGATAGTCATTTGAGTTTTTTATACTTTTTGGTGATTGTGAATAATGTTGCTGTAAACATTTGCGTACAAGTTTTTGTGTGGACATATGTCTTCAGTTGTCTTGGGTATGTATTAGGATCAGAATTCTGAGTCACAAGGTAACTCCATGTTCAACTTTTTGAGGAACTGCCAAACTGTTTTCCAAAGTAACTGTGTGATTTTACATCCCCAGTAGTGTAGGAGGGTTCCAGCTCTCCACACTCTGGCCAACGCTTGTTATTGTGTGTCTTTTGATTATTGCCTTTCTAGTGGGTATGAAGTAGTAGCTCAGTGTGGTTTTGATTTGCATTTCCCTAATGACTAATAATGTGGAGCATCTTTTCATGGGGTTTTAAATTTTGTTCTCCTAGCCTTACTGAAACAATTCAAGCTTTCAAAAACATTTCACACCGTTAGTGATACACTCTTTGAAATTTGTTCTCTGGGCTGTTGGAACTTACCCTCTCTTGATTTTGCCCCTTTCCTTACTACAGCCTTAAATTGAGTCCTGCTTCTCTTCCCAAACTTCAAACGTTAGAGTGGCCCAGTGCTCAGTATTTACCTTATACCGTTATGTTTTTCTTCAGGACACTTATTTCTATCCAAAATTAGAATGTATAGTCATTTCCTTACTTATCTTCTGCATCACCCATTGGAATATAAGCTCTATGGGGACAGAGGCTTTGTCTTGTCCATTACCGTATCCCTGGCTCCTAGAATAGCACCTAGAAATAGATATTTTTGAGTGAATCAATGTATACTTTAGAAAAGTGTACAGAAGTGTTACATGAATGAAACAGGAAAATCAGGACTCCACAATCAAATAAGTTTCTGGAATGCTGGATTAGATGAAGTTAAACAAGCATCTTTTGTGTGGAAATTCTCATACTTTAATGTGCTAATGAGCATTGTGAAATGTTATTTGACCATGAAAACATTTTTGGTGTGGAATGTGTCATGGGACTTTAAAAAGATACTCTTCTAGCTCAAGCAGCTCAACTGCAACCCCTAGCAAATTTGTGGAAGGCTTTTATTAAATAGATGTTTTGTTGGCACTTAGAAAAGTAAGTTGTGATCACCACAGCTTAATATGAAAGCAGTAAGAACAGATTATATCAAATTATCCTCATCTCTGCTATTCATAGCGTTTTTATCAGAATGTCATTCTATTAGAAGTCCATAGTGATGGTATTTTTTCACAGCAATGAGGCTTTGAGCTGGCTCTATCGTGATTTCCCTGTTCTGAGAAGCTGAGTGGGTTGTCAGCATCGTGTGATCAGCCTGTCACTTAAGAATTTATGTCACGATATCAGGGTGGGTTGAGATCTATGCCCTCGGGAAAAAACCACCTGTACAGTGAGCTATTTACGGTTTCAGTGTGTCACGGCGAATTTCAAGTGGTTACCAGTGATCAAGAGTGGCTTTTCTAGAACTTAGTGGTAACACAGCCTATAGAGATAGCCCTGAACTAAATCGAGAAGACGAGGGTAAAGAATAGTAGGCAGGGGATAGACCTGGACCCTGGAGGTTCCCAAGTGCAGGTTCGCAACCCCCCATATGTTAGTAGTGGATACTAACAGGCATATTCCTGAGGACCACGCAAGGAGAGTGGTCAGAGTGCAGAAAGCCAGAGAAGCATTCAGAAAGATGTCTCCACATACTGGACATAGTAGCTCACACCTATAATCTCAGCTACTTGGGAGGCTGAGGAGAGGGGATTGCTTGAGGCCAGGAGTTTGAGACCAGACTGGGCAACATAGTGAGAACTCCATTGCTAAAAATATGAAAAAAAGTTAGCTTGATGTGGTAGCATGCACCTGTAGTCCCAGCCATTTGGGAGGCTGAGGCAGGAGGATCTCTTGAGCCTGGGAGTTGAAGGCTGCAGTGAGCTATGATTGTATCACTGTACTCCAACCTGGGTGACAGAGTGAGATTCTGTGGGGAGAGAGAAAAGAAGGAAAGGAAGGGAAAAAAATAGGAAGGAGGGAAAGAAGAAGGAAAAGAAAAAAGAGAAAAGATAGAAGGAAAGAAGGAAAAAAAAGAGGAAAAAACAAGAAAAGAGACAAAGAGTCTACACATAATGCAGTAGGGCAGGCAAAACAGCAAGTGACCTCCGTGCCCACACTGGCAGAAGCAAGGTAAGAAACCAGGTGGATATTGTAAGCCAGTGGTTCTCAAAGTGTGGCATTAGACCAGCATCAGCTGGGAGCTTGTTAGAAATGCAGACTTTTAGGGCCCTGCAGTCTGCATTTTAATAAGCCCCAAGTACAGGTGGAAGATTGAGAATGGCTAGTCAAAGCAACAGAAATCAGCTTTCACAAAAGAGATGCTTGAACAATGCCCTCATTCAAGGAGCTTCTTAATATCTTTATTTTATTTTTTTGCTGGTGCAGAAATCAATCCCTGAATGTGATGTCTACTTGATCTTCAGGTTTAAATTTGTTTTTTTAAATAATAAAACTAATTCTTGTACAGTTCTAGGTAATGAGTACTAACTACATGCAAAGCTGAATGCTCAGCACATGGTTAGCAGACTTAATCCTCTTAACAACCCTGTGAGGTAGCAACCATTATAATCCCCATATAGATAAGATACTGACACATAGACTTTGTGAGACAAGGTCACACAGTTAGTTTGTGGTAGGTCCAGGATTTGTGTTAGGAAGTTTGACTGGAAGACACTGGTCTGGAACTTCCTAGAATGTATAAGGGAGATGATGAAAGATGGATGGATGGGAGGGAGGAAGAGGGGAAGAAAGGAGGAGGGGGACAGAAAGAAGAAAGGACAAAAAGAGGAGAAGAAGAAAGGATGGCAGGAGATTCTGGAATTAAAGAGTGAGTGAAGGCTCCTTCTAAGGGTTGTCTGTATCCTTGTTCTACGTTATTTTCCTGGTTTTGCTTTTAAGTCAGCCCATCTGGAGATTTCAGTAGATTTCAGCCCAGGCCCACCTGCCTGGCTTTCTCCTAAGAATTTGGTTTCATGGGTAGTTTGTGATTTATTTTTTCCTTGTTTGTTCTTTCACTTTCTCTCTCCATGCTCACGTAATCTTTGTGACTGAAGTGCACACTTGGCCCAATTGCTGAGAGATCCGTGACTGGCTTTATCATTGACTGGCGAATATTCTGGCAAAAGCGTGTCACTCTTTGGGAACTGTGCTCAGGGGCTGCTTTGAAGCTCCTCTCTGCTTCATTCACCTTGGACCACGTTGCACCCTGCCTCGGCTTTAATAGCGTGTCACTTTCCCCCTCCTTGTACAGCGAAGCCACAGGGACACTTAAATCTTACGTTCTCTTGAGGCCTTTTGGAGCCTCGGAACCCGATCGCAGTAATCAGGAAGGGGTGGGTGATCAGGGATGAGGTTTGACCCTCTGTCTGCCTCTCTCTATTTAAGCTCTTCATTTTCGCATTCCTCCCCACGGTTTGTAATAAAAGTGGAACATAGCTCAAGGGCAGAAATGAGGTTTAACTTCAGCCGAGGTACAATAGAGGCTATTTGGAAAGTAAAACTTTCAAATAGCAGTTTAGCTTTGAAGAATATATTGAATTAGATATGCTCTGAGCCCTGATTCACCATCATTGCATAATAGCATTGCTATGTATATTACCTGGGTGCTTTAGTAGACTAGAGAAATGGGCTATTTAAAAGATTAAGTTCGCAGAATCAGTGCATGTGCTAATGAAACACAGGAGCCAAAGCCAGGCAACCTCATTTCCGGTGCTGACTTTTACTTCCTGTGGCGCCCTGTCCTCACCGAACATTGATATCTTCTTCTGTAAAGTGGAGATCATAGTAGACCTTGCCTCACGGGATTTTTTTTTTTTTTTTTTTTTTTTTTTTTTTGAGGAGTCTCGCTCTGTCGCCCAGGCTGGAGTGCAGTGGCGCGATCTCAGCTCACTGCAAGCTCCGCCTCCTGGTTTCAGGCCATTCTCCCACCTCAGCCTCCTAAGTTTTTGTTTTTGTAGTTTTAGTAGAGACGGAGTTTCACCGTGTTGGCCAGGATGATCTCGATCTCCTGACCTCGTGATCCGCCCACCTCGGCCTCCCAAAGTGCTGGGATTACAGGCATGAGCCACCGTGCCCGGCCACCTCATAGGATTTTTAAGAGTACTAAATGAAGAATGCCAAACACAGAGCTTTCCTTATCATAGGAAATAAATGCTTACTAAATGAGAACTGTTTGTATTACTATTATATGATTATTTTTCGAAGCCCCAAGTCTGTAATTCTGCCCATACTACTTGCTACCTCATTCACTCGCTCTTTACTTATGCAGTTCTCTGTTAGCCAATTCTTATTTCTTGTCAGTTTCAGAGTCATGATGGTCACCTTTGAAGATGCACTGTCATTTCAAAGCACTGGCTAACTACAACCAAGACTGACAACCATGAATAATTCCACAGAGACTCTGAAACACTCTAGCATTTCGCACCAACTCTCATATATACCCCAAGTTGTTCTCTCTTGCTTAGTGCACTCTCTTCTCGGCAGATTTCAGGTATAGTTACCGAAGGTGGATATCAACTTCCTCTGAAAAATAACCCAGCAGGAACCATCGTGGAGTAATTGGGCTTCATGAGAGCATCACTGTCAAGTCTAAAAATACATGGGGAGATAATCACATTTTTTTTCTTTCTTGTACATTTTCAGCACGTTCACGTCCATGTTCTTCCCAGGAAGGCTGGAGACTTTCACAGGAATGACAGCATCTATGAGGAGGTGGGTCTGTTCTCTCTGATCTTATTGTTTGATCACGGGGACTGTCGGTGGGATGACATCAACCTAATGAATCAAGTATTACCCTAGATATGGTCTGAAATGGAATTCTATTTAGCCAGACTTGGAAAGTGGCAATAGAGGCCAAGGAGTCAAGAATGGCCATCGTGGGAACCCATGACTAATTAATTATAATGATTTTCTTTTTCAAATGAAAACCAGCAGAAACCAAGTGTCCTTGTGATTTCTATCCTGTCATTTACCAGGACAGTAAATATTTGCATGGAGATATGGCCCAGAATCTCCATAGAAGAAAACCTACAGTGCTACCACTGGAAATCAAGCAGATTGATATATGATTCTTTTAGTCAAATGCTACACTTAATTTTTAAAACACTTTGGAACTCAGCTTGTCTTTCCCAACAGCATTTATTCAAAGTGAAACTGTAAATTATCATGAGCAAAAACTAGGTTGGTTTGAGTAAGTGTAACTCACATATCATAAATATTAAAGCAGTTAATTTATTTCTAAGTACTCCCATTCAAAGATACAAGTGTGAAACCACTACAAACATGAACCAGCAAGAGCCAGGTGATCTGCGCCTAAAGCCCTGTCTACATGAGAACTTTCAGATGCCCATTTCCACCTTGTGGAGCATACAGCCTGTCATGGATCAGGCTGTTATAAGGTGATTTCAATTTACCTGTTTATTGTAGCCAAAGAGGAGAAAGTATGTCCCCCACACGGTAGAGCAGATTAGATAGCACTAGTGCCCTGGAGTGATTGGTTAAATGGACTTTGAGGCTGTTTGTGGATGCAAGGAAAAATGCTGTGATTGATTAGCAACGCCTGCCAAGGGCATTGGATAGGAGGTAGGTATCATATTTGCCGTCTTTTTGACATTCCTGTTCTAACTCTTTGAGAATGCTTTTTAAAACACATTGTTTATCTCGATTGTTTATCATGTGGCTCTATCAAATAAACCACATGATTATCTCTACCTTGTTTCCAGGGACCAGTTAAAATCTATGCATCTTTTTGTGTGTGTGTGTCTATAGGGCTTCTTTGCAGTGATGAAATTAAAACAGCAACTCAAACCCTGAAAATAAAGAACAATAGGTCAGCAGTTAATAATGAAACGTATAATTAATGTTTCTGGAACACATTGGATTCCGTGAGGTGGCTGGTTATTCTGCCTTTAGGATAACCCTTACTATCTTTTGCTTTGTATGTTTTCCAAGAGCTGTACTGGATGTGTGTAGAGTGGAAATAGTCTAGTCACCAGTCCCTAAGTGCTGATTTGTGGACCAGTTGCTGCAGGTCTCAATTCCCAGGAGGTCCCGTCGCTGGAGATTCTGATCAAGTAGATTGCACAGCACTCAGGAATCAGTCATTGTATAAGGAAATCCCCAGGAGACTCTGATGCATGACTACCTTTGGGAATAGGCTCTCTGGGTTTTACAAAGCCATTTTCTGTAAAACTATAATTTGAACTCATTTTCGTTGGATGTGGAATGCAGTTTGGGGATTGATAAGGGCTTAGTTCACATTGGAAGAAAATCAGAATTATAGAGTAATTATAAAGAGATGTAATTAAAATACAAATACCAATCTCACTAATGTAAACTAAGGTTAATGTTGCCAAATACGACTGTTTTAATGAATAAATTAGCACGTGAATTATATACTAGTAAATACTGCTAAAGTAGCATAAAAGTGCTTGAAAACACTGTTTCCTTAGGCTGAACAGTCACCTTGAAATCTTGTCGATGTTCCAACTGTGCTTAAAATGAAGCTGCATGGTTACTTTTCAGCCCAGTTCAAGACACAATGTACAGTGCTGTGGTTGGTGTATGGCCTCTCTCTCCTGTCTTATTCCTTTGCCCTTGTCTGCATGCTCTGATGGCCCCACAGAAAAGAAAACACATGTTTCTACTTCCCACATTTTGGAGGATCATCTCAGGAGAAGTAATTACTGTGAGAGTTTTTCTTTTTTTAAAAATCAGTGGTATAAGTCATATGTAGTATAGACAGTATCCACTAAGGGAAATTGTGGTACAAGACTATGTAGAGATTGAAGTCTAGAAACAGGCAGAAGTAAGTTCAAATCCCAGTGGCATCTACTAACCATATGATATTGTAGCCTGAAAGGCTTATTTCAGGGCTTGGTACTTACCAAGAATTTGTTAATAGATAGTAGTTTCTGTTCTTACTGTTATTATTACTATTTTTCTTTAAGTAGCAATGGTTAGTAAATAGAGAACCAGATTCAAAGCCAGGTCATTGGATGTTCCCATCTACCATTCTTTCCAAGGGTGAGATTCCCAATTTTCTCTTTGCCTTTAACCATTCATTCTCAGTTTTATCTTCCTCTTTGTATGGAAATGTTTCTCCAGGCTGAGTATCTAATAACACAGTGTCCAGAAAGAGGCATGAAAAGCATGCAGTACCGCACAGGCATTATTGGAATAGAACTTAATGTACATTAGACCAAATGATCTTAATCAGAAGCGATGGAGTGATGAGGGATGGCATTCTTTATATTGATGGGAGCACTTGCTCTAGATTATGCATCTGTTCAGGACATTCAACAAACAGACTGCCTTGGAGGGTGGGAGGTAGGAAACAGGAACAGCAGGAGACTGAGCTCCATAAAATGTAATTGTATTTCTACTGCTGCAGACATAGAAAATTATGCCTAAAGAAGCCCCAGAGTATAAATTGGCTAGGAACATTGTGTTCTTTCTAGGCACTGTTTTAAGATGGTTAGTGACAAATAAGAAGGTTCATAAGAAAGGTGGTTGGGTCTGAAAAC
Source organism: Homo sapiens (assembly GCF_000001405.40). NCBI lineage: Eukaryota > Metazoa > Chordata > Mammalia > Primates > Hominidae > Homo > Homo sapiens. Next base: position 59,919,532 of record NC_000003.12, on the reverse strand, counting down.
AGATTTGGAGACTAATTGATGGTGGGAATGTTTTGCCTGGAAAAAGGAAGACTTGTAGAGGGAAGATAGTAACAGAGTCACTGTTTCCAAATATCTGAAGGGCTGGCAGGTGGAAAGATATTAAATACATTCTATGTGGCTCCAGAGGGCAGATCTGTGAGTATCGGACTACAAAGTGGCAGATATCATTAGCTCTCCATAATAACGGGTCAAAGTGAAAAAAAATGAACACTTAAAGAGTGCCTTCCAAGGGGGTGAGCTTCCCATCCCTGGATTCACTCAAGCACAGAGCACATGGCCACAATTCTTCAAGAGGATATCTACATTTGGTCAGTGCATGGGCCACTTGGATTTGTGGTGCCTCTCTTTACACATTTGACCCATTTGATCATTACCGCCATTTTCAGGTTTTACAAGTTCTGTAACAAATAGTGGGGGGTTTTTTGTGATCAGTATTGCAATGTTTGGGTGACTGCCTAGTGAAACATATTGTTTTCATTGTTAAGTTCATGGAAATAAAAGGTAAAACCTTTTCTTTTTAACTTAGAGGAAACCACACTGTATTTATTTTTTTCTCATTCCCAGCCTACTTCCTGCTTTTCCTGCAGCTCAGCATTGCATATTGATGGTCCTTGGGCTTTGCTTGCCTCTTCACATGTGTTTTATTTTTGCCTGCAAAGTATTTTTGGTGATTTGCTTTATTGTGACTGTAAAGTATTTTTTAATGAGTTTGAATGCTGTTAGGCATATTGCTCATTCTCTAGGCCTATACAGTTGCCACGACTGCCTTCTACCTAGGCTTGCTTCACTGGCTAATGGTGCATGCATAGCTCCTGAAGGCATTGGAGTTTAAGATCCTTGCCTATTTCATGGGCTGCTCCTCTTCTCTCTGCTACTCAAAGATTACTATTCCCCAGGATCTTCTGTCTGGTATACTGGGCATGCTGTTTAACTGAAACATCTGTTTAATCTCCCTGCCTATTCATTTACAGTGCTCTGGCCCCAGGTGAGTTTTTTTTGTTTTTTAACTTCAAGTTCTGGGATACATGTGCAGAACCTCCTCAAAGGGTCCTTTTCACTGTTCTCTGATTTCATCTGTAATAGTTAATCCTCTGTCCCCTCTAGAGTAACTCTACTATATCGCCATACCTATTTCCTTCTTAACACCTCCCACACTTGACATAATTTATTACTTTATTATTCAATACCTGCATCCCCCAATTATGTGTTACAGTCTTTAGGGCAGGGATCTAATCTGGCCTAGGGTGGACCTTCAGTGAATATTTGAAAATGAATGAACACATTTAAAAAAAAACAAGGTGTTGAACTAGAAGAACCTGAAATTCTCTGCTAGTTCTAACATAATTTAAAAGGAGACTATATATTGCTCTTCAGACGGTCAATTCACTAACTCATAGCCACACTGGGTGAGACTTCGACATGGTGCCATCAGCCATCTGAGGTGAATTTAATGGGGCATTGATGGAACAGAATCCTTTGGTCAGAAATCAGTGTGCAGAAGGCTACAAATTGTGGTACTCTGGAAAGGTTAGCGGAAGCAATTATAAACCTTGTCTGATTGCTAAGCAAGTCTGATAGGCACATGTCGAAGTTGATAACTAACTTGCCCCCTCCCACCAAACCTAGATTTGTGTGGTGGCTATAACAAATACAGATGTAGGATTTGCTGAAAGCAGGCTCGAGAGCTACTCTTCCTTTCTTTCCAATCTTGATTATCATCTCTAAGTTTGTTTTCACCTTCTGTTCCTCCAGCAGTATGTCTTAGACATTTCAGAGTATGAGCCTCTCTTCTGTCTCAAAACTGAGCTCAAACTCTCCCCCTTCCAAAGCAGATTGTCTGCTGAAGCTCTTCCTTTGTGGTTGTCTATGCAGATCTTATTTATCTGTAGCTCCCAAACTCTTTCTACATCTATGTTCTTTAAATTTTCATGAATTATGCCAAGCCTTCCCTGAACTCAATGGGCCCTTCATTATCTTGACAAGTTGATGAAGATTATGGTAATGACCCAAATGCGTCCTTAGATAAAAGAGTGTGTATAGCCAATGTGGGGGAGGAAACACCCATGGCCTAATGTCATATCATTTCATTAACTCAGTAAGACTTACCCTAGCTGTATCCCAAATAACCAACTCTCATAACTGTATTGGACAATTCATCAAATGCTTATGGGTGACATTGAATGGTTGTGACTGTGCACTGTATATAAAACCCATTACTGATGAAGGAAGTGACTATTACTAAAGCAAGTGGGAATAGCAATCAGCAATTGGACAAATTCAACCATGAATTTCATAGACAAAGCAACTGTGGGTTCAAGCATGTCATGGGAAACAATTGCTTGGCTTAACACAATTCATGAGCAAAATCAACTTGCTAAAATGCAGGCCATTTGGCCCTGAGGGCTGGAGAGAACCATTATATTGCTGATGATATTTGTTGTTGAACTTGGATCTCTTTCACACGGCATTTGACAATGGGCTCAGAGTCCATGGGTCCCTAGTTGACTTTTCAAAAAGGAAGGAATGTTTCAGTGAGACAGTTAATTAGCTTTTTGTCTTCTGGGTTTACTGATGTCCTCCCACTGAGTGGTAAGTTTCTGGGTATTTCAGAATTTTGGAATGAAAACTTTGGTGTCTCTCACTCAGAATAAGATAACAACTTGATATGTTCTTCTAAATTAATGGAGACTTTTTATTCAAAGAACCAGATGTGATAAAACTAACAAATAAGCATATAGTAATGCTAATTTAATGACCTATGACCTCAAATGCTCCCTCTGTATCTATGAATGCTCTTTGACTACCTATTTTAGTAATGAGAAAGCTGGGTAAGCATCTGGTTTACCCTATCCTATGTCAGATTATTACTGAGCTAAATCTCTATGTTCCTCAAAAGAGAGACACAAAATTAGCAGAAAAGCATTTATCTGGTTAAAAGTTATTTGTGCCCATTTTTCTCACAGAAACAAATATTCAGATAATATATGTATTAGTGTTCTCTAGCAGGACAGAACTAGTAGGATAGATGTATATATGAAGGAGAGTTTATTAAGGAGTATTGACTTACATGATCACAAGGTGAAGCCCCACAATAGGCCATCTGCAAGCGGAGGAGCAAGGAAGCCAGTCCGAGTCCCAAAATCTCAAAAGTAGGGAAGCTGACGGTGCAGCCTTCAGTCTGTTGCTGAAGGCCCGAGAGCCCCTGGCAAACCACTGGTATAAGTCCAAGAGACCATAAGCTGAAAAACTTGGAGTCCGATGTTCGAGGGCAGGAAGAATCCAGCACAGGGGAAAGATGAAGGCCGGAAAACTCAGCAAGTCAGCTCTTTCCACTTTCTGCCTGCTTTATTCTAGCCATGCTGACGGCTGATTAGATGGTGCCCACCAAGATTGAGGGTGGGTCTGCCTCTCCCAGTCCACTGACTCAAATGTTAATCTCCTTTGGCAATATCCTCATAGACACACCCAGTAACAATACTTTGCATCCTTCAGTCCAATCAAGTTGACACTCAATATTAACTGTCACAATATATGATTCAGGTTAGTCATTTTATTAACTCTTTTTTTTTTTTTTCCCTAAGAGACAGGGTCTCACTTTGTTGCCCAGGCTGGCCAGCAGTGGCCCAATCATAGCTCACTACAGCCTCAAACCCCGGGTCTCAAGTGATCCTCCTGCCTCAGCCTCCTGAGTGGCTAGGACTACAGGCACATACCACCACACCTGGCTAATGCTTTTGTAGAGACAGGTCTCGCAATGTTGTCCAGGCTGGTCTCAAACTCCTAGCCTCAAGCAATCCTCCTGGCTTGGCCTCCCAAAGTACTGGGATTATAGGCATGAGCCACTGTGCCCAGCCCAGGCTAGAGCTGAGCAAATGAGGAATGTTGAGAAGCATGGAGGGCTATAATGGTAGTGATGGTGAGCTGGAGCCTCCAAGGAAGATCATGAAGTCATTGGACACTAAAGAGGAAAAGTAATGAAAGAAGGCTGAAGAGTGCTTGATGAGGAGGATGCAGGTATCTACAGGTTGAGCTTCAAGGCAAAGGATGCCATGGCTTTTTCCTAGAGTTTGCTTTGAGGTAAGCCACCCTAGATTAGTTTCCCAAAATTGCTCTCCTATGTTGTTTGAATACGTTCAATCGCATGTTAGTGAGAAATAAGAAAAATTTAATCACGTGTCACTCTATCCATAGCATCCATAGTAAATCCACTCTATCAAACCACTCCATGTGGTCCTCTCTCATTATTTCACGAATCAGGCTTTCTTGTGCAGAGTCCTATCTGCCCTCCACAGTGAATTCTCGCTCCAACCAGATACATTCCATCAGAAAGCTCTAAGGTGCTTGCCGGTGAAGGAGGAAAATGCCTCCTCCGAGGTGTCCTTGTTGCTGGAGTCCATCTGTCTTCCTACCTGCTTCTCACAGTTCTGCTCTCAGTCTCACAGTGGCTGCTGCAATGAAACCTAAGTTTAACTACAGTGCTTGAATAATGGGCTGTTTCAGTGTTTAAAAAAATCTTAGGTTTACATTCAAGGTTCTTGACATAGCTATTAATAAACAGTCACTTAAAATTGTCCAAAAAGTTTTGATAAGTTTGGAGTTAACCTGCTAAAGCAAACTACCAAGACCTCAGTAGTTTTTCCAAATCTATTTTACTTAGAGAAATGAGAGTATAGGGATTAAGGATAGAAAAAAAAAAAGACTATTGGAAAAATAAATTATGATCAGAAATGGATAAACTAGGTAAAGATAAAACAGATATGAATTAAGCATTGACACGATTCCCTCAATATAAATTATAATGGCCCCAAAGTGAAAAGCCCCCAAACATTTAACTTTATCTCTCTTTTAATGAAGAAAATCAAAATAAGCAAGAATTAGGGGGAAACAGAAGATAAAAATTAATACAATTTTAAAGTCCCAAAGCATTTGTAAATGTTTTTATTTTTAAATTATCACCTGTCATTCTTTAGACAAAAGAATGATACACGTAATTCAAACAACCTGTATAAATAAATCCCGTAACCTCTTAGCTTGGAGCAAGGTTCATTCATGTGCCACATGCCAGCAGGAAGGAATCCTAAGGCCTCCAAGTTGCCTGCTTTTGGAGACATAGAGTCCTGGAAACATAGCCTGATGTTTAGAATCCCGGCTTGAGTGTTCAAATGTGGTTATATTTTTGTCACTGCGGGGTGACGTCTACCATTAATGTTCAATTTGGTAGCAGCTAGCCACCTGTGACCAGTCTGAATTGAGATGCGTTGTAAATGTAAAATCCAGTTTGGATTTCAAAGCCTTCTACCAAAAAAAAAGTAAATATCTCATTAATAATGTTTTATAATAGTTACATGTTGAAATAATATTTTGGTAATGTTGAGTTAAAAATTATATCACTAAAATTAATTTCACCTGTTTCTTTGTACTTGTTTTGGTGTTGCTACCAAACACTTTTAATAACATATGTATCATGCATTAGATTTCTTCTGGATGGTTTTGCTCTAGAATGCTTTCAAACTGCTTCAGCTTACTGGCAAGCAGCTGTTTGTGGAGACTGTTATGACCTTCCCCAGATTTAGAATAGGAATTTGAATGATGCCAGATTTTCTTTCTAATCAAGGAAATCAAGAAATAGCTGGTATACCTGTGTAGCTCTAAATTCTCTCCACCTTGAGTCAACATAGTGGTTTATTGCAAACTGTTTAATGTTTAACTTGCTATTTAAATCTCAGTATCTTATGTTTCCCATATTTAAAATGGGGGAAAAATACCCAATCATACTGGGCTTCTAGTGTAAGGTTAGTGGTCATAAACAACTATAGTTCGCAGTCTTTGCTCCTAGGGAGAGCACTAATGAAAAATAATAATATAATACAATTATTATTGTCATTGAGAATACACTGAGACTAGTAATACATCTATTTTAAATAAATGTAATATTTGAGAATAATAATCAAATTATTACTGTCAATGAGAATACACATTGGGCTGGACTGTCTGCTAGGTGCCAAGCATATCATTCATACCATTGAATTGAAACTAAATTTGCAGAGAGTAAATATCTATGTCAAAACCTCATAACCAGCTCATGGCAAAGCTTGTTTATATCAAAGTCTGTTTGACTACAAAGCCGTCCCTGTTTCTATCACCCTTTGCTTTAGCCTAAGGAAAATATTATCCTTCAATTTTATGGAAAACCCATGTATAGGGAGAAAAGCGATTTTCTTAGACACTGGGACTTCCAGTACTAAATCCCAAATGGTTTTCATATCCCTGTTCAACCTTAGAGACATTTACACACACACCCACACACGACACACAACACACACACTGGATTTCCAATAAATTTATAAGTCCTAGACACACTACCAGTAATTTAGACTTACAGTGAAAGAAATGACATTTTACAAAGTCAGGAATTTTCTCTGCTTTTAGGATATGGCCCAGTAGTCCCCATCTAGGTACTTTATTATAACTCCTTTTTATAGTTTTTGTTAAACACAAGGAAGTCATCAACATGCTCTAGCCAAGCTTCTAAAATTCCCAAGGTCATCCTTTTGGAGCTGGTTTTGTGTGCTGAACCACTTAAATACTTTTGCTTGCCCTATAGTGTATTCATGTCATAACACACTAAAATATTTAAGAGAAAATTGCTTTTTTTCTGAAAAAGAAACAGTCTTGCTTACAACTCTTAATGGACCATAAATATCTTGTAGGCCAGTTGCACCAGTACCTGCTGGAAATCCTTCTTACATTAGTGGTAACTAAGGAACTCATAGAATATTCCCTTTGCACGGAAATGTAACCTTGCTCCAACATATATTTTCCCTCTAAAAAATTGTTTCTTCTAGTAAGCTCTTCAGAGTTATTGAAAGAACATTGCACAGTTAGGTCAAATCTATATATGAAATTTCACTGGCTTCTCTGTTAATCTTGGCCCTATCAGTTGATATGAAGACTGAGGCTGAATTTCCTTTTAGCGACTCTAAAAAATTGTTTCTCTTAGTAAGCTCTTCAGAGTTATTGAAAGGACATTGCACATTTAGGTCAAATCTATATATGAAATTTCAGCTGGCTTCTCTGGTAATCTTGACCCTATCAGTTGATATTGAAGACTGAGGCTGAATTTCCTTTTCGTGACCTGGAATAAACAACTGCACTTGTTTTCCTAAATTATTTTCCATCCACATGCGGTGTCTACCATTTACCTTCTTTCCCTGGGGCATTGGGCTAGTTTCATCTATTGGTGATCTGGGATAAGGCTGAATTGGACTCCTTGAAAGAGGCTGGAAACAAAATTTTCATTAGTTGGAGATACCTCAAATGTGGAGGGAGACTGTGATATGATAATGACATTAGCATACTGATGAGTTAGTAGATACAATGAAGTGCTCATTTGGGCATTAAGGTACATTTATCTCCATCATGTGTAGAAACGGAGGCATAGGCAGACTTGAAAACTTTTCTGAGGACACAGAGAGAGTAAGAAACAGACCTGAGATTCATACTTAGGCTGTCTGGCTCCAGAGTCTGGGTTCTTTTCTCTCTGCTGCCTTTATGAACTACCAGAGGCATCTTACTCATCTTCATCGTCTCTGCCTCCCGGCACCCAAAAAATACCACTTCATAATAGAGTAGGTTGTCAAGAAATGACTGTTGAGCTGAACCTGGCACTTCCCCAGCCCCCTGCATTCAAAGCCTGGTTCTCCGAATCCTCAGGTCCGTGGCTTTCCTTTATCAGCTGCAAGTCTCCCCACTTCTTGGGCACTGCCTGCCTCCTGTCAAAACCTCCCCCTGAGAAAGAACTTTTACCTCAGTTATTACAATAGTAGTTCAAATTGTTGTCCTTCCTGAGATGCCAAGGTATTTTTTCAAACCAACAAAGCCTGCTGAGAAAAGAATGGGATTTTAAAGCTGGAATATGAGGCTTAGTCTAGAGGCACAGTGGAACTTTGTGGGTAACTCCAGAATCAAATCACCAAGGCCAGCTCTGTCCCCTGTACCCGTTTCTGGAATCTCCCTGAAAATTAGCTTGATAAATTGCTCCCCTAAAAGGCCCACCAGTACTCTCCAAGATAGACAATCCAAAATAGGCTGGTCAACACACACCTTCATGTATGGAACTGTGTCTACACCCAACCCAGAGAATACCAGGCATTTCTGTGTCATCCCCTCTACGTTCAAAATGCTCTTACCTGCATTATGGTTCCAGTTTACATCAGAGTGTGTGTGAGTGTGTGTCTATAAAACTTGGACAACTGATCTAATTAATTTGAAAAATCTAAACCTGGGAAACAATTTAAATGCCAAATAATAGAGGAATATATTTAATACTATATATTCATCTATGTAGCCATCAAATGAGTTTTTATGAATAATATTAATGATATAACACTGTACACAAATAATCAGACCAAGAATAATAAAGCAAATTAGTCCTACCATGATTTATCATTAGTAAAAATGGGAAACTGGAGAGAGAAAAGTTATATTTCAAAAACTGTAGTATACCTGTTGTTAGATTCTAGTCTTGCCTGTTTTTATTATTTTCTGTGGTTTGGAATGAATTCTAATTTTTCTGGGCTACAAGTCTGCAAAACAATGTTTTCAATTTTTTTTCCTTCTTTTTTTTCCCATCTTTCCTAATTTGGAGTCACCAAAAACTAAGCTGTGCTTTCGTAAAGCCAAGTGAACTGAAGCTAGACAACGGAAACTTCAGAAAAAGATAACAGCAACCTATTTACATACATAAGCCACTTTCATACCTGCCTACTGATGTATGGACTTCAGAGTAATATGGCCTATATGGATTTTACAGGCTTGTTCTTTTGTTTGTTGTTGTTGTTTTTTCCTTCCTCCCCCTATTTTTTCTTTATAGAACATGAGACTTACAACCTGCTAAAAATGAACATACCTAATAACTCAAGACCTACCCATCTAGGAATAAGCCATCCTAGCCATGAGAGATGAGACAAAACCTGAGACCAGAGACTCATTTTCTTCTAAAATGCTTCCTCCAAAAGATTTTTTCAAAGAGAAGGGGGGGAAATGTGAAAGGAAATCTTGGGGCCCCCAAATCACTAAGCTACAGGGAAAAGTCAAGCTGGGAGCTGCTTAGGGGCAACCTGCCTCCCATTCTATTAAAAGTCACCCCTCTGCTCACTGAGATAAATGCATATCTGATTGCCTCCTTTGGAGAGGCTAGTCAGAAACTCAGAAGAATGCAACCATGTGTCTCCTATCTACCTATGCCCTGGAAGCTCCCTCCCCACTTAGAGTCTTCTTGCCTTTGCTTCAAGTTGTCCCATCTTTCCAGAATGAACCATTGCTCATCTTATGTATGTTGATTGATGCCTCATGTCTCCCTAAAATGTATAAAACCAAACTGTGCTCTGATCACCTTGGGCACATGTCCTCAGAACCTCCTGAGGCTGTGTCACAGGTGCACCTCCTCAGCCTTGGCAAAATAAGCTTTCTAAATTCACTGGGAAAAAATACATTGGGATATAATATTGAATGGAAAGAGTGGCATATAAATGGAGAATGGAATGGAAGCACATGTACCTTGAAATTAAGAGAGATTGTAGCTTCAAATAGAATGTTACACTCCTGTTCCTTTCTTCATATTCTCTTGCATTTCCCAAACATAATATAATGAGTATGCAATAATTTGATAATGTGAAGGAAACATCAGGGGTCACTTTTTAAGAGCAGACATCCTGTGTTCTTTTTCATTCATTGGCAGAAGCCAATATTTACTGGCAGTTGTTTGGTGAACCTAGTGAAAAAAATTGACTTTAGTTTTGATCAAAACCTCATGGGAAATACATGTGTGTGTGAGCTAGCTAAGTAGCTGAAACACCCAAAGAGGTGACTTTTTTGGTATTTCTACTCTTTGACTTGTTAGAAAAAAAAATAAAGATACTCCCTGGGATAGAGGCGGACGGATCACTTGAGGTCAGGAGTTTGAGACCAGCCTGGCCAACGTGGTGAAACCCCGTCTCTACTAAAAATACAAAAATTAGCCAGGTGTGGTGGTGCGTGCCCATAATCGCATGTACACAGGAGGCTGAGGCAGGAGAATCACTTGAACCCCAGAGGAGGAGGTTGCAGTGAGCTGAGATCATGCCACTGCATTCTAGCCTGGGTGACAGAGCCAGACTCCACCTAAAAAAATAAAAAGTAGGGCCGGGCGCAGTGGCTCATGCGAGTAATCCCAGCCCTTTGGGAGGCCAAGGCAGGCGGATCATGAGATCAGGAGTTCCAGATCAGCCTGGCCAGCATGGTGAAGCCTCATCTCTACTAAAAATACAAAAAATTAGCTGGGTCGATGGTGCGTGCCTATAGTGCCAGCTACTCAGGAGGCTGAGGCAGGAGAATTGTTTGAACACGGCAGGTGGAGTTTGCACTGAGCCGAGACTGTGCCACTGCATTCCATCCTGGGTGACAGAGCGAGACTCTGTCTCAAAAAAATAAAAAGGAATATAAATAAATAAAAATAAACTAGCCAGTTGTGCTGATGTGATAGTCTACAGTTTTATATTCCCATTTGTTTTGTCTTGTCTCCAGTTTCTTCTCAATCACCAAGTCAACTCTTGCTGTGTCTGAGGTTCATTTGAGTGCCAAGTATAACAATGATTACTTTCACAGTCACCAGTTGGACTATTAAAAAATGAAATGTTCTTGACTCCCAAAGTTCAGTTGAATTTCTGGCTGTGAAAGCAAACCATCTCATCAGCCCTGGGCCAGGTTTTGCTCAGCAAGTTCAGTGCCGTTTCTGTCAGTTCAGGCCTGTAATTCATTCAGTCATATTCTGGCTTATAATCTCTCAATTCAGATTCTGTATTCTGGGGCCTTAATGAGCAACATGTCGTGTGGGGTAGGCAGGGATTCTGTTGTCCTTGGCTGTTGTTTCCTTGGCCTCTGGTGTCCAAGTAATCCACTTTGCCTGGTCCTTGTGTGCATCTTTGGTCCATTCTGATACCCGTAAGGAATGCCATCATTCTTTGCAGGATGGTGACCTTTGGCCTCCTACATTCCTAGAGGTGTCCATGGTCCTGACATAGTCTCTTGTCACAAGCACATGAAGGACACTTACTCTTTGGCCTTTGCCAGCTTGTCAGAGTTCTTCTCATGGGCTCAAAAAAAACTTGTCTGTTCTTACATACTTTGCTAAGACCTGCAGGAAATTAGGTGCCTCCAGCAGACATTCATGTTGCTGCTATAGTCCTTCATTATTCTCTTTGCAAAGCTGTGTACTACCAGAATTCTGGATGGAAAAAGCTGAATGCACATTCAATCTACTCTTAGAGTCTCAAATTCAAAGGGATGGCTTGCAGTGAGTCAGCTGTGGAAGACCAAATAATAGCCTCCCAAATGGTGCCTATGTACCAATCTTTCAGAACCTGTAAATATGTTAGATGGTAAAAGAGAATTAAAGTAGAAGATTCAATTAGAGGCTAGTCAGCCAACTTTAAGATAAGGAGATGACCTTGGATTATCCAAGTGGACTCAATATAATCACAGAGGTGGAAGAGAGAGGCAAAATAAGTAGTGTCAGAGTGATGCAATATGAGAAAGATTCAACTGGCCATCAATGGCCTTAAAGATGGAATTGAGCCATAAGCCAGGGAATTCAGGCAGCCTCTAGAAGCTGGAAAAGGCAAAGAGCCTCCAAAAAGGAATGCAGACTGGCCAACACCTGAATTTTAACCCATTACACCCATTTTGGACATCTGACCTCCAGTGCTGTAAGATAATACATTTGTGTTGTTTTAAGCCACTGAGTTTGTGGAAATTTGTTATAGTAGCAAATAGAAAACTCATATATTACCCAACCTCAGGATTCAGCCTGGGGGTTGGGGAAAAGGCAAGGGTAGAGCACACCCTGCCCCAGTGCACACATGCACACACATGCATGCACGTGCCCACTCATGTACACATGCACTCTTTCTTGCTTTATCTCTCTTGACTCTGTCCATTATCCAGCTTGAAACTCTATTTTAAACTCTGGGGGTGGGCAGTTAGAACTCTTCTGTGTCCTTATCCCTGCATGAATCATTTCTCTCTCACACTGGGGCAGCGCCTTTTGAATTAAAGGCTAAGCTGGTGAGTGAAGGAGACTACTGCTAAGCAATAGATGCACTTCCCTTTAGCCAAGAGATGGTCAGGAAGGAAATGGCACACCAGTGATTACTTTGAAATATTAGCCTGCTACACATGGGTAAGAAATTAGTGACAGTAACTGTGCTACAAAGTTGAAACCGCTAAGTAACATGGGATGGTGGTCTCTGATAAAGGGCCATGGAAGTGTGGGGAAGGAAGTGACCACCTGATATGGGGCCATCAGAAAGGCTTCCTATCGAGGTTCAACTCCTGTCCCTGTGGCTAATGAGACTATGGGCAGTTCCCTCTGCCTGAGGCTCAGTTTCCCTTCAAACTGAGAGGTATTCATCATGGTCACCTGTAAGCCTGCTTTCAGCTCTGATACTTTGTGATTCTATGACACTAAATAGTTCAATTGAGAAAGAATCACTTGCCCTGAGAACTCCTTTCCTTTGATTTCCACGTGGAGGTCACATTAGCATAGCAGAAAGGGTATTGACACTGCAGCTGACTTTTAAAATTCACTGAGAATAGGAGATAAAATGAAAACACACCAGATGGAATGTGAGCTCCCTACTATTTCAAAACTTAGACATTTCCACTAAATGTTGGCACAAACTTAAATATCATCTTGAATGCTATTTACAGTTTTCAAAGTGACAACAATAGCATCATTCAAAAGAAGGAAAGACTATGTGAAGAGAGATCCTAATATCTTTGGAAATTTTTTATGGATGGAAATTTTAAGAGAATAATTAATCAGATACGAAAACAATAGGCTGGGAAAATCACGCAGGCCATTGAGATCCATCTGTAACTCCACCACTAAATGCCTAGATTTCCAGGAACCAACTCCACAGAAGCAGTATGAATTTGGCTCATTTCATGCAGATTTGCTAAATAGGTTTCAATGTTTTTAATTTTTAGGGGTCTACATGCTGTGGTTCTGGATCCACTTTGTGTTACAGACTCCTCTGAAAGCTTTGCCATAAACTGGCAACTTCCTAATGAGGGAAATTTTTAATATATTTACACAGATAGCTTAAAAATGCATTTAATTTTAGGATTTTTAAGGGCCACATTAAGAAGCCCCAACTTGAAAAGAATGCCCTTGAAGTCTAGGAAATTACAAAGACTGATTTTATGCAAGAAGTTTTATAAACACACACACAATCAAAAAATAGTTTTCATGTCCTTGGGGCTATGGTGTCCATTCAAGCTCCAGCTCTCTGTATTCAAGAGCATTGTACTGTCCAGTTATTCTCATAGAGCAAATGCCAGAGACACGCAATGCCAGAATACACAAGGAGGAAGGGGTCTTTTGAAAAGGAAAGATCCATTAGACAGGATAGTGAACTTCATTAGGGAGCCAATAATTGAACATGTCTGATGCCTGAATCTCTTATCTTTTTAATGAAAAGTCCAGTCCCAGAATCACACAGTACCTTCCAGAAAACAGGCCATACAGTTTTACAAAGCACTGTTATTTGCATTTCTGAGGGGTTTTTTTTGTAAATTGACTTAATTTCCAATGCATTATGATTATATAATATCATTCAAGTATAGAAACTTACCTATGATACATCTTTTTGAGGTGCTAAATGTCTTTAAGCTGTGAACGTTGACGTTTTTGTTCTTCTGTCACAGGAGGAAGTTACGTATTCGGGTTTTCTATTCTTTTATAGGCTTTTCTGGATTTTAAGTGCAAGATGACTCACTGTGGCTTTATAATATCTAAGAGACAGCTTAAAATTAAAAAATTTTTAAGTCTCATAGAGTCTATTGACTCCACAGTGGTTGAAACAAAACCATTTTTTAAAATCTGAGTTTATTGTTACCATCATTTGTTCATATTTAATTAAATTTTATATGCCTCATCCCTCCTGCACACACCTATAAAAGGCTTACTACGTGAGAGGCACTAGGTTAGGTTTATACAGACATACGAATTCAAGGGATGAGTTGCTCAAACTTAATTTATCTGATAACAGAGTGCATGCCCTTCTACCATAAAATGTTCCCCTATTCTGACCCCTGGTCTTACTGGTATCACCCCCATTCTGAAAAATCCAGGCTAGAAACTTTGGGTCATCTCCAGTTTATTCTTGAAGTTCGTCCTCTGTATGCTGTCATTCTCTAGTTCTATCAATTCTTTTTTCCTGCCAAGCCCCTGTCATAATTATTGCTATTCTTGGCTGGGCTGAAGTTCTGGGATTGTACTCCCCAGGGTTTTCTGGGGCTTCACCAAGGTTTCCAAATTGATAGCAACAGGAGGCAGGCAAATGCCTAGGCAGATAGGGGTGGGTCCCCAGTGAAACCCCACCTCAAGTGGAAGAGAGTTTAAAGCCTGAAAGCCAAGCTACAAGTTAAATCCTCAGACTGGATTGAGAATTTCCCTTTCTGTTTGGTAAGCTCTCCTCTGATTGGTCCCCACCCTTCACCTGTTTTACATATACCTGCGCTTTCCTAATTGGTTTTCTACACTGTTGTGCCCACCTTTGAGTGGTGTCTTTGCTTTAGACTTATTTGCAGACTCACAAACAAATCAGCAGGCACTTCCCATTCTAAGTCTGGAAAAGGCCCCAGGCCCAGCCACACAGGGGAACTTTCTCACCTTCAGGTAGGGAGACCAAATCCATATCCCCTCTTCGCTAAAAACTGTTTTCGTCACTCAGTAAAATTCTTCCCTGCCCTCCTCACCCTTCAATGTCCAGTGTATCCTCATTCTTCTTGGGCATGGTACAAGAGCTCAGGGAACCACCAAACACGGGTACAAGCTATAACACAAGAAGCTGGAGCACACCAGCATGGCCAAGCAAGGCCTGGTACGGGCATCACTGGCCAGGGGTTCCCAGCTTGCAAAGTGACTGAGAAGAAAAATCCTACATCAAAATCATGACTTCAGTCTACTTGTCTCCTGATTGTGGGGAATATTGAAGGGAAATCCCATAATTTTGTCAACTCAAATACTTTCTCCAATCTGTTTCTGACAGTTGAGGTGGAAGATTTTGATGCAACTTCAAATTGCATGAAAATCATCTCCTATTTGCTTTTTCACCTTCCCTCGCTCCTTCCTGCCTTCCTTTTTTTTTTTTTAATTAGTTTCCTCTTTTGAATTTTATGGCACAAGTTTGTGCTTAATTCCTTATTTAGAGCTTACTGGTAAATTTCCCTTTTTTTTTTTTAACCATGATTTTATGGTTATTATTGTTCCTTTTGTTAGGTGTTGATGAAGGAGGAAGGGAGATTTTTTTTCTTCTGTATTCTGTCACCTTTATCATAAAGAAATAGCCCCTTTAGAACAACTGGCTGTCCGGGGGCGGGGGGGTGTGGGGGAGAAAAAAAAAGAAGTAGCCACTATTTTGTGCTATTTCTTTCCTATTTCCATTCTTATTATCTTTCTTCAGGCCCTAACTAACTCATACTTCCTGGGTTCTGATTTCAGCCAGTCCCTTTTGTACCACATAAACTGGCAGGATGGCTTTCCTTAAATTCAGTTCCTGACATTCCAAAGCTGGAGGAAGCCCAAACATCTTGGCCTATGCTTCCAAGACCCTTGGAAATCTAACTTTGCCTTCTCTTCAACTTATCCCTTGCATTCATGAGCCATTTGCTTAATCGAATTGCCTCCTTATGGCTCTCACAGGGAACCAAATTATTCCCACCTTTTCACTTTCAGATTGCTGCCTTTGGTGATTTCTCCTTTGCCTCCTCCTTTATTCTGTTTAAACTTCTCGAGGGCTTTTCTAACTACTCCAGGCTACAATAATCCTCCTCTTCTAGACCTCACCACACATATGTTTGAGTATTTTAATTCTCAGAATAACAGGGGTGAAAAGTCTCTAGAAAAACCGACTGCATTTTTAAAATGCAGGTGAATGAATGATAACCGTAGTGACCATTTTTATTTCTTCCTTTGTCTCAGACATGAAGCTAAGAACTTTCCATATAGTAACAGCTTTATTTAGATACAATTAAAATACCATACAGTTCACCCATTTAAAATGTACAATTCAGTGATTTCAGGTATATTCAGAGTTGTGTAACTGTCACTACAATCTAATTCCAGAATAATTTCATCACCCCCAAAAGAAACCCTGTGCCTATTAGCTGTCACTCCCCATTCCTCCCCTTCCATAACCCTGGAAACTACTAATCTACTTTCTGTCTCTATTTGCCTGTTATGGACATTTCATATAAATGGCATCATACATTATGTGGTGGTGTGTGCCACTGTCTTTTCCATTTACCATAAAGTTTTCAAGGGTCACCCATCTTTTGGCATGTATCCGCACTTCATTTCTTTTTTTACAGCTTGATTAAGGTATGATTCACAAAAATTATATATATTTAAGATATACTGTGTGATGATTTAACATACGTATACATTGTGATATGGTTACCACAACCAAGCTAATTAACATATCCTTTACCTCACGTAGTTACCTTTTGTGTGTGTGCATGGTGAGAGCAGTAAAGATCTACTCTCTCAGCAAATTTCAAGTATACAATATATTATCATTAGCCTTAGTCACCATGCCAGACATTAGAGTGCCAGCACTTACTTATCTTATAACTGAAAGTTTGTACCCTTGACCAGATTATTCCCATTTCCCCCATGCCTGGCCCTTGGTAACTACTATTCCATGCTCTGTTTCTAACAGTTTGAATATTTTAGGTTACACATCTAAGTAAGATCATGCAGTAGTTTTCTTTCTGTGTCTGGCTTATTCCACTTGGCATAATGTCTTCTAGTTTTATCATGTTTTTGCGAATGGCAGGATTTTCTTTCCTTCTTTTTAAAGAGTAAATCGTATTCCATTATTGATATATACATCGCATGTCTGTATTTATCTGTCAGTGGATACTTAGGTTGATGCCATGTCTTGGTGGTTTTGAATAATGCTACGATGAACATGTGAGTGGAGATATCTCTTTTGGATGGGGGATTTCAGTTCCTTTGGTTCTATATCCAGGAGTGGGATTACTAGATCATATGGTATTCTATTTTTAATTTTTGAGGAAACTCTGTACTCTTTTCCATAATGGCTGTACAAGTTTACATTTCTACCAAGAAGGGTTCCCTTTTCTACACACCCTCAGCAATACTTGTTATCTTTTGACTTTTTGATAATGGCCATCCTAACACGTGTGAGATGATACCTCACTGTGGTTTTTATTTCCATTTCCCTGAAGATTAGTGATATTTCACATTTTTTATAAACCTGTTGGCTATTTGTATGTCCCCTTCGGAAAAATATCCATGCGGGTCCGTTGCTCATTTTTTAATTGGGTTATTTTACAGGGGAGGGTACTATTGAGTTGAATGGGTTTCTTATGTATTTTGGAATTTAATCCCCTGTCTGATATATGGTTTCCAAATATGCTCTCCCATTTTGTAAATTGTCTCTTCACTATGTTGCTTGTTTTCTTTGCTCTTCACAAACTTCTTTTTATTGCTAAATAATATTCCATTGTATGGCTAGGCCATATTTTACTTATCTGTTCATCATTTGATAGACAGTTGAGTTGTTTCTACTTTTTGCTTCTTATGAATAATCGTTCTGTGAATGCTGCTGTTAATATTACAAGTGTTTGTGTGGATATATGTTTTCATTTCTCTAGGGTATATAACTAGGAATAGAATTTCTGGGTCATAAGGTAACCCTATGTTTAATTTTTGAAGGTACTTCCAGACCATTTTCAAAGCAGCGTTGCCATTTTACATTCTTACCAATAGTGTAAGAAGATTCTAGTTTCTTCATACCTTCACTAGTACTTGTTATTTTGTAACTTTTTATTATAGTCATCCGAATAAGCAATAAGCATGAAGTGGTATCTCATTGTCCTTTTGTTTGGGTGAGGCATCCCTGATAGCTAATATTGAGCATCTTCCCACATGCCCCTTGGTCATTTGTATAGCTTCTTTGGAGGAATGTCTATTCAGATTCTGTGCCCATATAAGTTGGATTTTTTGTGTTTTTATTATTGAGTTGGAAGAGGAATTTTCCATGTTTAACTCGTAATCCTCATGATACCTCTCCCGAGATTGGCATACTTACCTTTGTCTTGCAGGTGAAGCAATTCAAGTTCAGATTATTCACTCATTTACCCAAGGTCCCACAGGTAGGAAGGATCAACTAAAGCTGAAATTTTAAAACCTAGAATCTTTCCAAATACCTTTTCCACTCTCATATTCTTCACTATTTCACTCAGAAAGTCAAACAGTGAAGAGTAAACATGACACTAAGACATGTTAGAATATTAAAGTTCAGACAATAGTTTAGAAATGAGCAGACTTAATCCTGTGAAGGAAAACAGGATTAAATGAGAACAGAAACAAAAGCATAAAGACAATGGGAGGTTACGTTAACAGACAAAACAGTAAGAAAACTTTTGCTTCTCTGCATCCTGTTGGTCATACACTTGGAAGAAATATAAACAACCCCAAGGTTATCATATCAAAGAAGGACTGCATAGATTTTAAACAGTGTGGCCTGGCCGGGCGCAGTGGCTCACGTCTGTAATCCCAGAACTTTGGGAGGCTGAGGCAGGTGGGTCCTTTGAGGTCAGGAGTTCGAGACCAGCTTGGCCAACATGGTGAAACCCCGTCTATACCAAAAATACAAAAAGTAGCCAAGCATGGTGGTGGGTGCCTGTAATCACAGTTACTCAGGAGGCTGACGTAGGAGAATTGCTTCAACCTGGGAGGCGGAGCTTGCAGTGAGCTGAGATCGCACCACTGCACTCCAGCCTGGGCAACAGAGTGAAACTCCATCTCAAAAAAAACAAACAACAACCAAACATATGTGGCCTACAACAGGAGCCACCCCGTCTTGGGATATACACATGGTAATGAGACATGGGGGATTCAAGTGCAAGGAGATAGCTCAGTGTGAAGTGGCACCAGGGATGGCATCTAGGGGAGTCAAAGCAGGCACAAGGGAAGGAGAGGTATTTAGTTTTGTCTGTATCAATTTAAGCATCTTTGTTTGGCAACTTCTTGGATATTGTAGGCCTATCATCTGTGGACTTTGATTTAGTCAGAGGAGCCAATACATCACGTGGTTGAAGGCCATGTAGCCTCACCTGTTCTGCGGACAGGCCTGCACAACTGCTGGGAGGAACCATTCATGGGAAAGAGAGGCTCACTCTCCTCATGCCCTGTGGGGTGAGTCTGGGGCTGGAGCCACCAAGAAAGTCTGTTGCTTAAGTCATTCTTGCTGTCCAGGCCTTTACCTCAGAGGACTGTGGCTACCAGAGTGGGGAATCCAACAGGCTGCTTCATGCTTTGCCCCTGGTGATTGTGCCGGATGACTGTGAAGAGCCTCTGCTCTGCCTCCATGGTGCCTAGCACAGGGGTTGTGGGCAAACGATACCTGTGGGCCCTGGCCTAGTTTTGTAAGTAAAGTTTTACTGGAACATGGCCATACTCATTTGTTTACCTATGGCCGGCAAAGCCTAAAATATTTAGTATCTGGACCTTTATAGAAAACGTTTGCCAACTCCTGGCCTGGCAGAGTGCTAGGCCTGCAATAGCTGATTCTTTTTTTTGTTTTTGTTTTTTGAGAAGGAGACTTGCTTTCTCACCCAGGCTGGAGTGCAGTGGCACCATCATGGCTCACTGCAACCTCCGCCTCCCGGGTTCAAGCAGTTCTCCTGCCTCAGCCTCCTGAGTAGCTGGGACTACAGGCGTATGCTGCCATACCCAGCTAATTTTTTTTTTGTTTTTTTGTATTTTAGTACAGACGGGGTTTCGCCATATTGCCCAGGCTGGTCTCGAACTCCTGAGCTCAGGCAATCCGTCCGCCTCGGCCTCCCAAACTGCTAGGATTATAGGTGTGAGCCACTGCGCCTGGCCTACAATAGCTGATTCTTAAACCTTCCATTGACTTGCATCCTTTCAATATCACCTAACTGGCACGAAGCTAGGCAAGCCTCATGGAGCCAAATTTGTATTAGTTCCACAAAGACATGCTCTCCCTAGATGAGGGCTCCTTGAGGGTGGGTGCTAGCAAAAGCCACAAGGCCATTATTTACCTTAAGAGAGTTCAGTCCTTTCCATGCCTCCCTACTCCAGATGTGTCAGCCTTTGTCCAGCCATTCTCTGCCTGCTCAGATGAGATCATTTTCCATTTGTGAAAAGTGTCTGAGAAGTTCAGTGTTTGACCTACATCATCTCATGTGCCCGCATGTGACCCTGGAGGTAATGTCAGCTCTTATTTCTGAAGTCCATTGTGAGTGGAGGAGCAAAATGCAGAAAGGTTATGTCAGTTGCCCAAGGTCCCACTTTGTCTTGTGCTCTGGGTCTAAATCCAGGCTGGGAGGAACATGGAGGAGTGAAGAGGGATGTCGCCTTGTAATGAAGAGATGGCAGTGAGGACTCTGATGGTGGGCAGACTAGGGGAAGACCTTTCTGTTTGTTTTCAGCTTGCCCCTTAGCATCTCACTATCCTCATTGATAAAATGAAGCTAAGGCTGTTTTCTAGGTCATGGAGGAGGATTCTATCTGACAATGTCTATTAATTGCCTAGTATAATACCTGGCATGTCATGTTCAATAAATACTACCAGCCATTATTATTGTTGTTTTTGCAGCTATTATTGTCACTGTTGTTATTTTACTAATGTCGGTGAGAAATCAATGTCTGAACTTGAAATTTCTGTCTCTTCATTCATTGTCTGGTGTTGTAAGGTCACATGGCTGCAGGAGAAAGACAGAGACCATAAATGACAACAGTGGACTAAAAGTACCAAAAAAAGAAGAAAAAAAAAGATTCTGTAGAGGATATTTATTATCTAAATGATGCAGCTGCTTGTTACATTCTAGTTCATTGTTGCCAAGCCCAAATATGGGACTAAAATTGCCAGATCTAATATTTGTTTCAAGAAATGTTGGAAATCTGTTTTTAACATTGGTAAGCAGTGTCTACCAAATACACACACACACACACACACACACACACACACAAACATACACACGCACACATATATACAAATATGGTGAAATACTATCAAATCTGAAGGTCATACATATTGACTGCCCCTTATCTGAAATGCTTGGGCCTAGAAGTGGTTCAGTTGTCAGATTTTTTTTGGATTGGGAAATATTTGCGTATACATAGTGAGATATCTTGGGAATGGGACCCAAGTCTAAACACAAAATTTGTTTATGTCTTATATGGACCTCGTACAAATAGCCTGAAGATAATTGTATGTAATATTTTAAATAACTTTGTCCATGAAACAGAGTTTTAACTGCATTTTTACTGTGACCCATCATAACACTACATGTGGAATTTTCCAGTTGTGGCATCATGTCGGTGCTCAAAAAGTTTCAGATTTTGGGCTGGGCACCGTGGCTGATGCCTGTAATCCCAGCACTTTGGGAGGCCAAGGCGGGCAGATCACAAGTTCAGGAGATCGAGACCATCCTGGCTAACACGGCGAAACCCCGTCTCTACTAAAAAATACAAAAAATTAGCCAGGCGTGGTGGCGGGTGCCTGTAGTCCCAGCTACTCGGGAGGCTGAGGCAGGAGAATGGCGTGAACCCGGGAGGCGGAGCTTGCAGTGAGCCGAGATCGCGCCACTGCACTCCAGCCTGGGCAACAGGGTGAGATTCCCTCTCAAAAAAAAAAAAGAAAAAAAAAGTTTCAGATTTTGGAGCATTTGGAGCATTTCAGATTTTCAGATTAGGGATGCTCAAGCTATATCTGGTTTGCAGCTTCTTATATAAATGGAGTAAACCTTCCCCTGGGAAGAACTTTTCTGGTAAGCTGTGCTTATATTTGTTCATGTCTAAAGATGGCTTCATTATTTCACTTGAGCATCCAACAAGTATTTATCAAATAATTCTCATGTGCCAAGCACGGAACTGAGTATTTAGAGATGAGTCAGGCAGAGTCTGTCCCCTTGAGAGATTCTTGATGTAGTTGGAAGGACCAACATACCATAAAATGATTGTAATAGAATGTGATAAATGGTTATCATTAAAGCCATGAAACCTGCTATTTAGGGAACAGGAAGAGGAAGGGGATTCTGGAGGAAGAGACATTTGAATTGGGTCTTGAAGGACGAGCAGGAGTTTGCAGACTATAGGGAGGGTGTCTAGAGCTGTGCTGTGCAATTTGGCAGCCTGTGGCTAAATTTAAGTTAATTAACATTAAATGCTTTGCAAAATTCAGTTTCTCGATACAGAAGCAATAGACAGTGCAGAATTAGATCATTTCCATCATTGCAGAAAGTTCTTTTAGACTCAGCTGTGGTGTAAATAAGGACACAGATACCCCAAGACTATATAAACTTTAGAACCCTGCAAGTTTTGGGGATGTTGTTGGAGTGATAAGAACTGCAGTTGGAAAGGTGGGTGGGAGGCAGACCAAGAGGAACTGCATGTGCTAATTCAGCATGGTTTGTCACAGCCTCTGACTTTGCTTGACTCTACATGCTACCATCAACTCACCCTCCCAATCGTTGCTAACATGTTTCTGGCTTCTTTCCTTGTTGCATTCAGATATATCACGTGGTCCAAAAAAAGCAACATTACACTTGCGTTATGTTCCAGATTTCGTCAGTAATGTCATACTCGTATTCTTGCCTCTGATACTGCTTGTGAATATTAAATACCTTAATTATTTTCTTTCACAGTAATAAAAATTATAAAAGGAAAACACACTTAAATTTATTTTCATGCCATGCTGGTCCACACTGCTGAACCATATTTGGAAACTTACAAAATCATTGCTATGGTTATGTATTAAGAATTAGTAAAATTATTTCATTATACTTTCATTATTTCATTGTCTCTTTGCTTGTAACAGATTTAAAAATATAGGATGAACTTTAATTTAGTACTCATAAAGAGAACGAGGGAGATTTATACTAACAAACTGTTAATTTAATTTCTGAGTTACTCTTGGTGCTAGATGAACACTAACTACCCTCTATTATTCTGATTTTCAGTCTTATGTTGAATTGATCGCAGTTAAATAAAGGATGCTATTTGGAGTTTAATTTGAAAATTCTAGGCAACTCTTTTGTAAGTGACAGTTAACACATATTTTCTTTTAGATGAGTTCTTTTTTCTCTGACTAGTTCATGTATATGAACTGTTTATTTCATCGATTTATTCCTCAGTTATCTATTCATTCAACAGATGTGTATTGACTTCTTACATTGTGCCAGGCACTGTGCTTGCTTGGGACACAGCAGAGAACAAAACAGTCAGGTTCTCTGTTTTCATGAAGCTGACACTCCAGTCTGGGAGGGATGCCAGTGTACAAGCGTAAATGAGCAAATAAAGCTCTCAGATTGTGCCTCATAATCTAAAGACAAGAAAACTTGTCTGACTACACAGGTGAAGATTCTGTGCAGTCAAAAAATTTCTCTGACGAGTTGACTTTAAACCACTTCCTGAATTATGTGAAAGTGCCAGCCATGTAAGGATCTAGATGAAGAGCATTCCCAGGCCAGTGCAGAGGCTCTGAGAAGCAAAGGAATTGGACAATTTGGTTAAATAGGAAGATGACCGCTATGATTGTAGTGCAGAGTTGAGCAGGTGCCAGACTTTGTAAGATGTTTTAAGCCCCCGTGAGGATGTTAGCAAGTTTTAAACACAAGAGGGATGTAATCTGATTAACGCCTTTAACAGGACATATGGTTATTGCTCTGTGGAGAATGGAAGTTAGAGGTCAAGAGCAAAAGCAAAGTGACTCATTAGAGATGTTGATGATGGTGGCTTAGGCTTCATGGAAGGAGAGAAGCAAGTGGATTCTAGAAATATGTTGGTGCTGGTCAAGTTGACGTAACTTATTGTTAGGTTCTGGATGTGGCATCAGTTACTTCTCTAGGGAAGATAGGGAATGAAGGAAGTGGGACAGATTTATTGGAAGTGTCTGATGTGCTAGATGCCCAAATAAGCAAAGTCATGTTCTGATATGTCTTCTCTGTTCACCTTGCTTTCTGACTTTAATATTGAAGAAATATTTGCTCTGCTGTGAAGAAAAATGGTAGCTGACCTGCATTAATATCTGCTATTATAGTGCATTCACTCCACAAAAATTAATATAGCCCCTGCTAAGTACTGGGAACTGTGCTAGGCACTGAAGATACAATGATTCCTACTTACCTGGAGCCTCCAGTATAGTGAGGAAAACATTTAGCAATGAGTCCACACTGCTCTGTGTTCCGTGCTAATCCAGGATTTCTCAGTCTTGGCACTACTGACATTTTGTACCCGAAGATTCAGAGTTTGGGGAGTGAGAGTATGCATAGTGAGATGTTTTGTAGCATTCAGGCTTCTACCCACTAGATGCCAGAAACACCTCCCACCCAGTTGTGACAACCAAAAATGTCTCCAGACATTGTCAAATGTCCCCTGTGGGACAAAATTGTCACCAGTTGAGAACCCCTGCCCTAATTCCAGCCCCTGATGTCTGATGACAGTGTAGCCAAGTTCTGAAGTCTGTTCTCATCACCTGCCAGGTTTGAAAGTGTTTCCTTTCCTGTTAGTGGTAGAGCCAAACTTTCAATATGTGAAAGCAGCTGGTAGCACTTGGGATGAAACCAAGGTTTCCTTTTGATGCTTTATTCACTTTGGTTAGAAGTAGGATTGCATGTTATTAGCAGTCTGGGAAGTTTGGAGAAGTCCAAGTGATTGTTTTAAGTCAAGAATGTACCAAATTGATCACTTTGCAATGCCCTGAAAATATGAATCATTGAAAGACTTTTTGATCTTTCACGGTCCAAACATACTACAGAACCACCATCGCAACACATCACATCTTGGTGGTAGAGTCTATCCAGTTCACTGATTCAATCATATAAAGAACTGTGTAGATTTGACTTGTCCCACTCCACCACTGCTTGTAAGTTTTACACTTGAGTTGAGGAGCAGATTCTGAAACACAGATAGCCTGATGGGCAAAAGACAAGCCACAACTCTACTCTGCAATGCCAATTAGCAACAATGGCAATTAGTCCTCCTGGTTATGATGCTAATGTTTATGAAGTGTAAATTATGTGCTAGACATTGTGAAAGTTGCCTTAATTTATTTAATGTTCATAATAACCTCATAAGGTTATGTTGTTATGCTGGTAAGGAATAGGGCCAGGATTCAAACATCCATATGTATTTAGAATCTATGATCATTTTGTTTGTTTGTTTTTTGAGAAAGGGTCTCACTTTGTTGCCCAGGCTGGAGTACAGTGGTATGATCATGGCTCACTGCAGCCTTGACGTTACTGGGCTGAGGTGATCCTCTTACCACAGCCTCCCAAATAATTAGGACTACAGGCGTGCACCACCACACCAGGCTATTTTTTGTAGAGGCAGGGTTTCGCCATGTTGCCCAGGCTGGTCTAAAGTGATCTGCCTGCCTTGGCCGCCCAAAGTGCTGGTATTTTACAGGCATGAGCCACTGCTCCCTGCTGGAATCCATGTTCTTAATCTCTATGCCAAACTGCTAATTTCCCATGCTGCTGTTTTCCACTGAGTTTAAATATGGCCTCGGACTCCTCAACAAGAGCTACTGCTAGTTGATCAGAGAGGCATTTGAGATGAAAACTCTTTGCCCATCAATACCTAATGTTTCTTCCTAGTCAAGTATTAGGCACTGAATTCCTCTGAGGCGGATCATGGGGCTGCTGTGGACGCATAGGAGTTAATATCACGTAAATCTGAAAGCAAGGGGGAAAATGGTTGAACTATATCTCATAAGTAACTTTTCAGGCTCCCCTGAACTTTAATCAGTGGAAATGGTATTGTCCAGCTGCTTTGTTTTATTTTCCTTTTTCCTTTTACAAAGGCAGTTAGAACACACTTCCTACAAAAATGCTGTTCAGCGCACTTATAATGTTGCCATATTGCTGGTCCCAGACTTTCACCCTTGGGGACATTCTCCTATTTCTCCATTAATGGGAGATGCTTTTGAGGATCAGTTCTAGGGATCTTTTTTCCATATTAGAGCATATAAATCCAGTTTAGTTTACTGCACCAATCAGTTCATGTTATATTCTTTTCTTCTTGTTTGGAAAGAGCCATGTACAGTAGTCTAAAACCTGAAAGCTGAAGGGAGATGCATTTCCCTCTTATTCCTGCCATCTTGCTCCTTATTGAACTACTGGTAGATGGGGCCTGGGATGCAACACCAGTTGACACCTTGAAGCTGGGATTGGTTCTCTGTGCTACTAATGAATAGGCTACAGAAACAATTTGCTATGTTTCCCTTTGGATGTCCTATAAGCATCAAATAAAACAAGTGGACCAATGCCAAACTTTAGTCAGGTGAAATGTTCGGTCCAAATGTTGCAGCATAAAGATAATAATATTGTTCACTGACCAACACAACTGACTACATATTTATGAGTTTTTTAGATATAGTTTTAAAATATAGTGTGTTAACTTTGACTGTGTCTATGAGTAATTCAGCTTTTTAAATATGGCACTTAAAATTCTAATTTAAAGTAAGTTTAAATATTTCCTATCTTTTTTGTATAAAGTATGAAAACGCTTTTCAAGGATCAGTGTTTTCAGGCTGCCCAAATATGACCAAAGAGCATGTTCTTTGATTTGCTGTTGGGCAATATTTTTATAATTGATGGGTGGGTGGTTCATTTTGAACCAAGTCTTCACTTTGCTCTGGGTTTCGTCTTTAGCAATTTCCCATCCCCATCTAAATTATATTTTTATGACATACAACATTAATTAAGATTGTTTTTCCTTTAAGAGGTGATTAAACATATCCCCCACCATTGGTAATAGCCTGATTCCATATAGCTTCACAGCACTCACTGAGGAATACTACTTTGTAATCTTGTTTCTCGTGTTCTGGCTTAATTTTCCAGCTCTTAACTCTGGCTAAATAGATTCTACCCCCTAACCTCTATAACACTAAGCCTCAGGAAAGTGATCACTTTAAATTTACAGTTGTTAAATAGATTGTTAATGACCAAAATAATTTATCAATCTTGGCTGGCAGGCATTATATTTAAAAAAGCAGACGACTAATCACCAAATGCTTTGTTGATGGTTATTTTCATCACACTGACTGCCCTCCTTGGCATGGAAAGCCATTAGGCAGGAGAGATAGGAGACAAGCCATTGTGGCAAAGTGGTGCTGATGCTGGGAACTGGACTCCTGAGCGCAATTTGTCAGTTTGCTTAGGAGGTTCAAAGCTCGCTTTGTTGTGCTCAAACTTTACTGCCTGTTTGACCAGCTATGTCCCTCCCGATGATGTAAAAATCTGCTAGTTTCTCCTTTTGTTGTTGTTCAACTTGTATGATATAGGGTCACTATTTAGACAGAGCCTTTAGGTAAGTCAAGGATCTCAGAAGGTATGGACTTGGCTAAATTGAGTTATAGATGGACTATTATTTTACATCAAATCATTGTCGAATGGCATCTGTAGCTTTTAAGTTTACTTTCATCTTTTTGTTTTTAGTTTGGAGACAACGCAGTTTCATCATGTCTGCTTTCTAACGTCTCTTTAAATTCAGAAGTCCCCTAAGAGGCAGCTCTTCAGGAAAAATCTAAACAGAAATCTCAGAGTGCATGTGGATTCCTTGTTCCCCAGAGTCTTCCCTGCAAGGATCCTTTAAATGGATCACTCCTCATGGTCATGTAAAATGATTTTACTTACAAGACATCCAGGAATATCCAATTTTTAAGAACCCATATGTTTTATAAAGCAAGGGCACACCTAGCCCTATGTGAATGCCCATCGAAGAGATGACTCCTATGTATGCCTGCTGCTGGGAGACACAAAGGCCCACTCCAGACCTACCGTCAGCAAGGTTCAGAATATAGGCACAGTGGCTTCCTGGTGTGAAGAAATTGGCTAAGGTTTGCCTCCTCTATCATGGAACTCTTAAATTTTTGTCCTGTTGGTTCATCTGTGATGTCGGGGGGATGACTGGCTTAGAACGGCCATGCCCTGCACATTTGCAGCCTCAGTCCTTCTCAGGTTGCTTACCCATCTGTCCTCTTCTACCCAGCAATGGGAATTCTTCTCACTGGAGCCCCGCTTAGCAGCCTGTGTCTTTACCAATCTTCCTTTTCCCTTCATGCAGAATAAACCACTCCCTTTTCCATATCATGCTTTTCCTGGTTTGTGGTTAGTTGTCCATGGTAGCCTCCTTGAGGGAAGAGGCCACGCCTTCCTCATATTTTGTGTCCTTGGTTCCTGATATTTTGCCCGCCAGAGTTGGCAACTGACCCCAGCTGGACAACTGGAAGGATTGATCAACTATTTTTAAACCATAGCTTTTCAGGTCTTAGGAAAGTGTGTAAGTCCTTGGAGGGGCTGGAACATATCCCACCAATTTGGGAACCTACCCTTGAGGAGTACATAACCCTTATTCTGACCTTACGTTGCATAAATGCTGAGTGCATGCTTGTGTAATTAAATCAAAATTGATAGCAGCCACCTAATGCAGTGTGCTGATTAACTTAGGGCCATCTCTTCTCAAAGTGTGTGCTCTTTGTTCTTCAGAATGATAACAGATTATGAGAGCCAGTGTTGGGGGGGAGAAATGAAGGAAATTCTATGGCAAGTAACATTGAAAAATGCTCAGCTAAGCAAAATTAAATACTGTTCTTTATTGAAGAACTTCTTTGACCTTAGCATTGTACGTGAAACTAACGGAAGAGAGATAATAAGCAGCATTTCCAAAGTACTTTGAACTATGATATTTTTATTATAATTTCTCTCTCTCTTTTGAGCAGCTTTTTGGTAATAGTGTTTCAAAGATCATACTTGGGAAACGCTGATTTAAGACTGCTAAGATGCATAAGCTGGTTTGGCTGATTTCAGAGTAATAAAAGGCAATAGTTAAGCGGGTTCCCATTTTGCATATGAATTAACATAAGCATTGGGAATGTAACAGATGAACTTCAGAACTTCCCCAACAGGAAATGAACCGAGGCAGCACAGAGTGTTCAGGAACCCTAAACCCAGCCTTTCCTTGAAGCCCTCAGTAAGGCAGGAACCAGAAGTTTCACGGGCAGCCCTTTTCTTTTCCAGTGTTTGGCCCTCTAGGCAATCTGAAAAAGAGTCCCAGATTGATGCTCAGTCCGTATTTATGGCCATTCTAACATGAGGAATGTAGAAAATGGAGAACCAGCTATGGACACCACCAAGAACGCAGATCTAATTCCCACCATGGAGTCCCCACAGGGCAATAATCTGCTTAGATCAAAAGAGGCCTCCAGAGCCCTGCAGGCTTTATCCTCTCAAAGAAGTTAATTTCGTACTTGGAAATAATGAAATTACTGATAGATCAGGCTGGAATCTCTGATAGTTAATATCATCCCATCTCTATATCCTATGACAGTGCTGTTAACTTGTTGTAATGTGATATTTTGAGCACTGCTTAGATATTATTTTTTAATGACGTCTTCATTGAAGGCCTAAAGCTTTGCCTAAGATTCTAAGGAAAGTTTTCACATGAAAGAGAGAGATAATATTAAACAGACACTAATAAGTCCTCTGAAGAAAATTCATTACAATATCATTCGCAAAAGAAAAGAAGGAAGAAAAGAACAATACCCTTTTCCAGCCAATGTATGTTCTCTCATTAGGATTTTACATTTATTACTGTACTGTTGCTGCAGATTTTTCTTATGTGTGTGCTTATGAACCCATGAAGAATTAGTGTCTTCTTAATGAGCACCAAAGACTGTATTTATTAAAAATTCTTTGACCTTACGTAAAAAAGAAACCATTTATTAGCAATTATGTCTTAGGATTAGAAAGTATTATCTTTTGAAGCATTCCAACCACGTTGTAGTGTCTTCTCCTACTTGAGCTTTCAGGATCTCTTTGAGGGATCCTCCTCTCTGTTATAAGGAGGGTAAGTTTTTCTCAAGAATGCAAATCACTTGGCCATGGTTGCCTAGTGAGTCAGAGACCATGCTAAGGGTCTCACCTTCATGATGTAATTTGAGGGTATGGGGAGGCTTCATTTATCTGAGGATAGTTTTCCTAATGGCCTGTGGTACGTGTGCTAGAATTATGATTAGAGATTCATGACTTGTCCTTTTAGGAATCCAGTTAAGAAGGCAAATTTGGGAGAGGTGGCCCCTATTATCACCAGAACCTTTGAAACAATTGGGACTGGATGGATGTCAGACAGTATGAATTAGAAAGGCTGGACTGCCTCTTGATGCCTGGTGTCTAGTCCCATTTTTATTGGTCAGTGCCCAAGCATTGTTGAATATCTTTGAATATCATCCCAGGTTAGTAGGGAAAAATTAAGACAAAGGGTATTACTGAGAATAGGATGGTGCTCTGGTTTGAATGTGTTTCCAAAGTTTATGTGTTAGAAACGTAATCCCCAGAACAACAGTATTGACAGATGGGAACTTGAAGAGGTGATTAGGTTATGAGGGCCCTGCTGTCATGAATGAATTGATGTTGTTATCATGGGAGTAGGTTTCTTGTAAACACTAGCTCAGCCCTTCTCACCCTCTCTTCTGGCTATGTGATGCCTTTCACCATGTTATGACATAGCAAGAAGGCCCTCACTGGATGCAGCTTGCCCCTTGATCTGGGACTTCCCAGCCTCCAGAACCATGAGCCAAATAAATTTCTGTTTATTATAAATCTTCCAGTCTCAGGTATTCTGTTAAAGCAGCAAAAGCAGACTAAGACAGATGAGAAACACAAAGCCAAACTCTGAGTCTTTCTAAAGGTCATGTTGGACAAGCCATATCACTGGTGGTATGGAGACTAGGACCCAGTCATAGCCCTGTGATATTTACCTAGATCCCTCAAAGAAAATCAATAAATATAGACCATTTCCTTTCTGATATAGAGCTAATGTTTAAAAGAGAAGGGTCTTGATTTTTTCCCATATATTTCACTGTACAGTGAAGAGAATATATACCAGTGAATAATATATGGTCCTTATTATAATGTTGGAAATAAAATGAATACAATTGTGCTTATTGTATAGTTCACTTGCATCATTGCTTTGCCTTCAATTTGGGCCTTTTAGCTGTTGTCAGATAAAAGGCTACAAGGAATTTGTCTAGTTTCAGTATCACATGCAATGTAGATACACTTTTCTCCTTATTAGAACAAAATTTAGAGTATTTTTTAAAAGATGGTTCTCTATATAAGCTATGCATGACTACTTTTAAAATTATAGATCACAGTTAACATAGAATACAGAGCCACTTGGCCAAGCTAGGTGAGTACAGTGAATGTCCAAGCCTGAATTATTGGGTATGAATTTGTTAAGAGACAACTTGTTAAAGAAAGCATACTCCTTCCTTTCTTCTTTCAGAGTGCCCCGATGGCAACAGAATCCTTGAAATCCTCAGGGAACAAATTGGGGATAAAAGTTAGAAAGTACACCCGTCTTATTTTCCAAGCTCTGAGCAGACCCAAGAAAAAAGACTGAATTTAATCAAAAAAGATTTTATTGATGAAGGTATCTCTCCTTCAGGCTAAACTTTGGCCCCTGCATGCTAATAAAACCCTCTCATTTCTCAGAAGTAGCTTTCTGCATAAAATCCAGGGAGAGACCATGGACAGGAATACATCTTGGAGAAAGGGAATTGAAGACGATCAATCAGAAGTTGGCAAGGTCTCCCGCTGTCCCTTGCTGAGTTAGGAGGCACTTGCCTCTCTCTGGGCTGGCTGATTTTTAATTCTTGGGCAGTCACCTGAATGCCTTTGGATTCTTGAGAAAGTGTAGGATGTGCTGCTGGATGCAACTGCTTCTCTCAGCTGATGCTGGCTGAGCTCTGGGCAATTGCACCCTGGTATTTTACTTCTATGTTATCTGCACACGTGGTACTTTTACTGCCCAGATATGAAGATGAGCAATCTGGAGCTTCAAGTTTTTATGACTGCTAATTAGTACCCTGTTTGTGCCCTTTTAATCTGTTATTATAATAGGATGGCATGACATGCAGTTTTTTCTTGGCTCTCTGACTGCTGCAGCCAGAGGGGGCTGTATTTGCACTTTCTCATTACCTGTGCGCTTAAAGAATATTAATAAAGATGAGTTTAAAAGGGCAATGTTCTGAAACTTTCTAGTCCTCACCACAAATGTGGAATTTAGATCCTGTTCTTCCCCAGGCTTTTGGCCCAAAGATGGTGCTCAGACTCCAGCGAACAGAGATGGGCCATGGGAAAGATTCCACTGCTACTGTTCTTGCTCTGGTTCGTTTTTAATATGAGATAGGAAGAGATGGGGGATCTGCGAGGCTATGTCACTTGATAAAGTCAAAAGTGAATTAGGCTGAAGTTCAAATTCTGGGTCTTTGGCTTATTATCTAGGAATCCCTGCACAATTGCTTTTCTTTCCATGTTGTTACTTTCCCCCTTCCAAGCCTCCCTGCTCCATACACACTTAGCCAACCAGCCAGCCAAAGTTATTTACTGACTGCTTAGGTACTCACTTCTTTGAGTGCCACAGGAATGCAAATTCCATGAGGTCAGGGGCCACATTTGTCTGGTTCTCTGGTAGCCCTGCAGCACCATTTCTGACAAATAGTTGGTTCTCAATAAATGAATGTCTAATAGACAAAAAAGACTTAATTTCTTGTCCTGTAAACAAGTATCAGAAAACTGTCTCACTGGACTGCGGAAATAATTGACTAGTAATTGCTGTGGTTTGGATGTTTGTGCCCTCCTAACCTCATGTTGAAATTTCATCCCCAATATTGGAAGTGGGGCCTCATGGGAAGTGTTTGGGTGATGAGGGTAGATCCATCATGAATAGATTAATGACCTCTCTGTTGGTGAGTTACTCCCTACTCTGTTAGTTCCCATGAAAGCTGGTTGTTAAAAAGAGTGTGGTGCCTCTTCCCTTCTCTCTTGCTTCCTCGCTCCCCATGTGATCTCTGCACACACAGCCCCCCTTCACCCTTGCCATGAGTGGAAGCAGCCAGAGGCCCTCACCAGAAGCCAAGGCCAATACCAGGCTTCTCGTACAGCCTGCAGAACTATAAGCCAGATAAACCTTCTTCTCTTCTTGAATTACCCAGCCTCAGGTATTTCTTTATGGTGACAACTAAACAGACTGAGACAGTAACATAATACCTGCACAGTGTCTAGTAAATAGTTGGTCCTAATTCAGTGGGAGTGAAGTTTGTTCTTTCCTCTGACTGTAGGAGCTGGGATGCTCAGGTGAAATGTGGCCTCAGGCTCACCTGGGAATGAGCGAGTGAAGTTAGGAGAGGTAAGAATGAACACTGCCTTTTTCCAGACTGTCACATATGATAGGAATGTGGAGGTCCTTGCTTCTGTCATTCTCTTCATTTGGTAGAAATTGTTCTGTAACCACAGAGCCACAGGAAGCCACTGCGATGCTATGATATTCAGAGGTCCAGAAAGCTGCCTTAGATTCTGCATATCAGAGCTTGCCCAATGGAATGGTGTTCCCCAAATGTGTCTTTTGCCTTGATCCCATAACCCTCCTATCCTTGCAAGGGATTGCCTGGCATTAGCTTCTCTTAGGGCCAGAGTTCTGAACATTTCAAGAAAAACTAGCAAATGTGCTCTTGGTTGAGGCCTGCCTGCCTGCTAGTTTTACTCACCCTGAGTATGTGCGAGTTCATATAAGTCACTATGGGAAACCTGGCACGTGCTTGCAATTCCCAGTATAAAGCTGATTTCTTTTGGAAAATGAAAGCAGCGCTCATGTCCTTTATACATGCCTTGAGGCTTACATGGAAAGAAGTCAGAGGAAAAAACCCACCTGTTGGTGACACCCCAGGCACATGTATTTCAGGGACTGAAAAAAAGCAGCATTCAAAGTAGCAGAGCTTTGCAAGGATGATGCAGTTAGGATGTGAAGCTGGCTCTTGAAAAGTGGATGATCAAACAGAGCACTGTACTCTACTAAACCGAAATCCAATAGGCTGCAGTTGCTGATGTTCTCATTCCATCATGAATTCTCAGAATAGCTTGGACCAAATCAAATCAGAGACATCAATCGTTAAAAAAAAAAAAAAAAAGCATCAGGTAGCATGTACTTTCTAGAAGCCCTTTAGGGCTGTTTCTGAGGGCATTTTTGTTCCTGCGGTCACTGTATCCTTCAGACTATCTTCAGTGGAGAGGACACATGGCAGCCCCCCGTGCTCAATGCTGCTTCCTGTTTCTTCAGCAATATTTTCAGTGTCTGAAGATGAGGTTGAACCATGATGAAGCTGTGATCTCCAGTGGCTGAGCCCAATGCTCATCCTGTTTCCTCTTCTGAACATATATAGAAAATGGACTTTGTGTGCTACCAAATGATCCTAATAGCAAACTGATGAGCTTTCTTTTGCGCCATAAGGGTGATAATAAAAGGAAGGATTTGAAAATATCTTTATTTGAACACATTTTTAAAAATTAGCAAATCTGTTTTGGCACTCCATTTTTGTTTTGCTTTATTTTGTTTTGGTGAATTTTTCTTACTGCTCTCTGAAATGTAAAACCACAGGAATAGTTGACTTAAGTTCATTTTTGTCCTTGAAATTAAATGTTACAGTTATAAACTATTTGGATACAATCAAATATTGTACAGAATCTTTTAACATTATTGAGACATACAGAGTGCATATTGTCCCAAGGATCTCACATTAATGACCTTTCAGTTTAATACTATCCTGCTATATACCCTGTAACTACTTCTCAGCAGCTCATTGGCAACTGACAAGGTGTTGACTTCTCCCATTCTATCCTGCCTGCTAAAAGTGGATTTTCCTACTGTCCCATAGCGTGACTCCCCTACCTACCCTCAAAATATGAGAAAGAGCTTTCAAATCTGTCACCATCTGGTAGCCTTGCTTTTGGGGAAGTAGCTGGTGTAGCTTGGCATTATAGCCAAATAAATAACTTTAGAGATAGGAAATGGTTTTACGGAACTTCAACAATGACACAATAAATGTCTTAGCCTCTAGTTTCCAACCATAATAAAGTTGTCCCTAGAAAAGTTGAGTGGTCAGTTTTTGCTGAGATACACAATAAAGTATATCTTTATTGTGTTGATATCCAGTGGTGTGCTGGTAAATATTAACAACTGGTTTTTGTGTATGCATGTGTGTGTATGTATGTGTGTATATATAAAAACATATATCCACATACCCTCATACATCTGACTGCTTATTATAAATTTTACTGATATAAAATGTGCACCACACAATTTGTGAGTAATCATAAAATATACACCAATCTTTATCATAGATTCTATATAGCCAATTTGATTCTCACAGAATGCTTTTGTTAATGTTTGTTGAATTCCTGTAATCACAGTCAACTTATGATTGTGATTCAGCCATGATTTGAAAATTCAGATAAGGAATAAATGCTTGGTTACTACCCAATTAAGCAAAGTTGCTCATGTCACTGACAAAACAGGTGTGCTTCAGACATGAATATTGGTTGACATTTTTGTTTACATAAACAAGACAAAAGTGAAGCCTAAGAATATATGTCAAAACTTTACTCATTTGTCAATCATATGAGTGACATTTTTGCCAAATCAGATAATAGATATAGAACACTAAAGGGTATTTTCTTAATTTTTTGTACTATTCACCATGTAACAGCTATTGACACAATATGCTTTTAAGCTTTGTCTCCATAATCATTATTTTCCCCCATCACTTTCTTAAATCTAGATAGCCAAGAAAACAGTTAATCTGTAGTGTTTCCAGTTTCCAGTTCATATGGCTGAATTGAAGCTACAAACCTGATGTCACTGCACAGACTTGGAAAGAGACGTGCGGTAGCACACTACTGAGAGTATTTCCACCACAAGATACAATAGACGTTGATATGGTTTGGCTGTGTCCCCACCCAAATCTCATGTTGAATAGTAGCTCCCATGATTCTCATGTGTTGTGAGACGGACCCTGTAAGAGATAATTGAATCATGGGGGCAGTTTCCCCCATACCATTCTCGTCGTAGTGAATAAGTCTCCTGAAATCTGATGGTTTTATAAGGGGAAAACCCTTGCACTTCGTTCTCATTCTCTCTTGCCTGCCACCACATAAAACATGCCTTTCACCTTCTACCATGATTGTGAGGCCTCCACAGCCACATGGAACTGTAAGTCCATTAAATCTCTTTTTCTTTTTAAAGTACCCAGTCTCAGGTGTGTCTTTATCAGCAGCATGAAAACAGACTAATACAGATGTATATAACCTAAGAGCATAGACAATAGTAAAATGTAGTGACATTATGAGGAATTACAGAGTTTTTAATATTTTCTTCCCTTTGTTTTTAATATTTATTACTTTCAAATTACACAATTTAATTTTTAATGGCTTTTTAAGCTACCAGCTTACAAAATTTCTGAAAATTATACAAACAGCTCTTGTGATCTGGTACAAACCAGCTCTCACACATCACTGCTTATATCCTCCTTATATGGGTCCTGAAATAAGCAGGAGACCCGGAAAATTTGGAAAGAATGGAGGTTTGCTGACCTAGTAAGGACACTGCCAAGAAAATAATTTCCACTGAACATTCTCATTTTCCTCCTCCGAACAGCATAGTCATGGCCAAAGTCATTTTAGCTTTGCCTTTTATCAGCTTAAGAAACTGTAGATCAGCTTTAGGCTTATGTGTTCAACACTAAGGAACATGCCATGTTTCTTCAGTGACAAAGGCAAAACCAAGGCTGATATAGGAAAGCAGGACCAATGGACCAAGGTGTTAGGTGTCATATGTTTTTGGGAGCAGCACCATTTGCCAGGGCATCTGTCTTCTTCCTCACAGTGTACTTCAGTTTTCTACATGTTCCTCCTACCAATATGAAGTTATTTGAAACTCTTAACCCCTCTGTACCTCCACCTACTTTCCTTGCCAGACTTCTCCTTAAAACATTTGCTTTGTAGGGATGTGAAAGTTATCTCTTTGATTGAGATAATGTAATTAAAGGGAAACTTGATTTCCTTGCCAAGTCTGGATTTCTCTACCGAGTTACCACCTCAGGGATTTCTAAAACTCAATTACAGTCTGCTCTGCTTGTTAGTGAAAACAAGGTGCTATAACGATCTCTCTTCCTGATAATCTGTTTTCTGCATTTAAATATTGTTAATATTTTTTTTCCTTAATCCAGCTAATTGAAGATGTGAGGGTGTTTCAATAGTATGATTCCTGAAATTTGTTTCATAAACGATATTAACTTTATACTTCCAAACATGTTAAAGTGTGAATATGTTTTAAATGTTTTGTTTTCCATATCTAAATGTATTTTAAGACTTTTACATTTTGCATTTCCTACCAGCAGTGTGTTTTATACTGAATGCAGGCATTTCAAAAGACTCCTATTTTGAGCATGTCTGTGCCTGAAAGTATGCAATGCTAATTTGAACAGTAAGCAATGTAAACACCTCATATTTAAAAATTGGTTGAAAATGAGAAAAAGTACTATTTTAGTGAAAAAGAAAGTAAGAAATAAAAAGTTCTTCATGTGAATAATTCCAAAGCACCTCATGGTAAATTTTTTTCTCCTGTCCCATATTGCTATTATTTAGTAACAGAAAGCTTGCCTCATCTAATTTATTGGAGAGAAAACTGGCACATTATTGTCTACCAGAAATGATATGGGGACAGGTTTATCTTATTTCAATTTGCATTTAATTAATGAGTTACACCATATATTAATCAAAGCAAATATCTTTAGACCATAACCAGGCAAAGATCTTTAAACTCTAATATTCTATCCTAATGTTTTTAGCCTCTTCTTGTATTAAACTTAATTGTATTTTTTATTTGTCTGAAGAAAAAAATGGTTATATGCAAAGGAAGTGAGGGTGATTTGAAGTCTTCATAGAGCCAGTTTTTTACACTGGAGTTTGTGGTTGATAGATTTGTTTTGTTTTGGGAGGTCCTTCAACCTGTAGAAATTATATGTGAACATTTATGTGTATGTGCATTTTCCTCAGGGTTCTATTAGAATCTAACAGGGGGCTTGTGATGCTCTGAAGTTTGAAAATGACTGCCTTATAGGAATAGTGAAGCCCACTTTCCACACTAAAATGATTTTTAGTAATGAGCTATTGCCCGTACCCCCTTCCTTTGTGTCTCTTAAAAGACATTTTTATTCACAAATTCTAATCAAAGGGTAAATAATCAAATATGTTTAAAAAAGATCCAAATACTTGGCCAGTGTAGCAAAAATCATACATATGGTTATCAGCTTGTAATGGGTTGGAACCTGGCCTCTCTAGAAGCAGGTATCTATAGCCAGGTGGTCTTACTATCATTTTGTCCCTACTGTGTGGCCTACTGGAAGCATTCAGTTGCATGATTAGGGGATAGATGAAAAGAGAATTGTTGAGACGTGGCACCAAAGGTACAGCGTCATTGCCCATAACATATGTTTATACATCAAACATGTTTGTTGCTTTAGGGAATACATCCATTAATCTATTTTTTTTTCTTTCACTTTCAAGTGCTGTTGAGATGTCAAAGGAACAATAGCACTGCTATTCC
The DNA here is from genome assembly GCF_000001405.40 of Homo sapiens. Lineage (NCBI taxonomy): Eukaryota > Metazoa > Chordata > Mammalia > Primates > Hominidae > Homo > Homo sapiens. The sequence goes on along the minus strand of NC_000003.12, from coordinate 59,880,969 downwards.
AAGTGCCCTCAAATTGGAAGTGACTGTATTTATTGGCATTGCTCAAAGAGGCTTAAAGACCAATACCCATTCATTCCATGTAGTCTGAGAATATGGAATTAGAAGGAGCACAATACTGTTTTGGCTAATGGTAAAATAAAAACCTGGAATGATGAAGGTGACTCATTGATCTAACGTCTATAATCATGAATTAATTCACTTTATGTCTGAATTACCTCTGTTCTTGCTCTTATAAAAACAGCAGCTGATTGATGGATTCCTGTATGCCTGATACTATCTCAGGCTCTTTACATTGATAAAGTGATTTAGTCTTCAAAACGCTGTCATTTATAGGCATTGCTATTCTCTCTGTTTTACAAATGAGGGACCTGAGGCACATAGAAATTGAGTGCTTGCACAGTGGGACACAGGTACTTAGTTGTGGCACTAGATTCAAGGCTAGTCAGTCCTGTATCCCAGAGCCCAGGATTGGGACTGTGCTTAATCCCTACTAGAGAAGAGAAAGTGCTAGAAGCCTGGAAATTACAGTGGTCCAGACAGACATGGTTCTTTCTGCTATCGATGAAGCTGATAGAGACCAAAGGGGTGGTAGTAGAGGCTACTTTGAAACCGAAGGGCAAGGCAGGTTCCTTGGGGAAGATTTAAGCTGGATGAAGGGAAGGAGCCAGGGAGGAGAGAGATCCCTGAGAGAGAGAGAAGAGCAGGCACAAGGTCTTGGGGAGGGAAGGCGCTTGGAGTATTCTACAAACAGCAGAAGCAGGAATGGCCAAAGACAAACGAGCAGAGGGGACAGGCAGGAGACCAACTGTGGCTATGTGAGACTTCTTAACCTTAAAACCTAAAGGGATGTCGTTATGAGGCAGCTTCTTGGCAGTTTGATGCCATGCTTCTTTGTCCCTGTGATCTGAAGCCATGATCTTCTTGCAGAAGTTTTCTATCTTGTGTTCTGTCTTTGATTACCTCCTATTTCCATATGGACTTCTCCTCTTCTCTCTTGGTTCCTTTGGATGTGGCACTTGGCCACGTTGCTAAGGGGCGGGGGGGGGGGGGTGGGGGAAATGATTGGTTAAACCATTGAATTAAAGGCTCAGAAATAATGTGGCCCAAAGAGTCTTAAAGAACATAAAAGTATTGGAGGAGAGTTCATTAAACCAATAACTGAGCCAGAGTCTTCATTCATGTTATATGAGGAACCCTCCACTATTTAGCTGTTTGTGGACCCAGCAATTGCTGTGATTATCCCATCATTGCCAGTGTCCAATATAATGTTTGTATCCAGACTGTGTTATTAACTTTATTTTTCATTTATTCGACCCTACGTAATGTTAGGTCATTTGTGTTTTGTTTGGGGCTGTGTGGGTTTTTTTTGGAGCAGTCCGGTTTTGTCATAACATGCATCACATAGTTAAGATTTCATATCTTTGCTTCATCTACCCCATTATGGAAAATGGCAGTTGATTAGGGTTTTCTTTAGATCATTATCAATTGTTTTCTATCTTGCAGATAGTGCTGTTAGGACACATCTATCATACCCCAGAGATCCTATATAGCTCGTTATTTCTGAGTGATTTATTACCTTACTGTGGAAATGTAGTTAGTGAACGTTGGGGAAGCAGGGGCTGTATTGAGAAATATCAATGTATCCTCATGTTCTGGCTTGCAGTGACAGTCAGAGATCCATCTCACTGACAGTTACCTTGTTAACATTTTGATCAGATGGCAAATTTGTCATTTTTCATGATAACAAGTATAAGTTTGCACAAGAACCACAGAGAGATGAGAAAGATAAAACAGCCCTCATTTAGTTTTTCTGTGTGATGTAATCAGTAATCTCTGGGAGAAGTGAAATAATTACTGTGTGAGAAGCTCATCCACTGGAAAATGTGTTTGTTGTAGAAAGCTCAGATTTTTCTTCATTTGGATAGAATGTGCCCTTTCTTCTTCTTCTTTTTTTTTTCCTTTGCTGACAGTTTGATTAACACACCAAGCCTATGCGAAATAGACAGAAAAAAAGGGTTTACAGTCAGAATGCTTGGGTTTAATCACAGTATAAGATATGAACAAGGGGAGTAAAAAAAATAGCATGCAGAATTGTTGGGAACAGTGAATTAGCTGCCATGGGGATGGGGTTTGGGTGTTTCCTCCTTCTACATTTTAAACTTGCTCTCAAACCCTTTCTCGTTAGCGTCAATATCGAGTAATGAATGTTCTTCTCTAAACGCTCGTCAATAACTATGAGGTGGCCCATCTGGAGGCCTCACTCTTGTGTGATCACACAGTTAATAATGTCTTTATATTGTTTTTCTTGCACTTTCTCTTCGGCTGTGTTCCTCATGCTGTGAAATGTTTAAACTCAGAGCACTTTTGAAAGCTCCTGGCTCTACCTGGTGCTTACAGGGTGAGTGTATTTGAGAAAGAATCCCACTTTGGGGTCAGCATTTCTTTACAATGCGTGAGAGTCAGAAATGGGCTTCTGACCTGCCTCTGAAAATAATAGTTCTCAGTGCAGTGGACAGCTGTTAGTTAGAGCCCATAACAACCTGTGACAAACCCATATTATTGAAACTCAGGTAAGACTGGAGTAAGTACATCCACACAGACACTTGAGGCGGGAAGATGGAGCTCTGGATGTCAAATATGAATTTCTCTTCTGAACTGTCTTATGACTCACACACACACGTGCCTGGAAGTCCAAAGTGTAGTTGGTTTTTAAATGCTTCTGTCAGGTAACCATGGCCTTGGGAAAAATTATATTATGTTTTCATAACTGCAGTGAAATGCAACCACAGAGAGGGGAAATATGCCAAGTACAATCAGTCATTCCTTTTATTATACTAGTTTTTAAAGGGGAGGAAGTGCTCATGGCTGCATTTATATGAGGCAGATTTTTTCTAATAATGGTACAACTATTAACCTAAAATATAACTACTTATTCCTTATTAATTTGGCCTATATGCATTTATTCCAATGAAGAGTTGAAAGTAAGCAGTTAAGGTGAAAACTATGTTTTTGACCATCCTACTAAATCTTTTAACATTTTGTCCAGGTCTGAGTGAGAGCTGTTGCATTTTCTTTCTCATCTGACTCACCATTCATGGTTATCCAACTCATTTGAGGGATAGGGAAATACTTTCTTTCTATTTGTCTGAATATACCAATTTGAATTTGTCATTTTGATGGCTAGTATTCTTATAGGAAACATATGGAGAGATATAAGAAATCATATAGGAATCTCATTTTCTTGGCAGGAGATCCTGTGATATTCCTTATAGCCAGTATTATCTGAATCCCTCTAAAATCTTCATCTTTTTACTTTTTCTTTTGGTATCTGATGATCATAGCCCAAGCCTCTACTCTGCATGTCTGAACATGGTCAATGTCTTAAATGACCTCCTCTCCACTCGTATTTCTGAAGAACCATAGGGCTTGTTTACATGTCCCACAAGCCTGTCCCTCCTGTCACTTGTCACTTTATGCTATGGATCACTGCTCTGGGCCTTCCTGCTTGTTATCTCTTGCTGCTTGCAGCCATATCTTCATGTCGCAGAGGTTGTTCCATGACCACTTTATCCCTGTATGGTCATCAGCACCCACTCAGTTTTCCAAAGGCCCTGTCAACTCTACACAGTCATTTATGACAAACCATTTTTCAATGGCTTTAGGAAAAACCTGAAAGAATTACAATTCTGAACCAGTTAAGTAGAATGATTTTGGCAGCACATTATAGAAATCATGATTCAAAAAGTTCCAATAGTAAGGAGTTTAAGGGTAGGATAGTTCCACCTTTGAGATAATGAATGGTTACATCAGTTGCATAAATGTCATACTCAAGAATATAACATCTTCCCTTCTTTCTACTCTTCAATTTCCCTGCATTGGCTTCTGGCTCAAGGTTAGCACACTTCATGGTCACACAATAACTACAGTAGTATAGCCATCCTATCTAGACCCATTAACAGTTGGAAAAGAATGATTCTCATTTCTTCTTATGTGTCTCTTTTGATGGACAAGGAACTGTTTCACAGATGTCTCCTCAGCTAGCTGAGCATGTGAATGACCGGAATTGTATCATCTTCCTATTCCTATCAGTGGCTTAGGCCAGTTGGGTCAAGGGTAAGATTAGCTTCCCAAGAAGAAGTTGAACAAATGAAAAAGGGTAGCTTCCTCTCAAAATTGGAGTTACGTTAGTGAGGTAAGAAGGGGGAACAGAAAGTAGGTAGACAACCAGCAGTGTCTGATACTAACACAGGAAAGTAAAGCTTAAAGCTGGATTTTACATGTTACTACTCTTACCCCTTAGTGGCAGGAGGTGTTCTCTACTAGTCATTTTGACCTTCACCTGTGTTACCCTGTAGCAGGGGCTTATCTCCCACCAAAGGTATGAGTCCCCTCCACCTCTTCTCTCTTGAAGACTGTTTTGTGCCCTAAGTTGACTGACAATGGAACATTGGTCTCCTTTGAGGGAAGTGCCATCCCCATCCCAACTCCCACAGCAGCAGGGGCTGGGGAGGGGTGCTGCTCCCACACTCCCTCCCTGCCCCTGTCCCAGTGGCCCCAGAAGCCAAATACTTCTCTATAATTCCAGATTATTCTAGTTTAAATAATGTAGCTTATCAAACACCAAAAATCCATACTAGAAGATTTTAAGCCACATGAAATTCACATTGCCATTTAGGAAAAAATAATCTTTTTTAAGATCATAGCTCCCTATTCAGATACCTAATTAATGAATATATATTTATATATGTTTTTTCTGCATATATACATATATATATTTGTGGTAAGATACACATAACATAAAATTTACTATTTTAACCATTTTCAAGAGTACAGTTCAGTGGCATTAAATACAGGCATATGAAACTATAATTACATCTACCAGGTGTCCCCACCTAATAGACCTATGTATATTTGAGTGATGATTCTTTTTGATTTCTGTGTCTCTATACTGGAATAAAGAATCTCTGAAATTTGTAATCTATAAAATTCTTGAACTAAAATCTTTTTTTTTTCTTTTTTTTTTCTTTTTTTATCAAACAGACGAGTTGTTTCTCATCCTGAGGGCATATGTGCTTGGGAAAAACTCTGACATCTTAAGAAATGATGTTACTCATGGCTGACGCATGGCTGGCATATGAATCCATATGAATATGATATATGAATCCATGTCACAGGCCCTCCCTCTTTCCATAATAGAACACTTCCAAAATGGCTTCCCATCTCTTGTTAAGCCATCGTTAGCTCCCTGATAATATTAACCCATGAATAATGGCCTCTAGAATACATTTTTTATTATGATGAAAGGTAAAATTTCCTTTGCTAAAAACTATAAAATTTTCCTTTGCTAAAATTATAAAAAAAAACTTGTAAGCAAAGATATCTAGATGCTCCTGATATCACAAAAATATAAATAGTTACTCTAAAACTTCCCCCTCACTGCACAGGAGGGATTAACAAATCACAGGACATTTTCCCTATTCCCTGAACAAAGATTATAGACCCAGAGAGAGCCCTGGTATCAGACAAGAGTCTTGAGGACGCCAGGCAGGATGGCTTCGCCCACACTTCTCTGGCCTTCCCAAATGATGATGAAGAGGTAAGCTGGGGCAATGTCTTCCCTGGGAGATGGAAACCTAGACATTCAACAGTGAGTAGTAGTTTAGGGGAAACAGCTGGCACCTCTGGCAGTCGCCTCAGAGGTCAACCAGCGTGTAGATTGCTTTCCCTCAGGCTTTGGTGACAGTGACAAAAGAAGCATTCAAAATCATAGGCTGAGTGATTGTTCCCTGGAAGCAAGTCTGAGGCCCCTGCAGACGTGGTTGTCAGTGTTGGATCAAAGCACTCTTCTCCTCTGGACAGGAAACAAAGCAGAAAGAATAAACTGGATGCACCTCCTATCTCCAGAGGTAACTAAAAAGATACACCTGGGAAGGACCACTCTAATAAGGGTTTTTGATGAAATGGATCAGAGTCAAAAAGGGAAGCACTTGCCGAAATAGGAGATGCTTCTAAAAACTCTTGATTTTCCCTTTGGCTTTGCTTTTGAAAAATGGAAGCTGTCTTGTGGGGATTTGGAGAGTGATTGAAGGTGCTGATTAGCAGCTGATGAACTGAAAGGGAGTGCTAGAAGGAATGGAATTGGAGCCCATAGAAGAGCTTGTGGCTCTAAAGGGGAAAACAGCAGGAGGCAAGGTCTGTCTGGTTCTTGCTGCATCCCTAGTGCCTAGCATGGTGCCCAGCACAGGCCAGGGTAAAATCGTTTTCTTCTGACTAACTGGCAAAAAAAAAAAATGAAAAACACAAAACCTAAGCAAGCAGCCGGATGAAGTCTCCTGACCTCCCTCCCTTCTTTCCCAAGCCCACTGTCCTAACCCCGTAATATCGTACGTTTCAGTCTGTGAGGGAATAAGCAGGGAGCAGCGGGCATCTTCTAGATCCCTGGACCAGCAGCATCAGCATCACCTGGGAACTTGGAAATGCAAATTATTGTGCCTCACCCTAGACCTACTAAATCTGCAACTCTGCTGACTGGGGCTCAGTAACCTCCAATTCAGCAAGCACTCCAGGGAATTCTGAAACAGTAAAGCTTGAGAACTACCATGCTAGTCGAAATTATGGATCAATTTTTAACTTTTTTGAACTTTTTAACCAGGTGTCTTGGCATTTCGTGAATACAGCATGAGCCCTTTGCATTAACACATGGCACGAAATTGTTTTTTGGCCAGAGAAGAAGTTGGATCGATGGACTTGAGAGCTTTGAACTTCTTTTTGAGGCATTTGGGGTTAGAATGACGTAGAAGGGGATCTTTGGAACATGAAACTTTTTGAGAAAAGCTGTAAATATTTTTGTGATTCTTTTTTGAGAGGCGAGGATAGCTTATGATCCTCACATTTCCCTGCAGAGCATTTGGGCCAGTTTTACTTCCCAGTACTGCATGTGCTGAAAGAAGAAGAGAGAAGTTGAATCTTTAAAGAGGAGACCGGTTCACCAGAAAAAAAAAAGTGTTGCTTGGAAGCTGAAGGCTTCATACTAATTTGTTGCTTTCCTCTTCAATCTGCATGAGAACAGAGCAAGGTTGCTGTCTCGGGAGATTTAAGCAGGGAACCAATCTAGTTTGTCTTCTAAACTGGAACACATGTGAAAGTGAAAGGGGAGTACTATTAATAATTTCCCTAGGACAGTGGGTGTAAATTGGGCGCCACCCTAGACCAGTGGTTCTCAGTTGGGTTCTTTTCGACTCTTCTCCCCCGGGGCACATTTGGCATTGTCTGGAGGCATGTGTGCTTGTCCCAACTTGAGTGGGGCTGTGTGCCACTAGCATCAAGTAGGTAGAGGCCAGGGATGCTGCTCAACATGCTGTAATACAGAAGACAGCAGCTGCAATAAAGAATTGTCTGGCTCAAAATGTCAATAGTGCTAAGGTCAGAAACCCTTGGCTAGAGGACAGATGGGAGAGTAGGTGACCAGTGAAACAATTAGAATGGGGCTGTGCTGCAGAAGGGCTTGAATGCTGGAATGAACCATTTATGTTAATTGGCCATTCAAGGCTCATGAGCAGGGAAGTGTTTTGTTAGAAGTTGGTTTGTTTCCTGCTGTCTTTAATACCCAGCACAATGTCAGGCATATAGTAAATGATGAGTAAATACATTGTCCATCTACCCATCCATCCATCCAGAAAATATTACCTGAATAGCCACCATGTGCCTGGTAGAGTACTGAGATTTGAATGTGGAGGTAAGCTTTATGAAAGTGATTTTGGCATGGGTTTAAAGGATGGGTTGGAATGGATAATTACTGGAGATGAGGAAACAAGTGAGGGGCACTGTAACTATCCAGAGGTAAAACAGGGAGTGTTTAAGCAAGTGCCAACTCAAAGTGGGTGGAAAGGAAGGAAGGAATTGTGTCAAAAATATCTCTAACCCAGCTATGTGATTTGACCCTTGACTCAGTTCAGGCTGTGAAGGAGATGAAGGTGAGCAGGGCTGCTTCTAGATTTTGAGTCTAGGTAACTGAAAGACTAGTGTTGTCAAAACAAGATCTCTTTTCATGGGAAAATTGATATGTCAACTTTGTACCTACTGAGCCTGATGTGCTGGCTGTACAAGTTGGAGCCCCCAACAAGGAGCTAGGGATGTGGGTCTGGAGCCCAGGGAAGACAGGTTAGTGGGACCCTTGCCCAGAATTCACTTCTGCATCTAAGCTCAGGCTACACAGCTTATCATGTCATCATCACTACAGCTATAGGATAAAGGGTTATCTGCTGAGTCCAAAATCTGTTGCCTTCTTGAGAAAGATATTGAGAAACATCCATAACTCTTCAGAGTTCTTTTTTTAAAAAACTATATATCCATTCAAAATATGACTCTCACTATGCAACCTGGTGGAAAACTCTGCATTTGGCCTCGAAATTCTTCTGTTAATAACAGACATTGTTCTCAGAAAAGGCCATTCCCTCTGGAATTTCAAAGATTCAATTATGCAGTGAATTTTCTCCTTTACCAAAGCCGTTGTCTTCTACTCCTCACATAAACATGAGCACGTGGCATGTTTTAAATAAGTACTGCTGGCTTTGTCTTTGAGTCACCAAGAAGAAAAGCCAGTCCCCACATCAGCCTCATCGCCCTCCTCATGAACTCAGTATGTTGTGAATTCTGCTTTAGGGTTGTTTCTTCCTGTAATTGCCTGAGCCCAGGGCAGCACCTTTTATCTGCTAATCATGAGGTGATGTTTTAGTACTGTGACTCCCAAAATGAAGCCCAAGATCCTAACCTCCTTCTCTATTGCTGTTTTCCTTTCCCCTGCTGAGGACTCCAGTGACTTGAGGAGACCCCCATGAAGGAATGCCTGCATAAAATGGTTAGGGAAAGTACATCAACGGTGGCTTCAGTGACTACTCCCACTCAGCCCCATTTCTGTAATTGATTAGTATAATCTGGAGAGTTTAATCTGAGATACATCTAATCTTTGGAAACTTTGTATCACCTTGGTTTTGCCTGTAATTCCCATGCATTTATCACCGCTGTTTAGATGTGTATTATCTCTGTAACACGTATCACAAATTGACTCTTCTTGTCTTCAGTGCGCAAGAGAAACAGACTTTGCCTCCAAAATGTCAGCTAGTTTCTGTTCTGGGAGGTTACCTCTTTTAAATGTGGATACTTGTGAGAAACAACTCTATGTGGAGTGCTAAAGGATGTGGAAAAGGAAATTAGGCTACCTGGATTGGAATCTATCCAAGGGTATCCAGTGTATCTGGTCTTACCCGGCAGACATTGCTAATCTCTCAAAGACTCTTTACCCACTGAACCCAGACACAGCCTCCAAGTAGCTTCCTGGCTGGCTGTCATTATCAGTTCTTTGGAGTGGGCAAATAAAATGAAACTTTGGTGTTATTCCTGCTAGCCTGTAAAACTTATTATGTGAGCTTAGCCTTGTCACCCAAATACTCTAAGCCCCATTATCCTCATCTGAAAAATGGGGTGGAGGTGGTGGTCTTTGTATGTGTGCGTGTGTGGGGGGGTGGGTAAGGATACTATGTTACAGGATTGTAGTAGGGCTACATTTGTTAACATATAAGAGAGCATTTTGAAAATTGTTGAGATTCTTACAAATATTAGTTATTAATAGCGCACACAGCAAAATTCAGGTTATCTATAAGATCAAAACGTATTTACAATATTGATGCTCTCTGATATTGCTCTCACTGGCTTCAGAAATGTCATTCTGGTGGCTGCAGAGGTGACTTCCTCAGCAGAGTACACACTTCCTTGCCACTATAGGCATAGTATTTGCTACCCTGTATCAAAAAATTATGGAGTAGGCCATTCAAAATGTCGCTGGAGGATCAGTGCCAGTCCTGAAGAAATGCAAGTTGTCAGTCTTGGATAAGAAACTTTATAGCAATTTGAAGTCACCATGACATCCAAGTATATAATTGGTGGCCTTATCCTATTGAACAAGGAGAAGACCAGTTCCAATGTGATCAGACTTGTGTGGCAAGTCACATGTGGTATGAACTATGTAGTAGTCATTTACAGTAGGGTCATGAATCAGACTGCCGTAAATAGAGGTTAAATACACACACACACACACACGCACACACACACACACACGCCCTTTACTATGGATGATTTGAGAAGTATCAATATAGAGGATGCAAATGTGCCTATGTGTGTCTGCTTCTAGCAATAACAGGGAAAATGTTTGGTTTATCAAATAGTACCTAGTGCTTTTGAAATCTGGAATCTTCTCATATTAGAGGCTGGGCTCCCTGGTTTTGATTTTTGACACATGCATGGTACCTTAACAGGAAAGCAACAAGAGATTAGTTATTTGCACCTTGCAGGTTCTTCCTTCCTTATTAATGGGGCTCTCTGCTTTCACAAATTCTCTCTTCTATTAAGACATCTGAGAAAGCAATCACCACTGCCAAAAGGAGCCAGCCCAGTAGGAGTGGGATGGATTAGTTCTTGTCCTTATGAGATACCTTTGTTGTTTTCTTTACTATGATTTTATTTTCTTGACTATTAAGACTCGTTAAGACTGAACTGAGTGAAACAAAACAAAAGGAGGCTAAAAAGAGATTAAAATATGAGACTACCTGAGCTTTTCTATATACAGGGCAAACTAGGTCTGTTGATGAATTTCTTTAAGCTTCAGTTTCCTCACCTGTGACATGGGAATGGGAATCCTTATATTCCGAGTGAAAAGTGAGGGTGACATGAGGTCACACAAGAGTAGTATTTATCACAGAGCCTTGGAGAGACTCGGTGCCTGATGCTCGCGATGCAGGGGTAGAGTATATAGTTAGGAGAAGGCATTTGGTAGTGAAATAGAGGTGGGTTTGATTCCAAGATGTGTCACTTCTCAGCTGTATGACCTTGAGTAAATTCTTTGAACTCTATCTCAGTTTCCCCAGCTATACAATGGAGATGATAATAATTGCTGGTATGAGGATTAATGATAATATAGCTGATGCCAAGAATAGTCAGCACTCAATAAGTAGCAGCTAAAAATTGGAAGCTATGATTATAATTAATTTTACTGCAGAAGAAGAATTCAAATAATCTAGATTTGGGTGACCATAAAGAAGAAAACTAAGAGTAAAATTTCCCTGGAATTACAGTGGGCAGCTTTCATCTGGTAACTTTAAATTAAATGGTATTTTAAAAATGGGTATCCTTCGCCGGTTGTGGTGGCTCACACCTGTAATCCCAGCACTTTGGGAGGCCGAGGTGGGCAGATCATGAGGTCAGGAGGAGCCCATCCTGGCTAACATGATGAAACCCTGTCTCTACTAAAAATACAAAAAAAAAAAAAATTAGCTGGGCGTGGTGGCGGGCACCTGTAGTCCCAGCTACTAGGGAGGCTGAGGCAGGAGAATGGCGTGAACCCGGGAGGCAGAGCTTACAGTATGCCGAGATCGCTCCACTGCACTCCAGCCTGGGCGACAGAGCGAGACTCTGTCTAAAAAAAAAAAAAAAAGGATGTTCTTTAAGGAAAGATGGAATAATGACTAGTACATGAAAATGCAGGCATTCGGTATCAAATACAACTCAGTGAAGGATGGTTTTTTTCTATAATGTGAAGTCTAAATTGGGAAATGTATCACCTACTGAAAAGGTAATGGTTACAGAATTTGGGCAGGATAGAAAGCATAATCTTTGAGACCCTTATGTGTCCTTTATTCTTGGCTCATCTGGTAGAAAGAGCTAAACTAGTTGAGCTTGTTGGTTGAGAAAAACCTATTACTTCTAATCACAAAATCGGTCTGTTAGAAAAGAGGAGCCGTAGTTTCATTTCATAATAAACTTATTTGAAAGGCAGTGGAGTGTTGTTGTTTCTGTCTGCTAGTATAACTTCCAACTCTTTCTGATAATAGTGCTTCATTTTCACTAAATAACCGTTCTCCTACATTTCATATGATTTGGGGTGGTTTACTGGTCATAGTATCCCCCTTTCCAAGCCAACAGGATGGGAATGTAACCAGGCTTGCCTAATTAAGCTACACTGTCCCTTGGCCACAGCGATTGGCCCAAGGAGTAAGCATGTGATCCAAACAGAGTTGATTAGAATCTTTCCCTGGGATTTTATATATGAACAATAGGAAAGAGAATTTTTCTTCTTCTCCTTCTCCTTCTTCAATGTGGGCTCACTGAGCTTGAGTAATTAGACCTACAAATGGTTAAAACCATCTACTTCCTCCTCCAGCCACCACCACCACCCCCTGATGAACAGGAAGTCAGCCCAATACCCAGAGAAGCAAATCGATGGAGAGGGCATCTAAGCATTTTGAATTTCTGAATGCCACTGAGTTCAGGAATAGAACTTGTATTTAATGTTGGTTGGTATTGGAGGCAAGGGTAATATTTGTTTGAGGTTCTGTATTGCTGTCAGAGAAATGCACTGTAAACCACGTGGTACTCAAGGAACATAAACTGACTTGTAACAAAACATGTTGATAGCAGGATGGTGTGATTCAAGACCTCATATTTGCTTTTTATATCAAGGGATGCTTGAGCTAATTTTCTTTTCAGAGTCCATTGATAAGTAGCAATATCTTGTATTACACATTCCCCATTATCATTTTGACATACACTGACAGTCACATGGAGAAAACAATTTTTTTTTTCCGCGTGGAAATGGCACAATACTAATCTTATTCCTTTGTCCTGATTATACTGTGAACAGGAAATGGAACAACGTCAATCTCTCTGCTTTGGGATCCATAAAATGTGTTTGTAGAGAGGACTGGCATTTTGGTGTACTGCAATGCAGAGAAAGAAGGTACACTTGGTGACTGCATTTATGATTTGAGAAAATTTCATTTTTTAAAGATAATGAATTTAGCTCTTCCGCTAGGGCCATGTTCAGTCTTTATTCTGGCAAAACACAATGAAAGGTTTTTTTTTTTTTTTTTTTAAAAAAAAAAAAACATTTCCACAGCAGTAGTTCATTCATTAAGCCCAAAAGAACATTAGCTAAGAGTAAAACGTTGGGTTTTAGCCTCAAGACTGTCACCAGCTCTGTGTATAACCTTGGTCCGTAACTTTTTCATGGACTCAGTCTCTTCAACTATAACAAGGTTATTAGAGTACTCTGCCTTCTGACCACAATAGGTTTATCTTATGACTTGAGATGGGGAGTACATACCCTAAGGTGGAGGTGGGGAGATGATTTTGTCCTCTATAATCTAGAGTGAAACTCTCAAAAGTCTAGGGAGTACATAATATGTGATATTTGGTCCTGAATTTTAGAGCAGTTTTGAATCACAAAATAGTTTTCTGTGGCTAAGGCATACCAAAAAGCTGAAGCTAATGGAACTCCCCCTGGTTCTAGATAAAAGGATTAAGGCAATCACACAAGCAGAAAAAGGGGAGGATAGTGAGATAAAGTAATCACAAAATAAAGCAAAATGCATAAATGCAAGTGAAGTCATCATTTCAGTGATAGATTTAGGATCAGAATGAGAAAATCCCTCTTCTCATTTCTGAGTGTATGGACAATGAGAAATCTTAAAAGGGGAGCAATTTCTGTCTTGAGATTTCATTTATGACTTAATTATGTGTTCTTTGGTAAATTACTTTCACTGTAATGCTGATTAAGAATGAATGTGGTTATTATGTTTTGATCTTGCATTGCTTCAGTAACTTCTTAGAAATCATCCTTTTTAGATTCAAGTAGAAAGTGTGTCCAAATTTTAACACAGGAAGGACAAACTCCATAACAAAGAGAATGTCGGTGATCTTCATAAACTACCACTAATGACTCATTCTCTTATTAGGTTGAGAGTGGTTCTGCTGATTATTAAGATAATTAGAGCCATCAGATTTTGCCATACCTCACGTTGATGGTATAATTTGTAGTCTTTTAACTAATTAGAGGCTACTTTTATGGTGTGGTTGTAAAAGAGGGTGGAGGGTGATGCAATCCCTGTTAATGAACTTCACGAACCCCTTATTTATCATAGAAAGCAAAACATTAGAGATTATTCTGTGACCACCTTTAAGTGTTGTATGAGAATAGGTAATCAAAGCACAAAAAGAAGCCGAGCAGCGGTGACATAAAACCTTCCTAAATTATCAGCCGGATTTGGAAGCAAGAATGCGATTGCCGGTGAGAGACAGTGGCAAACCCGCTGGTCTCAGCCCAAGGATATTGTGCTGCTCTTTGCTAAGTCAGTTGGCCAGAAGCTATCTACAGAAGTGGCAATTATTCTATTCTTTCTAAGCACTATCTCCTCCCTCCCCACATACCACGTGTTCCACCCTCCCCTTCTCAAATTCTGGTTAGTGATTTCAAGTAATCCTTTAGTCCCATCAGATTTACTTTTAGACATATCCCAGATCCAGATAATTTGCACCATCTTCACTGCAACTCTCTTCCAGGTCCTGGAAGGTAACAGTCTTCTTGTTGATCCTCCAGCCTATGTTCTTGTGCCTGGAATCTACTCTCTGTGTGGAAGAACTCCGCAAAACAGATTTTGTCATGCCCCCGTTGTCAACCTTCCATTGGCTTCCAACCACTACACAATGACACCCAAACTCCTTGTTTGAGTCTGGAATGCCCCGAATGATCTGCCTTCCTCATCTTTTCCATGCCTCTCTTTATTCACCCAATAGCAGTTACATTGCCCTTTTTCTATTCTTGGACACGTTAAGCTTGTTTCTGCCTTAGGCTGTCTGTACTGGCCACTTCCTCTGCGTGGAATGGTTCTTCCTGGATCTCACATGGCTTGCTGTTTCTGCTTATTCATGACTCAGCTCAGATTCCCCACCAAACCCCAGCCAGGCTTTCCCTGTCCTCTCTGCAAGTGGCCCTTACTCCAGGTACTCTCTATCTCATCATCATGCTTGCTGGTCTCTGTATCGTCTATCACTCTCTGAAATGTGCTCATTTATTCAGGGGTTTATTGTCTGTGGCTGGTAAATATTTGTTGAATTAATGAGTTACTTTAACAGGAGAACCATATTTCATGTGCCATCTTTCATAAAACTGTGGTATATAAAACAGATGTAGAGGGAACTGCTCTGGATGCAGTGAGGATGGAGAAGGCACTGGATCCACTTTGATGCTCTCTCTCCCCGTTCCTGCCTCTGCCGAACCTCAGGCTCTCACTCCCCACTCTGAATTTGATGAATGCAATTTGAACACCGTAGCCCTAGACTGTTGGTTGTGGAGGTGAAGGAGTGGCTGGGTACATTTCCACCATCGCCTGCCTGAATCCAAAGCTTGGCTGGTAAGCCCCACTGTGAATCAAGACTTTCTCTCTTGGTTACTCTTCTTTGCAGAGGAGCCATAAAGTAGATTGCAAAGGGTAAAAGCATTCTGTTAGTGAGTGAATGGGTCTTAACAAAAGATCTGTTCCCTTTTATGTCCTGCAGAGGCTCTGACCTAGAATCCCATTTGGCACCTCGTTATATCCCAGGCCCTGGCTCCAAGGGGAGGTCGTTATTTCAGCCTGTAATCTGACATAAAGGCTTCCCATTTTTCAGCTACATAAAGTAATATAACACACATCTCAGCATCAGACATTAGGATTAACACTGACAAGGCTTACGTTAAAATGCTCTGCTAGGCAGCATCTCTAAAGTGAATAGAATAGCTAACGTGCTTGCACGATGAATGATTCTTCATGGGGAGAAGGATTTATGTTTAAATACTATTAACATTTTCACTGTGACAGCCATGGTTTAAAAGACTGGTATTTAAATATAAGATTTAATGTATTTCTATAATAATGCTAATCCCACAGTATTAATTTTTTATGCTTTTAAGTTTGATAACCCAACTCACCAGTTTAGAAAATGTCATTTCTTCCTTGGTTTAATTTTTTTCTTTTTTTAAATGAAATTGAAATTATACAATTAAGATGAAGTACATAATTTGAAAATAAGGAACCATCTATTTGACCTAGAGTGGAGGAGTCAGAAATGGGCAGTTTCAATTTAGGCTGAATGTGGATCATTAATTAGCAGTGACAGTAGTAGTAATACAACTAATTATGAGCCTGAAGCTCTGGCCCCCTCAGGAGAGGCAGCCTTGATGGTATAGGAACTGCTCTGGAGATTATAGGAAGGTGAAAGAATTAGGCCTCCCTTCTAAATGAACAGCATGCAAAATGTTTTTTTTTTTTTCTCTCTCTCTTTCATATAATTTCAGAAGGGCCTTTTAGGCAGAAAGGGTTAAGTCTGAATGCCCCCTCTTCCTTCTTCCACAGAAAAGCATTGCTTCTTAGAGGCCCACGTTGTGTGCAGAGAGAGGGTAATGCATGCATGAGGGTATGACATGAACACCAGTTCATGAGAACAAAGAAACTGCAAGTCGTGTTAACCTGCCCAGGGCCACAGGATATAGGGCTGCGGGTTGTATACTAGATCAGCCAGAGTGGGCTAGATATGCTGCAGGAATGAAGAGCGCCAATATTTAAACAATACAAGTATATTTCTAACATGCTATATTAATCTGTTTTCATGCTGCTGATAAAAACATACCCAAGACTGGGAAGAAAAAGAGGTTTAATTGGACTTACAGTTCCACATGGCTGGGGAGTCCTCAGAATCATGGTGGAAGGCAAAAGGCACTTCTTACATGGTGGCAGCAAGAGAAAATCAGGAAGAACCAAAAGCAGAAGCCCCTGATAAACCCATGAGATTTTGTGAGACTTCTTCACTATCGAAAGAATAGCGTGGGCCAGACCAGCCCCCATGATTCAATTACCTCCCACTGGGTCTCTCCCACAGCATGTGGGAATTCTGGTAGATACAATTCAAGTTGAGATTTGGGTGGGGACACAGCCAAAACATATCATATGCCTTTTGTGGGTTAGCTAGGTACTGTGTATATGTCTCTTCCTTTTAAGAATATAGGCCGATCACTGTCTGCCATCTGCGATCTTGCTGGTTGTCATGGCAGAAAGAAACAAATATGGTAAATTGTGCACGAACTCATAAAGGCTTCCACCTAGAATGGGATCATATCTGTTTTCCTTCATTGGCCATGGCAAGCCACATGGCCACATCTAATTTCAAGGGAGCAGGGAAGGGCAAACTTTTCATTCAGCAGGAAGAAGACAAGCTAGAAATATTTGTTGATGGCTCTTAAAACTACCGCAGGCACCTTGCCAATGGGTGAGCAGGAGCTGAATTTGAGCTGCAATGCTTTGGTTAAGCAATGAGCTCTGGCTCAGAGCTTCATCTGCCTGGAAGAAGGAGCACCTTTTTTTATCCTTTATAAGAAGGTACTTCAGAAGAACAGACCCTTAGCTATGTAATCCATTTTGCCTGCTGGATGACGGTAATAATCTTAATTCATTCACTTGTTTTCATATTCAGAAGTATTGAGTGACTCCCTACTATGAGCTAGACACAGGGAGTAGAGCTGTGAATGAATAATCATGCATGGTCTCTGGCTTCATTGGGTTTATGGTCACTCAGGGAAGACAGATAATGAAAAGGAAATAATTACAGATGTGATGGATGCTAATGGAAGGAGATCTGTAGGATGCTATAGGATCATATGACAGCAAATAAGTTATCCGTTGCAGGCGTTGTTTCTTCTTATGCAGCATTGTGACTTTCTCCTTCAGGGATACCCAATGGTTTTGAATGCTTTCAGCAGATAATTAGACCAAACCACCAATAATTTAGAGGACTTGTTATTTGGGACATCAGTGAGCACTGGAGTAGTCTAAGGGGTGATGTGCGTCACAAAGCAGGCCCTGAAACGTCCCTCTGATGTTCATTAAGACTTTATCGTAGAGTGGCTGGGGCTGAGAGGGAGTGGGTAACTGCATTGGCATGGAGACAAGCATTGACCCAGGTTTCTAAATATCTCACCTTAAAAGGGCCCTGTTGCAGTGTACTGCCCGTATTCCTTGGATAGGACTATTCCTCGGATAGGACTATTCCTCTACACATTGTCCCCTGGCTTCCATCTTTAAATACTATTACATTCTGGCTGTTGTCTTTTTCTAGTCACTGGTGTCTACTTCGTGTTTGTGCAGTGCAAACTAGCCTGAAAGTGCTAGGAATTTAATCTCCCAGCCCACATCCTACCCCGTCACCCCTTGGTAGCAGTTATCAGAATGACTCATGGAAGTTGGTGAGTAAGTACCCAGGCTCCTTTGCTCTTGTGGAGGAATAACTGGGAAACGTATCTATAGTGTTTCCCAGTGAAACGGAGTCCCTCTTGCCCACAGCAATCACATGTTTAATAACACACATTTTCTTCCCTCCCGATCTTACTTCCTCACTCCACTAGTGGTGATTTCTGCAATTACCTTCTAAATCAACTACTTGCCTTCAAAGTCTTGTCTTCAGGGTTTGCTTTAGAGGAACCCAGCCTAAGAAAAGTATATTTAAATACCCAGCCAATAATCCCCAGAATGGGGACCTGTGAAACATTCTCTGTGTCTGCTCTTCTACAAACGGGATGCTAAGAAAAAAGGTGCCATTTGACATAGATAACACAGAGAAATAGCAAGTGAGTCTTGCTGGATGGTCATTGGTCTTAGCTGGCTGATTGCTGTTATGATTGTTGATATGGTTTGGCTGTGTTCCCACCCAAATCTCATCTCAAATTGTAGCTCCCATAATCCCCATGTGTCGTGGGAGGGACCTGGTGGGAATCATGGGAGCGGGTTTTTCCCGTGCTGTTCTTGTGATAGTGAGTAAGTCTCACAAGATCTGATGGTTTTATAAAGGGCAGCTCCCCTGCGCATGGCCTCTTGCCTGCCACCATGTAAGATGTGCCTTTGCTTCTCCTTTGCCTTTCACCATGATTGTGAGGTCTCCCCCACCATGTGGGGCTGTGAGTCCATTAAACCTCTTTTTCTTTATAAATTACCCAGCTATGGGTATTTCTTCATAGCAGTGTAAAAATGAACTAGTACAGTTTTGCTTTCAAAAATACTGGCAGGGTACACTGTAGCATCAGTTACAGGTTTTTTTTTTTCCCAAAGGCATCTTGTGATAATTTGGCATTTTTTGTTTATATTCATCATCCAACTAGTACCAATTACATCACATAATCCTTTGGGGAAAAAACACACACTTTAACACAAAGCAAAGGCCATAGAAAATATATTTGACTATTTTTTTTTCCTTCTGAATACCATGTTTCATGTTCTTCTAGTTCATAATTTCTTCCTCAGCTGTATTGTTTACTATTTAACTTTTTGGCATAAAAATATATTGATGAGAGAAAGAAATTAAGGTCTAATTTATGAAAATAGACTTCTTGTACTTCAGGAAATTCATGTGGCGCTATTTGGAAAAGGTGATGAATGTGATTTTCAGTAGAGTATCTGCATAAATTATGATTGATTTGCAATTCATCACCTTCCTTTATTGTTCCTCCTCAGTGCAGAGACCTTATCTGTGCATTATCAAGGAGGGAATATTTTTAGTTAGTGATTATTTGGCAGAAGTGCTAATAATGATGGGGAAATTTTTAAGAAAATATTTCCAAACTGGGAGTTTCTGCATTTTCAAAAATAGCACCCTGGAAGTTTGCACTGAGCCCTTCCATCTTTCAGGTGTTGCCTTCCTTAAATGATGTCTGAAAATAAATGTTTCTGTGTGAGTTTGGCCCCAGTGGGTTTGGCCTTGAGCTTCAGAGAATGACATTAGGGCACAGAAGTATTGCCAGTGCTGCCTATTCCACAGCCTCCCAATCAGTATAACTGACGTCTCAATCTTCCTCACCCTCATCATCTTTGTACATGGTGTTGGTGTCCATGTTTGCCATGGAATGGGTCATCTTGTGTTTTAGCTGTCTTTGAAATAGATTGCACTTACCCTATATACCACCACCCATGCTTCCTCATCTCTATGTGCTTGTGCTTGCTTCCCCTTCAGCCAAGAGTCCATTCTTCTCATCCTGCCAGCCAGTCAAGCTCTGTTTCAAGTTTCTGCTCAGTGCCACGTCCTCCACAGAGCTTTGTCCATCAGACTCCCCTCTTTCTTCCTCTTCTCTTCAGACCCAGGCACAAGGCAGCCCACTATAGTAGGAAAAAAAGAGATCTTTCGGGTTCTATGGACCTGGGCTCTGCCATTTACTAGCTGGGGGATCATGGATCATTACTGGATTTTCATACCGTGCTATTTCAATGTATAATTCCCACCTTCTGGTTCAGAGAAGGAGCTTGGGGAATGTAAATATTCTTTTTCCTTCTATTTTCTGAAGTTTCCTCACACCTTATCTGACACTCTCTGGTGGCTCCTTTTTATTCTGTTCTACCCTGTATTAGAACTATTTATGTAGATGTTTTATCTCACTTTTCATAATAAACACAAACATACTGATACACACTGACTGCCCTGTGCTCACCAAGCACCTGTTCTCCAGTCAGTCTCATACTTTTCATTAAATCAAACAAACAAGGTAAACAAATAAATACCTGTGTCTTAAGGGTGTTGATGAAGGGTGTGGATGTTATGGGTGGTGATTTGGAATAACAGAAGAATTATATTACACCTAACACTTCAAAATTTATTCAACTTTTCTCCAACATCCTTCTTTTCCCTACAAGTTCCATTCCCTATGGCAACTGTTTGCTTGTTTGCAAGTACTCTCTCTCAATATCTAGCAATCAGTTTTTCTCCTTGCATACCTGGTCACCCTTCTCTCCTTCTTTATACCGAATCTTCTTTTTCTTTTTGTAAGTCAGCTAGCTGTCCTTTGGCCATTCTCATTTGCATTCCTGATCATCAATTCTTCCCAACAAAGGGTCTTCTCAGAAAACAAAGAAGGATTCTAATCATGTATAACATAATTTTCCCATTAAACTTATGCTATTTTCTTCTTCTCAGAGCTCAGCACTTTTAGTATTTTTTTTAATTCTGAAGCTGTTTCAAACCGACAGAAGGGTAGCAAGAACTGCGGTATCCTTTCACCCTGATTATCCACCTTGCAACATTTTAATTCTCTTTCATTCAGAGAGATCAATATATAGATATTCCCTTTCAGATATGATGCTCCATCACTCTTCAGGTGTTTGATTACCTTCCCAAAACAAGAGCACTCTTCTCATTACTATTATAAAAACACTTCCAATCAGGAATCAACACTGATACAGCACTACCATTCAGTCCACAGGCCCCATTCACATTTTGCCAACTGTCTCAGTGATGACATTTTCTTTTTTGGTCCAGGATGCTATACAGAAACATACACTGCATTTAATTATTATTTTTCATCAGTTTCCTCCAATCTGGAATGGTTTTGTTTGTTTGTTTGTTTGTTGAGAGTCAGAGTCTCCCTCTGTCGCCCAGGCTGGAGTGCAGTGACGCGATCTTCAGCTCACTGCAACCTCCGCCTCCCAGCTTCTAAGCAATTCTCCTGCCTCAGCCTCTGGAGTAGCTGGGATTACAGGCACACACCTCCATGCCTGGCTAATTTTTTGTATTTTTAGTAGAGACGGAGTTTCACCATGTTGGCCAGGCTGGGCTTGAACTCCTAACCTCAGGTGATCCACCCGCCTCAGCCTCCCAAAGTGCTGGGATTACAGGCGTGAGCCACAGCACCCAGCCTGGAATGGATTTTTATTCTTTCCCTGTCTCGTGTTTTCCTGCCTTAAAGAGTATAGGTCTTTTTTTCCTGTAGGATGACTCTTTCTCTGGAGCTTCCACTGTTTCTTCATTATTAGACTCAAGTCATGTATTCTTCCATGCCATCTTGGCAGGAATTCCACAAAAACGCTGCTGAGCTCTTCTCAGCATATCACATCAGAAGGCAACCACACTGACCGTATCCCCACTTGATCACCTGGTCCAGTTGGTACTTGCCAGATCTCCCCATCATTCTTTGAGCATTTCTTTATATTCTGGTACAAAAAAGATGCTCCAGGATCATCTTATACTGTCCCTGTCCAGCCTTGGAATCAGCCACTTCTCCAAGCAGCTCTGGTTCCTGTCCGTGTAGAATGATTTTAGAAATCAAGATCTGGGTGCTTAGCATGCTTATTGTTCCTGTGATGTCAATGCTTTGAGACCCAGTCAACACAGAGCTAGGAAATATGTACATATAAGTCCACACAAACACACACTTATTATTATTTCCATATCTGGGTATGTGTATATGTTTACACATAAGCCACATGAATTCATATCAGTATCTTCAATTCAAATCTAAGTCTTTTCCCCCTTCCACATTTATAAATACCTTCTCTGACAGAAACTTGGTTCCCATTATCCTTAATATATATACTCATTTGTTCAATATTAGCCTTCACTGCCCACCACCTGCGTACATCTCATCCTCTGCTCTGCTTCCTCACACACTAGAAACACCACTGCCCCCATCCATGCAGCACCCCTCTCCCCACGTTGCCCTGCATGTTCAGTTACAGAGCAGGCTGCCATCACTACCCACCTCCACAAGACACCCCTCGCTCCTGCCTCCTCAGATGCTATCATTTCTCTCCAAGAAAGAAAGGGAAAAGGCTGGGCACGATGGCTCACACCTGTAATCCCAGCACTTTGGGAGGCCGAGGCAGGTGAATCACAAGGTCAGGAGTTTGAGACCATCGTGGCCAACATGGTGAAACCCCGTCTATACTAAAAATACAAAAAATTAGCCAGGCGTAGTGGCGGGCGCCTGTAATCCCAGCTACTTGGGAGGCTGAGGCAAGAGAATCACTGGAACCCAGGAGGTGGAGGTTGGAGTGAGCCGAGATCGCTCCACTGCACTCCAGCACTCCATCTCAAAAAAAAAAAAAAAAAAAAAAAAAGAAGGTGGGAAAAGGAAGGAAGATCACCATTTATGTCTTTTTGCTGATAGATGATGTGGGAAACTCCCATACACCTTTCACAGCAGTCACACATATGTTGAATGGGCAAACCATTCTTTGACATCTACTCACTCCCTTTTACTCTCTCTGCATTACTTACTTGTCTCCAAGGCTGTGTCTAAGCATAGTTGAAGACAGAAATCATTTAATAATATTCAGCTGAGCCAACTGGCCATAAAGCTGAGACTCCAATTAGGGGAACTGGAAGCTCTGGGCAGTGGTGTCAGGGGACCAGCAGGTGGCGCCCGTAAGTTCTACTCTAAACCTTTCTGTATCCAGGCTTGTTCACTACCTTCTTTCACCACCTGGTTTCTCTCTATCAGAGCTCTTTAAAAATATGTTAGCATTCACAGTTCCCAGTATCGCTGCAGACATAAATGTTGAGAAATGCATTCTTGTTTTCCTTCCCAAGGCACCAATAGTACAAAGACAAGCATAAAGCCCCTTAGGATACAAAAAAAAAAAAAAAAACCCAGCACTTTGCACAGCATAGTCATAAGTGACGTCACTCTGTAATCTTTAACAGGAGTGGTGTTTTCCACGCTCATAGGACAAACTGACTCTTGAATCTTTGTTAGGCCTCCCTGTCTAATCGATATGTAAGTTTCTCTAGGGAAAGAATAGGGTGGAATATTATTTGTATAATCTTGTCCTATGAAAATATGAAAGAGATTATTGGCAACATTTTTGATAACCTGGTGGAATAAAACTCCAAGCCCTGCCTAAGGTAAATTATCATAAATCTTATATGTCAGGAACGTGGTAGAGAGTTGCAGGTAGGCAGTGAAGTGGCCAGAATGTTTAAAAAAAAAAATATTCTGACCTGGAATCTGTGGCAGAGTGGAGAGAGTTGCGGTGACATATCTGATCTCATTAGTGCTTAAGGTTCCTCACGCAGAGATGGAGAAATGACAGTGTATCGCTCATTCCTGCCCTCTGAAGCCTTTCCATTAGAAATGCTGCAATTTAATCTCACATGTCACAAATCAAACCCCAACTTGAAAACTGCTTCCCCTGAAAAGGTGAACACATTCCATGCCTTGTGGAAGGAACTCCAGTGCCCCTCAGAGGAAGTGCTGTGTCCCCGATAGCAGCTGGTAATATCAGCTCCACATTTGAAAGGACCCCAGGCATCAGTATTCAGAGACTGCGATTGTTACATTAGCGTGACTTTTTGCAACTTATGTGACTTTGGGTGAGTTGTTGAAATTCCACTTGACTCAGTTTCTTTATTCACTAATTGAGCATAATCTCCACCATTCAGGGTGGTTGTGGGGATTAAAGGAGAGTTAAAAAAAAAAAAAATACTCAGCCGGGGAGCTAAGTACTTGATAAATAGAAGCTGTAACTTATTATTGCTTACTGTTACTTCCAGACTCTGAGCTAAGGGCTTTATATTGTTTACTTCCTTAATTCCCACAGAATTAGATAGATATTATAAAAAGCCATTTTGCAAAGAAGGAAACTGAGTCTTAGAGAAATTAGATAACATTGCTACATTATACAGCTAGAAAAATGGTACATTCCAAAGCTAATGAAATCTTTCTGTAATGTTACACTGCTACTTGTATATTGGAAATAAAATTTGTTATGCCTTACAATTGAGTATACTACTAAGAAGAATGGTCTGCATCTATATTCCTTTGTGAGAGAAGGCTGTAATTTTCCTCCCTTGTGATTTTTATGCCTGGTCCTAGTAACAGGGTTATACTGATTTACAGAATCTATGGGGAATAATCTCTTTTTTTCTATCATATGGAAGAGTTTGCATAAAATTGGAATGATGTCTTCCTTGAACATTGGGAAAAATTTGCGTGTAAAATCACCTGGTGTGATGTTTTCTTTGCAAAAAAAATTTTAACAATTACCTTAATTTATTTAATAGCCATAGGGCTATATAAACTTTTTGTTATTTCTTGGGTCCATTATGGTTAGTTATAAATTTTTAGGCATTTATACATTTCATCTAAATTTTTAAAAATTTTGACAGATAGTTGTTGACAATAGCCATTTATTATTTTAGTTGTAATAAATATTCACTTTTTCATTCAAAACATCTTCCTCTTTTAATCGATATTGTCAAAGGTTTATCTATTGGCTGGGCGTGGTGGCTCACACCTGTAATCCCAGCACTTTGGGAGGCCGAGGCGGGTGGATCACGAAGTCAGGAGATCAAGACCATCTTGGCTAACACAGTGAAACCACGTCTCTACTAAAAATACAAAAAAATTAGCCGGGCGTGGTGGCGGGCGCCTGTAGTCCCAGCTACTTGGGAGGCTGAGGCAGGAAAATGGCATGAACCCGGGAGGCAGAGCTTGCAGTGAGCCAAGTTAGTGCCACTGCACTCCAGACTGAGCGACAGGGCAAGACTCCGTCTCAAAAAAAAAAAACAAAAAAAGGTTTATCTATTAATTATTTTATCAAAGAATCTACTTTTGACTTTTTTGATCTTTTCTAGAAAATATTTTTCTATTTCATCAATTTGTGCTCATATTTATTGTGGTTTTTCTTTTGCTAAATATGAACTTATTTTGTTCAGTTTTTGTATACTTAAGATTGACACCTTATTAACATTGAGGCTATCTTCTATTATAAGTACAGATTTTAATATGTAGCATTTCATTATTATTCAGTTGTAGGTAACTTTTAATTTCTTCATAGTAAAATATCAAGTGGGGGAAAATAAGTTTGTGAGGATAGCATAAGATTAAATAAGGATGGAATCCTTTTTATAAAATTTAAAACAGCTTAGATTATAAAGCATGTTAGGACCAATTATACATGCAATAAAACCCTGTAAGAAGAAAGATGAACCTGGCACTCAGGAACATAATGACCTTGGAGACAAGAAGATAAATGGGGGAGGACAACATGGATAGATGGGGGTCATTATGAGGGTCAAAGCTGTTGGTTTATATGTGGCATTCATGGGTGTTTATTCCATTTAACAGAATAACTTACCAAGTAATATCAGGAAAATTTTTATAATTAACATTGGGCAAATTCTTACTATGTACCAGCCCATTTTAATACTCACTGTATCCTCAAAAGAACCCTGCGAGGGGAAAACATTGTTTAATGTTACAGTTATGATAGATCCAAGTACTGAGTGCAATTAGTATTGAATCAAACTGCTTCAGAGGCCACAATTGTGATCACTGGATATGAGTTTTGGAAAGGCAAACCAAAGTCTTTTTAGTAATCAGGTCTGTAGTTATGTGAGGTAGAGAGCTTCCTGTCAGTGGAAGGATTCCAACAGAGCCCATTTTCTCCTTCCAGGGATGTGCCGTTGGATAAAGAGACTTAGCTGCATGAGCTTCTTAGCCTCCTATTAATACCAAAGGCCTCAGGGCAGTCTGGCTCCTCTCTCTCTGCTCACTTAATGAGAAAGTTATTTAGAGAGGGAGCCTAGTATGGCAATAATATGGGCTCTAGAGTTTCCTGGACCTCGGTTCAAATCCCAGATCTACCAATTACCAGCTTTGTGCCTGTGAAAAACAATTCTATTCCCCAGACCTCAGTTTTTTCATCTGTAAAAATCACAAAATTGTGAGGATTAAATAAAATAAGCTCTGGATTCTGCCCTGCACTGTGCTTGGACTAGAGAGTGCTCTGCGGTGTGAGAGAGAGGGAAATGAGATTTGCTAAATATGTGATGCCAGCACCTGGATTCCCTAAGACAATGAGTTCTGACACTTCACGAGGTAGAATAATGACCTAAGTGATGATTGGGATGCTCATTGGAAAGTCAGATGGGAAACTTGACCTCTTTGCCTTCCTGTCCCTGTTTTTTTGCACATGCGACGTAAGCACAATACCGAGCTTCAATTATTTATCAGACGTATTTGTGTTCAGTGACACGTGTGGCAGATATAAATCTGTGGGTTCTTCCCCCTGGAATGCTTCCGGGCGAGTTATACAGCAGGGACCCTTTAAAGCATCAGCGTTGAAGAGCAGAGATTGATTTCCTTCCCAGCCTTTTTCTTTCATGCACCTTAGGCTTCTGGGGATTTCCTTGCAGTGCAGGGCTAACGACTTTTGATACCAATCAATGCAAAGCTAATTAATTTACTTCACAATTTTCATGTACTCGAAGTACCCAATGGTTCAAATGATTTGTTGTTGTTTTTTGTTTGTTTTTGTTTTTTTTAGAAGTCTGTTCTTTGTCTTATTTTTATTTTTTACACGTGGACTAATTAGCTCCTGATGACTTTATCTATTGGTGGGATTCTAATTGTAGCAGGAGTGTGGATTGCAACGAAGGAGCACTGAGATTCCATGACTTCCATGCTTTTTAACTGCTAAGTCTTCATGACAGGAACTCTAGACTCTCAATAAGTATAATTTTATTTTGATAGTTTATGGAAATTAGCTAGCTAATTTTAACTGTCTCTGGGAAGTTCCAACATGGCATGAGATGGAAAGTGTCTATGTGTGTGTCCCCATATCTCTGTGTCTGCATATGTGTCTGTCACACACACACATGCACACCCACAATAGAATATGATGAAAATAAAAATTTGTGGAAATTATTCTCAATCTGGAAACTATAAATTCTTCACTTCTTAATTTAAAACATCATCCTTTCATGGTGATATTAAAGAATTAGTTCATTTAGATAAGCTTCCAGTTTCATATTTTGAAGTATTTAGTGGATATTTTATTGACTGAAGATTACACTTAGTTTTCATGTTGGTATAATTTAAATATATTATTCATAGGACTTGCAAATCACATAATACAACTGAGAAAACAAGATGTACCTCAATGATAGAAAGTATAGGCTATGAAATTCACCAAACTTGAGTTTGAATCTTGGCTCTAGCTTACAATGGCCAGTTTGAAATATCTACATTCTTTGAGTTTCAGCTTCTTGAACTGTAAAATGAAGATCATAATAGCCTATGTGGATATTTCAAAAATGAGTGTTCAAACAGTGAGATACCACCACACACTTATTAGAAGAGCCCAAATCAGAACACTGACAATGCCAAATGCTAGAGAGGATGTGAAGCAACAGGAACTCTCATTCATTTCTGTTGGGAATGCAACATATTACAGCCTCTTTGGAATACAGTTTGGCGATTTCTTACAAAACTACATGCTCTTACAACATGATCCAGCAGTTGTATTCCTTGATATTTACTCAAAGGAGTTGAAAACATAGCCACACAAAAATCTACACATGAATGTTCATAGCAGTCTTATCCTTAATTGCCAAAACATGGAAGCCACCAAGAAATTCTTCAGTGGGTGAATGGATAAATACACTGTGGTACATCCCAACAAGGGTTTCTGATTCAGTGCCAAAAACAAATTAGCTATCAATCCATGAAGAGACATGGCGGAAACTTAAATGTATATTACTAAGTGAAAGAAGCCTACCTAAAGAGGCTGCATGCTCCATGATTCTGACTATATGGAATTCTGGAAAAGGCAAAATTATGGAGATAATAAAAAGATCAGTGGTTGCCAAGGATTAGGAGGGAGGGAGGGATGAATAGGCGGATCACAGAGGATCTTTTAGGACAATGAAACTACTCTATATGATACTGTAATGGTGGATACATGCCATTATACATTTACCCAAACCCATAGAATGTACAACACCAAGACTGAATCCTCTTGTAAACTATGGACTTTGGGTGATATGTCCTTGTAGGTTCACAAATTGTAACAAATGTACCAGTCTGGTGGGGGGAAGTTAATATGGGAGGCAACATATGTGGGGCAGGGGATATGTGGGCTATCTCCGTACCTTACTATCAGTTTTGCTGTAAACCTAAAACTTCTCTAAATATAAAGTCTTTACTGTTTTAAAATGAGTATTCATGTAAAAGGTGTGGCGCATTTCTTGGTATATAGTATGTGTGATATAAACACCACCCGCTTGTCGATGGGGGTAATATTACTGTTTGGTAATTCGTTCTCTTGCTCTACTCTCTACCCGAAGAACAAAGCACCACCCAAGAGTTTAAAAATTAAAGAGCTTACACTGAAGGCCTCCAGCTAGTTTACCTAAGGAGATGGAATGTGGCTGGGTGGAGAGCCATATGCTGGAGAACAGAACTCCACCATACCTTGAATGATTATATGTGATTTTCAGAACTACTCAATGTAACAGTTTAATTAAAATATCCAGGAAGAACTAATATCCCCCGACTGGGTGAATCTTATCTCTACTAAACTGAGACTCAAGGAATGTGTTTTAGAGCAAGATGAAAGGGTAAATTACAATCAGTTCTACAGGTATGTGTGACTACTCTTTTTCTCTTAATTGGGACCTTCTTACTAGTTTGTTTTAAAAAGACTGCAAAGTCGTGTCTGATTTTCATGTTGTCAGAAGCTTGTAGGAGCTTTAATCTTGCAGTTTAAAAATAACACCTCCAAGAAGAAACTAACATAATAATGCATGTAGCATCACTGGGGATCAAGGTAAATTCTAGTGGGAATGGCAACTTGTGATAGTGATATTCTGTAGTTTTGGGCAAGACCCTCTTGTCTCTTGAGAACACGAATGAATGTAATAAGCCTGACTGAGGGGTGAAATGAGCTTTGCAACAATGACTAAGAACAAAGCTAAGTATTACATAGGTTGGGTGTGTATCAAGTGATAATTGAATGGGCTTGGAGTTGGCTAAACCTGGGTTTGAAGCTCAAGTCTACCACTCCATTAGCTGTTTAACTTAAGACAAGTTACTTAGTTTTTCACACTTTGCCTTCTTCTCTGTTAAATTGAGATAAACATAGGTCCCTTGCATGGGAGTTGTAAGGATCAAGTACAATAATGGATATGAAATACTTAGCATAGGTCTGGCACATAAGAAATGCTCTGCATATTTCTAATCTTAACATTTTCTATTAAATATTACATTTTACCTGACATTTAACCAGTAGCTAATGAGCCATAAAAGTTCTAGTTAGTTAATAATTAATGAGCTCTGATCGTTTTTGAGCTATGAGGATTACACCACTCTACTACCACCATCTTCATCAACTTTAGATTCCTCATATGAGACCATCAGCTGACTGTCTGGAACTCAGCCAGATTGACCTTGTTAGAAGATCCAGGAGGAGCCATTGAGTCCTGGATCAGAATATCACAGCTTCATCATCAGTGTCCAAATCCAAAATAGAGAAGACCCTGCTCTTTTCATTGATTTTTGTTTACCAACCCCTTGTGAACAATGAAACTGGAAGACTATTAGAAGTAGAAAGTATTGGCCATAATCCAGGTTATTCCCTCGAAGGGGAGCTTTGGTGACATCAGAATGGATTAGAACATACAATCAGGCTTTTAGGTTGCCAGGATCACCACCTCTACCTCCCCTTGCACAGTAGTATTCTTTTTGTTGCCTTACCAACACATTTACAAATGCAGAAAGACTCTTGCTTTTGTGGCAAGTCACACCCACAAGGTGCCTTTTCTCAGACATGTGTGAGTCCTTCAGTCATTGTTCCCAGTGTCAGTGTTGAGTGCAGGAGCTGAGAAGAGAGGTGACTCATTTTTAATTGATATCTTAAATAAAGTTCCTTGGGGTGGCCATGTATTCTGTCCCTAACCTCTCTGGTTAGAGAGCCTGAGCTTGTATCGGCTCATTAACTCTAATAGCTTGACCTTTAGCTTCTCTTCTGTGTGTGATGTACCAGCCTTCACTTCTCCTGCGTAATTTAAGTGCAGGGATATACCACATTTTTTATTGGAGGGCTTAGGTTTTTCAGGGTTACCCTGAGTCTGAGTTTCATTTTAATGAGGCAGTGCCAGAAAACAACAAGGATTCCATTACCTCTAAGAGATATACCCAAAGCTTTGGGCCCAACATAGTACTTATGCAGCTGCAAATTAGGAATTAAAGTAGATGTTGGTAAAGAGGTAAAGTTGTCTGTTCAAAAAGTTGCTAGGGAATATTGCAAATTAAAACATTTGTCCACTGATAATGAAAGTTGACAGTTTCTTCCTGCTTAGATTTTAAATCCAGCATCTTTACTTTTTGCAATTTATGTGGAAATAATGAATGTTTTGTGTTAAGACCTTCTCCCTCTAGGGAACAGGGCTTCACCTTTCTAATTTTTATTAAATTAACTACCAGCATGCAGGGAATTTCATGTTAGCATTTGGTCCTAGCAGATCATTTCAAAACACATTGGAAAAAATATACCTAATTAAAATTGTATGGAAAAAAACCCAGCATGACTTACTTTTAGGCTGTTAGTGCATATAGTTGTGTATCTATAATTTATTTTAAAGAACTAAAGTCAAAGGTATTATAGCTTCTGCAGCTGAACATATACCTTATAATATTTCTGATTTTGTCAAAAATTAAATTATGCTTTTTCCTTCACTGCAGAAACAATGCATATCTCCTTCTATAAGCTACTCTTATAATATACCTGATTAAGAATAACCCATATTTATTTCTGAAAACATTACAAGTCTTACTTTTAGAGAGCAAAGAAGTTTTAGATAGTTCGTCATTAATTGGTAAACAACTAGCTCCTTCCTCCTAAACATGTCTCTTGTTTCATCTCTTCCATACAGTCCCTCAGGTACGTGCTGTTGGAAAGTTTAGGAAACGAATTCCTAGCATCCAGATTTCATCTGTGTCTGTTTATATTTGTGGGTTGGAGGCTGTATATATTTGTGGGTTGGAGGCCTAGGGTAGTTTGCAAGCCACCAATCGGATTGAAGTCTTGATAATTTTGCCTCCATGAGATTGTGGTTTGGACACAACTCATATCGCATGCATTATTTGATCTTTTTCATATGCATTTAATAATGGGAGAATCTCATCTTTTTTTTTTCTGTGACAGAGTCTCATTCTGTCACCCAGGCTGGAGCGCAGTAGCATGATCTCAGCTCACTGCAACCTCCACCTGCCAGGCTCAAGTGATTCTCATGCCTCAGCCTCCTGAGTAGCTGGGATTACAGACGTGCACCACAACACCTGTCTAATTTTTGTATTTTTAATGGAGCCATGGGCTTTCACCATGTTGGCCAGGCTGGTCTCAAACTCCTGGCCTCAAGTGATCTGCCTGCCTTGGCCTCCCAAAGTGCTGAGATTACAGGCATGAGCCACTGAGCCTGGCCGAGAATCTTATTTCTTAACAAACAACTATATACATTAGCTTGATTGCCTATAAAGGGATATGAACCTGACCTCATATATGAGAGTACTGTCCTAAATGGAATTTGCATGATGACAGGATTTATTCTGTTTTAGGATCATGTGATATTTGAATAAACAGAAATATAAAAACAAAGAATGACAGATGCAGCTGAATACTCAAGAGTGAAGGATGAGAGACAGGGACTCTGAAATGAGATCTTTTTCCCCAAGTGTTTTATTGTTACTGGGCATTGAAGGAAGAATCTGATAATGCTATTCTGGTAGAGCTTTACAATGGCATTTATATGACACCATATTTGGAAAGGTTCCTCAGACAATCTAAGTGCCAGCAAGTTGAATGGCATTATTACTGGATAATAACAAGGCTGGAAAACTTAGAATAGCTTACCTTCCCATTGCGTTACCTAATTTATCTAATATATCCTAAATGTAAGTACTTTGGGAATTTCAGAAGAAAAAGTATTGAATGTCAACACAAATAATCTTTTTTGTCTTTATAATTTCTAAGATCTCTATTATTTTAGAAGATATTCTAAATATTATTTTAGAAGATTACTGAAATTGCTCAAAAATCCCCAAAGAGCTATTAAAGGTCTGTGATTTTTTTAAATCTTTTTGGCATTCTTTCCCTATAAACATAGGTATATTAAAATATAATTGATGGGAAGATTATAGAGTATGAAGCTTGAGAAATCTGTATTTCCACATAGATAACAATTGCATTGGCAGAATCTGTCTGTTGTAGCTATTTTGGAACTCTGGAGTCCACTGAAGGCCTGAATATTCCAGGGAAAGGGGCACAAATTGTGATTAATTTCAATCAATTTCAGTTCTTAGCACAGTAATAACTACCCATTCCCCATCTTTCAGCCCCATGGCAGGCAGCTGTGCATGTACTCCTGGTTTGCACATGGCTTGTGGGAGCCACGGTGGGCAAAAAGGACTCTATCCTGCAAATATTGGGATCTGTATTCTGATTACTGATTGCCGTTTTCAATCACAGAGGTACAAAAAAGAGGTGGTAGCCATTATTGTTGTACCTTCCTCTCTAGCTGAAGTGACTCCTAGGGAATTTAAAGGGCTGATGCCTTTTTTCGCTTCCCTTAATTTTTCTTCTTTCCCTTTTTGGGACCCAGATATTGAAAACTAGGACATTCAAAAGCAACTACATATGTGGGAGACTTTAGATAGCTACTGTGCATGTTCCAGGCAAGGCACTGGCTCAGAAAAGACTTTAAGTTTATACCTCAGAGTGATCCTTGCTATAGAGTTGGCCTACAACAATCAAAAACATGAAAACAAATACCAGCAACCCTAGCAAAGGGGGAGAATCTGATTTCAAGAATTATCATATTATTCGATTCATATGTCCAGTTTTCAACAAAAATAAAATTACAAGGCATATAGAGCAACAGGAACGTATTAAGCATTAAAGGGAAAATAAATAAATAAACCAATGGACACTGAGCTGAAAAGACCTAATGATGGATCCATTAGCCAGATACTTAAACTACCTATCATAGAGATGATCAAAAAAACTAAAGGAATAATTGGGGAAAGTCAAGAAAATAATGTCTGATCAAAAGGGCAACATCAATAAAGAGAGAGTGATGCAAAGAAACCAAAAATAAATTGTAAAGCTGAAAAATATAATGACTGACATGAGAAATTCACTAGAACTCAAAGGCAGATTTTGACAGGCAGAAGAAAGAATTAATGAATTTAAAGATAGGTCAATGAAAATTAAGTCTGAGGAACAGAGAGAAAAAAAAAGTTGAAGAAAGATGAACAGAGCCTAAGGGACCTGTGGTACACCATCAAGTGAACCAACGTATGCATTGTGAGAGCCCCAGAAGGAAAAGAGGGAGACAGAAAGGGGCAGAGAGATTATTTGAAGAAATAATGAATAAAAACTTCCCAAATTTGTTGAATGACATGAATATGAACATCAAAAAGCTCACCAAAATACAAATAGGGTGAGCCTGAAAGACTCACACCAAAACACATTATAAATACTACTATTGAAAGTCAGAGACAAAGAGAGAATTTTGAAAGCAGCAGAAGAGAAGAGATTTGTCATGCACTAGGGATCCTCACTAAGATTATCAGCAGATTTTTTCATTAGAAGCTTTACAGGCCAGAAGGCTCAGATATTCAAAGTGGTAAAAGAAAAAAAACTGTCAGCCAATAATCACGTATCCAACAAAACTGTACTGCAAAAGAAGTAAAGGAGTGAAGAAGAAATTAAGGCATTCCCAGATAAAACCTGAGAAAATTTATTAGAACTAGATCTGCCCTTCAAGAAATGCTAAAGGGAGTCCAGAAGGTTAAAATGAGGTGATGCTAGACAGTAACTTGAAGCTATATAAAGAAATAAAGGTCTTTGTATTGGTAAATATATTTGTAAGTAGAAAAGCTAGTGTTATTTTAACATGGTATGTAATTCCACTTTTTGTTTCTATATGAATTAAGAGAATAACGGATTTTTAAAATATATTGGTCTAAAAATCAATATTATTATAACTTTGGTTTATAACTCCATGTTTTGTTTTCTATATAATTTAAGAGACTAATGGATAAAAATTATTAGTTGATGTTTTGAGGAAGTCAAGATATATAGATGTAATTTTATGACATCAACAACAGAAAGGGGAGGGTATAATGTTGTTAAAGTAGCACAGTTTTTATATGTTATAGAAGTTAAGCTGGCATAAATTCAAATTACAGTGTAATAACTTCAGGATGTTAAATATAATTTCCATGGTAACCACAAAGACAACAGCTAAAGAATATACAGAAAAAATCGAAAAGGAATTTAATCATTTCATTATCAAAACAAGAAATCAACCAAACACAAAAGAAGACAGGAATACAGGAAATGAGGGACAAAATAAACCTATAAGGCATATAGAAAACAAGTCACAAAATGACAGAATCAAACCTCTCCTTAACAGTAATTACTTTAAATGTAAATGGATTAAACAGCCTAGTCAATAGACAGAGGTTGACAAAATGGTTTTAAAAAATCATAATCCAACTATATACTGTCTTCACAGACTTACTTTAGAACCAGTGATGCAAATAGGTTAAAAGTAAAAGGACAGAAAAGGATATTCCATGTAAATAGTAAACCAAAACAGAGCAGAGTTGGCTATACTAATATCAGAAAAAATAGACTTTAAATAAAAAATGCTAGCAAAGAGACAAAAGACAGAAGTTAAGTAAGAAAACAGAGGACTTGAACAAAACAGTAAACCAGCTGGATCTAACAGATACATGCCAAACACTCTACCTAACAACAGCATACACATTCTTCTCAAGTACACGTGAGACATTTTCCAGGATAGACCATATGCAAGGCCACAAATGAAGTCTCAGTAAATTTTAAAAGACAGACATTGTACAGAGTGTCTTCTCTGATCACAATAGGATGGCATTAGAAATCAGTAACAGAAGGAAAACTGAAAAATTCAAAAATTTGTGAAAATTGAATAACACAATCTTAAGCAACAACTGGATTAAATAAGAAAACACAAGGGGAATTAGATAATACTTAAAAGACAAATGAAAACAAAAACACAACATATCCAAACATATGGAAGTAATGAAAACAGTACTAAGGGGAAATTTTATAGCTACAAATACTTATATTTAAAAATAAGACAAATGTCTAAGCTTACAACTTAGAAACTAGAAAAATAACGCACTAACCCCAAAGCTAACAGAAGGAAAGAATAAAGATTAGAGCAAAGATAAATGAGATGGAGAACAGAAAAATAATAGAAATCAAGGAAAAACTAGAAAATCAGGGGAAAAAGTGATTTTTGAAATTATCAACAAAATTGACAAAATTTTAGCTAGACTAAGAAAAAAAACCAGAAGTCTAAAATTAATAAAATCAGAAATGAAAGTGAGGACATTGCTATCAAGTCTACAGAAATAAAATGGATTATAAGCAAGTAATATAAACAATTGCATGCCAGCACATTGGATAGTTCAGGTGAAATGGACAAATTCCTAGAAACACAAAACCTATGAGACTAAGTCATGAACACTGAATAGACCTAAAACTAGTAAGGAGATTAAATCAGTGATCAGTAATCTCCTAGCAAAGGGAAGCCCCAGACCTTATGACTTTGCTGGTGAATAGTACCAAAAATTTAAACAACTAAACCGATCTTTTTCAAACTTTTCAAAAAAATTAAATAAAAGGGAACACTTCCTCATTCTATGAAGCCAGCATTACCTTGATACAAAGACATTGCAAAAAAACTACAGACCAATATCCCTTATAAACATTGCTACAAAAATCTTCAACGAAATACTAGCAAACCAAACTCACCGGTATATTAAAAGAATTATACATCATGACCAAGCGAGATTTATTCTTGGAGTGTATGGATGGTTCTATACACAAAAATCAACCAATACAATACATCACAGCAGAGCAAGAAGAGGAAGAAACACATTATCATCTCAGTTGATGCAGAAAGAGCATCTGCCACATTTCAAGCCCTTTGTGGTTTAAACACACACACACAGACACACACAGACACACACACTCAACAAACTAGGAAAAGTAAGAAACTACCCCAACATGATAAGAGCCACATATAAAAAACCCACATTGAACATCATGTTCAGTGACGAAAGACTGAAAGATTTGCCTCTATGATCAAGAACAAGGAAAGTATGCCCATTTTCACCACTTGTATTCAACATAGTACTTAAAGTCCTAGCCAGAAAAATTCAACCAGAAAAATAAAGGCATCCAAATTGAAAATGAAGAAATTAAATTATATCTGTTTGCAGATTGTATTAGGCTATTCTTCCATTGCTATAAAAGAATACCTGAGACAGAGTAATTTATAAAGAAATGAGGTTTAATTGGTTCACAGTTCTGAAAGTCACACAAGCATGGTGCCAATATCTGTTTGGCTTCTGGGGAGGTGTCAGAGAGCTTTTACTCATGGCAGACAGTGAAGCATGAGCAGGCATGTCACATGGCCAGAGCGGAAGCAAAAGAGAAGGAGGGTGTGGGAGGTTCCACACACTTTTAAACAAACAGATCTCATGAGAACACACTCATTATCATGAGGACAGCACCAAGCCATTAGAGTTCTGCTTCCATGACCCAGTCACCTCCCACTAGGACTCATCTCCAACATTGGGGATTGCATTTCAACATCAGATTTGAAGGGGACAACATACAAACTGTATTACAGATGATATGAACTTACATGTAGAAAACCCTAAAGATTCCACCAAAAAAAAAAATCTGTAAGGAGTAATAAATGAATTCAACAAAGCAATAAGACACAAAGTCAACAAACAAAAATACATTGCATTTTTATCCACTAACAACAATCTGAAAAGAAAATTGAGAATTAAAAAGAATAAAATACTTAGGAATTAGCTTAACCAAAGAAGTGAAAAACTTGTACAGTGAAAACTGTAAAACATTTCTGAAAGAAGGTATCAATCAATGAAAACACATCTTATGTTTATGGATTAGAAGATTTAATATTGTTTTCAATACTATACAAAGCGATCTATAGACTTAACACAATCCCTGTGACAATTCCAACGATGCTTTTTTTGCTGACATACAAAAAGCCATCCTGAAATTCATATGTAATTGAAAGGACCCTAGATGGCCAAAGAAATCCTGGAAAAGAACAAACCTGGAGGACTCATACTTTATGATTACAAAACTTACTGTAAACTGTAGGAGTCAAAGCAATGTGGTATTGGCATAAAGATAGATTTATACATCAATGGAATAGAATAGAGGATAGAGGAGTCCAAAAGTAAACCTTCACATATGTGGTCAAATGATTTTTGACAAGAGTGCCAAGATGATTAAATGGAGGAAAAGACAGTCTTTCCAATAAATGCCGCTAGGAAAACTCTGTATCCAAGTGCAAAAGAATACAATTAATGTTAGGTACATTCCTTACCTTACACCATATAAAAATTTAAAATGAGTCTCCGACCTAACTTTAAGAACTAAAACTATAAAACTCTTAGAATAAAATTTAGAGCAAAAGCCTCATGATATTTTATTTGGCAATTATTTATCGGATATGACACCAGAGACACGGGCATCAAAAGGAAAAATAGATGAATTGGACTTAAATGAAAAACATTTTTGTACATCAAAAGACACCATCAGTATAGTAAAAAGGCAACCCACAGAGTGAGAAAAAATATTTGCAAATCATATATCTGATAATAGATTAATATTCATAATATATAGATAATTCCTAAAACTCAGCAACAACAACAAAAATCACTGATTCAAAAATGCGCAAAGGACTAGAATAGACACTTCTCCAGAGAAGATGTACAAGTGTCCAATAAACAGTTGAAAAGATGCTCAGCATCACTAATCACTAGAGAAATGCAAATGAAATTACAATGAGATATCACTGCATACCCATTAAGTTGGCTGCTATCAAAAAAGAGTGAAGTGTTGGCAAAGATATGGAGAAATTGGAACTCATGTGCACTGTTGGTGGGAGTGTAAAATGGTACAGCTGCTGTGGAAAACAGTGTGGCAGTTTCTCACAAAATTAAAAACAGGATTACCATATGATCCAGCAATCCCACTTCTGGGCATACACCTGAAATAATTGAAAGCAGGAACTGGAACAGATGTTTGTACGCCCATGTTCACCCACATTCATAGCACCATTATTCATAATAGCCAAGAAGTAGAAGCAACTCAGTATCCATTGAAACATGATTGAATAAATCAAATGTGTTATATACATGCAATAAAATATTATTCAACCTTGAAAAAGGGGAAATCCTGATAAGTGCTATGATATGGATGAATCTGGAGGACATTGTGCTAAGTGCAATAAGCCAGTCACTAAAAGACAAATACTGTATGATTCCACTTACATGAGTTATCTAGATTTGTCAACCCTCATGGACAGAAAGTAGAATGGTAGTTGCCAGAAGCTGGGGGGAGGGAGAATGGGGAGTTGTTATTTAATGGGTATAGAATTTCAGTTTTACAAGACGAAAAAGAGTTCTGCACATGGTTGGTGGCAATTGTAGCCCACAATGTAAATGTACTTATTGTCACTGGACTGTACACCTAAAAATAGCCAAGATAGTAAATTTTAGATTATGTGTATTCTACCACAATAAAAGAAATTGGAAGAAAATATCAGTGGTAATCCTTCCCAACTCTATAGATACCCCTGACCCTGCTAATCCCATAGGTCTCAATGCACGATTGGTTTTCTTTATAATCAAACTTGGCTGGTTTCTGTTTATTAAAAAGATAGTTTTAAAGGATTGTCTGGGTTTCAGGAGTGTGTGTGTGCATCAGTACACCCGTGTGTCATGGGTTGGGTTCTTGGGCTGCAGTGCTGAGATGGACTCTGGAGTACAAGATGTTTATTAGGCATCAACACCTGTGAAAGGAAGGGGCAGAAACAGGAGTGGGCAAGGTAGAAGCTGGACTTTGAGGTAGGCCCTCCAAAGCTTCACCCAAGCCAGTGGGGAGCCCTGGGTTCATTATTGCCTATCTGGATTGTTCCGTGATGAATGGAAACAGCAGCATCTTGTCACACCTGCCTCACTCTGTAGGAAATGAAAGCTGCCCAAGAAATGTATGGTCTTTAGGGAAGCAGCTCACTGGAGCTGAGGCCCATTCTCAAGTAGCTAATGGCTGAACAGTGCTTGCTAATCACTATCCACCTTACAGTTGGGAGGCCAAGTCCCTCCTTGAAGGGCAACCTGGGTGGTACATATCTGTGCCTACCACAATATGGGTGTAGACTTCAGCCCCACCCCACACACATACCTAGATCTAGTTTAGCATACAGCTGTGATCTTCCAGAATGACAGGTAACCCAGGCAAGATCATCTGACCTTTTCATTTATATCATTTTCTACCATCAAAGGGGCTATGGACTCTGCCAAGAATGTAGCAAGCCAACTTGACCTTCAGAGGTAAAAATGAAACCCGAAGACATGGCGAAAATTAAACCAACTCTTTAGCAAAATCTAGAGATGAAGTGAGGGCACCATTGGTTCCTGGGTGTTTTAATAGAATGTGGAAATGTGAAGCAGCTTCCAAATGACATTTATTAAGCTCCTAGTGTATTTGCTAAATGATGTACACCCTGCTATGTCATTTAAACCTCACAACAACCCTATGAGCCCAGGGCTGTTATTATCATCACCATTATATAGATGAGAAAACTGAGGTGCCCAAGGTCCCAGAGCTGTCAAGCACTGAGGCAGGGATATAAACCTAAGTAGTCTAGTCCTGCACAGTTTTAACTATTCCCTGAGGACCTGACCATTTTTCTGAACATATGTACTGGGGACGTTGAGTGATGTAACCACGCAAAAGACTGCAGCATAGGTGTCTGCATTTTGAGGATTGAGGCAAGGCTTCTACACACAAAATTATAAATGTAATAAACATACAGCATTGTCCATTCCTGCGTGCTTGCTTATGAATTGGCGATGGATTTCAGAAGGAGAAGAAATCTCCTACAGAAGGGACTGGTGTCAGCTGTGCCTTTACAATGGGTTAAAGATAATTTGAATTCATTGCCAACATTCAAAAATGAAGAGATTCCTCATTGAAATTTTGATAGATGGTTTCTTTCTTTTTTTTTTTTTTTTAAAGGGGGATAATCTGGTGACATGATGCACCTTCCTGTGAGCTGGCAATATGCTGAAGGAAGTGGGTTTGCCATCCTTATCAAAGGGCCCCTATAGGTGTCTGAGTTGGTAACCTCAGTGGGGCCACAAAAATAAGACATTATCTTATAATTACACAGTTGCATTTTGGCTCTCTGAATGGGAATGATGGGGAATCTGCAAGAATGGGGGAGTACTTCTGTTCAAGTGAGATGTCAAGATTTCACCTTGCCCATCCTTTTTGATTACCTGTAGTCAGAGGGAAACATAGCCCACAGAGTGACAGCTCTACCCTCTTCTGACTCCTCCTGTGGCTTTTCTGTAGCCCCCACTCACTGTAGCCTGGCTACTTAGAAGGGATTTAACTAAAAGTGAGAAGTGAGATTCAGTGGTGAAACATGAAACTGAAAAGTCAGTAAAAGAAGTCATCTTTAAGAGTGAGGTTTAATGCCAACTTCTCCCTTGAGGGACCTTGTCACTTCAAGCCTTTAATACCAGGCCTGACAAATATTTAGAAAATGTTCAGGACTTAACCGTTTTGCACAAGGAGAGGACATGATGCCCTGATAGATTTATTTTTTTTCTCCTTCATCTCTAGTATCTGTGATCCTCTGAATCCTGGTAAGGAAACAGGTCTCAGAGGCTATTCTCTGAGCAGTGTTTGGTAGAGAGAGATAATGGCACTGGGATTGAAGTAGATCTTCCCAGAAGAGAGTGAAAGGAGATAAAGAAGCCATGGCTGCCTGCTCAGGGAAGTGGAAAAGGAACTTCTTGATGGGCTTAACCTTATAAAAGTGTGATCTCTGGAGGAACCGGTGGGCAGTAAGGCAGAGCTGCTTCATCAACAAGTATTTAAGTACTTACCGGGTACAACATATTTAACTAGGGAAAATACATACTTAAAGATGACTCAGTCCTTTCTCCCAAGGAGGTTACAATGTATCTGGGGAGACCAGCTGTACTGTTGTGAAATAGTGAAATAATTATGGAAAGCCTGTATGGTACTAATGATAAGAGGTGGTTTTCTTTTTTCTTTTCTTTTTGTTTTTTTTTTTTTGAAAATGAAGTCTCGCTCTGTTGCCCATGTTGGAGTGCAATGGCATGATCTCAGCTCACTGCAACCTCTGCATCCCGGGTTCAAGCGATTTTCCTGTCTCAGCCTCCTGAGTAGGTGGGATTACAGGCATGTACCACCACGCCCTGCTATTTTTTTGCATTTTTAGTAGAGATGGGGTTTCACCATGTTGGCCAGGCTGGTCTCAAATTCCTGACCTCAAGTGATCCACCTGCCTCGGCCTCCCAAAATGCTGGGATTGGGGACATGAGCTACCGCGCCCAGCTGGGAGATGAGATGGTTTTCTTATTCTTTCTTTTGTGGAATAGATCTCTTTTTTTTCCTAAGTAAAGGTCACCCAGATCCCAAATATATAAATATAATTGATCAAGGTAGCGCAGCTCTGGTTGAAGTGTAGAGGCAGGGGCTGGAGGTCTGACAACCTAGCCCGCTTCAGTTTCCTACTTCCGCCTTCAAAGGCACCTTTGCCAAATCTAGGGCTCCTCAAAAAACACACAGGAAGACTGGAAAAAAATCTGAATGTGTACAAGTACTTTTGCTTGAGTTTCATGCTATCCCTTTGGAGAGAGAGCATTATCAATCTCCAGTCTCAGATAAGGAACCTGAGACACAGAGGGGTTACACAACTGGATCAAAACTCTCACCGCTTGCTCATTTTGGAGCTGGCATATGAGCCCAGGTCTCTAAACCTAAGCCCTCTAAACCTGCCACTCCACAGTAGAGCAGATGCTAGTGTCCCATGCCAGAGTAAGAGATGGAGGGATCAGGAAGGCCTTGGGAAGAAGACACAAGCTGAGATGGGTTCTGGAATCTACTTGGAATTTGAGTCTATGCAGAGGCTAGGAACGACATTCCAAGTGGGAAGAACAGCAGGAACAGTAGCTGGGGGTGAGGGAATAAATGTGGTTTGGAAAACAGGTTTGAATTAGTTTGTGAGAGGGTTGCAACCCAAGGTAACCTTGAACTCTGCCATCTAGACAATGAAGGCAGAAACATTGTAGCAGAATGGGGCCAAGAACACAGCAGGGTTTCAGGCAGGTTTGTCTGGGCATTGAGGGCAGGTTGTTTGGGTAGAGAGTGGGACTGGGGTCAGGGAACCTAGCTAGGGGAAAGCTGTAATATTTCAGCCTGGAGCGAGGAAGGCCTGTGCTAGTTATGAAGGCTAGAGGGGTGGAGGCTTTTCAAAAGCAGGAGTGGGACAGCGAGAGTGAATGACTGTGGAGAGCAGTGAGGAAAATGGAGACAAAATGACTTCTGGAATCTGATTCTGAGAGAGAGGATGGGAGATGATGGCAAGATGATGGTGATGGTGGCAATGACTGCAGCTAACATTTGCCCCAGGCTTACAGGGTACTAGGCACTGTTCTAGGCTCTTTACAAAGGCTGTCTGACTTCATCTGTCCACAACCTTCTGGGGCAGATATTACTATTATTCCCACACCACCCCCCCACACCACCACCATTTTACATTGCAGAAAACAGTGCAGAGAGGTTTTGTAACTTGCCCAGAGTCCTATAGGTAATGGATGCTGGAGGCAGTATTCCAACCCAAGCAGTCCAAGTCCAAACCCATTCCCTTCACCACTGTGCTATAGTGCTCCTCATAGAAAAACGTATCCACATAATGACAAGGGCAGAGAAGACCTTTGCCCAATTTGATAGAGAAAACCAGTTCTCTCAACTTTTGTTTACTTGTGTAATCCTGAATTTCTCAAATAGGATTCCATGGGACATTTTTATAAAAGATCTAATGAAAATGTTTACAGTTGGCCCTCCATATCCATGGGTTCAATCAATGGAGGATTGGAAATATTTGGGGGGTGGGGGGAATTGTGTTTGTACTGAACAAGTGCAGGCTTTTCTTTCCTTGTCATTATTCCCTAAACAATAAAGTATAACTATTTACGTAGCATTTATATTGTATTAGGTATTATACATAATCTAGAAATGATTTGAACGATATGTGAAGATGTGCATAGGTTATATGCAAATACTATGACATTTTATATCAGCGACCTGAACATCCGTGCATTTTGGCATCTGAGGGAGGTCCTGGAACCAATTTCCCATAGATACCAAGGGATGACTGTATTGGTTCAGGGAAAGGTGACTTAAAATTAATCAGGCTTCTATACTCCAGGACTACTCAGCCATTTTTAGATAATAGAATAATGTGTTCTGAGAATTGCCAGATGGAGCCTGTACAAAGAAGTGTCTCCTAAGCAAATCCAAAAAACTGAACTCTTTTTTTTCTCACAGAAAATTAACTGTGTTTCTCCAAATACTAGTGTTGAATGGAATATAATTTAGAAATGATAGCATAGACGTATAGTGAGTTTAGGACTAGAAATAGCACTATAACAAGTCAAATCTTACCATGCGAAGGTAAGAAAGTGTCTTAATTACAATCCTGGGCCATTCTGCCTTTGCAGGGGCCTCATTTAGTCATCACTCAGACTTGCATCACTGTTCGGGCCCCTCCAGCCCAGTGTCTGCATTTCTCTTGACAGGTGGCTTCCTTCTGAGGCCATGTGTAACACACATGGCAGGCATTCTTTCTCCCTAGTAGGAAGTGGCTGCACCTGTTAAC
Source organism: Homo sapiens (assembly GCF_000001405.40). NCBI lineage: Eukaryota > Metazoa > Chordata > Mammalia > Primates > Hominidae > Homo > Homo sapiens. The sequence continues at coordinate 59,836,710 of NC_000003.12, read as the reverse complement.
AGCCTGGGCCCAATTACTCTCAAAAATTTGGACTTCAGCTGCCACACTAAAGCAGCAGTCCTTGAGCCTGTTCAGCCCATACTGATTTGATTTCTAATGACACTCCTAAAAAGGCAAGGTTCTGAAGTTCCATTTTATATCAGGGACTTCTTTGGCAGAAGGCAAACCGCAGGGCCAAGCTCATATGGCATGTGCAGAGGTCAGCCTTCCTGTAACAGGAGGGGACCAGGAAAGGAAGAAAACACCCTGAGTAGGTTTTCTGGGTACTTCTGCATCTGACATCCTTGCCAGCCAGCTGCCACTTATGTCCTGGGTCTCCTACTTAGTTATCCAAACCAGCACAAATGTGTCAAACCAGCTCTCAGCGTTTGAAGGGATAGTGTGGCTCATTTTCTTCCTTGTGCAGCAGTCACAAAGGATAAGAATGCCCAGCCTAACAGTATGGAATCGTGCAAAGGAGCTCAACCTGTGAAATTTTGAGAGGATCACAGAATATCTACTCATCTTCTAGTCTCCTGCAGCATCTAGCAAGAAACTTTTTCCTTCCCATTTAAGTAGTACCTCCTAGTCCATCAAGTCTTCTTGACTTGAGTCTTCTTTGTAAACTCATGGGGAGGACTCCATCTTGGGCATGCTGCATTTAGTAACATTCATGGATATTCTTGATTTAAGGTACTATGGGGAGTGAGGGAAAATGGTTAAAAATCTGGGTGCCCATCCCAACAGGACTTCCTGGGGCCATTTGGGAACCATCCCCTCCTAGATTATTTGTGTCCCCTTGATTTACTCTTAAGCGACTAGGGCTCCCCCTTTTCTCCTCCCTATTTCTTTAGTAATGTACCGCTTGGCCAAAACTTAATCATCCAGTATTCAATTCCCTCCAGATCTTAGAATTTCATTATAGGCTGGCAAGGAACTAATCAACTTAATGAGCTAGTGGTCTTCAAGTGTGTTGGTATTTCTTTCTAACACACCTCAAAGAGAGTCTTCTCAATGCATATTGTAATACAGAGGGGTGATTCTCGTAGCACTAAATTGGAATCTTAGGCTTATGGGGAAGACATATTGAGAGTAATGTCTTTAATCCTCAGAGTATTCCATTTACTGCCTCTTGGTAGGTCAGGACCCAGTCTTTCATGTGTGAAAACTCGGACACATCTACTCCTAGAACAAGCTCACTCATGACAATTCAGGTTCATATCCATAAAAATGTCAACAAATTGTAGCTTCAGCATAAAGGCCTTCTTCTTTGTGTCTTTGCAGTATAGTAGAAATGGTTCGCACAAAGACTCTCTTTATTATGAAGGTAAATGAAGATTAGGAGAGCTTCATTTTTGGTGCACAATAACATTAGACATAATAGGCGGGAAAGGGTAGAAAGCTCCATTGATGAAGAAAGGAATATTATCACTCTCACTTTCTTCTGAACCTAAACAAGTTCTCAGGTTTTGTTTGACATCCAAACCATTACCCAAATTCTAAAGCTTAGTCTATTAAAGAGGGAAAGTGGAAAATCTTTGGTAATGACTATTTTGGCCCAGGCTGATATAAGTCAGAGGGCCTTTGATCCATATAATCGATGTGTTGAGAGGAGATTATAACTCTTAGGGAAAGATTGTCTTTGCAAAGACAGAAGATTGGGTTATTTACACAACAAGGTCTGCATGAGTAAGTGGTATCTTTGCATATCTACATAAAATCAGGTCAATCAAGTTCAGTTTAAAAAACAACAACAAGAAAATTACCACCAACACAACATATTAAGTAAGTTAAAACTATTTGGGAATGTGTTGAAAATTCACTATTTAACTGCTAATGATTTGATTAAATTTTATATAGGCAGGAAAGATACAGACCTTCATATCTATAGACTTATGCATTGATATATTTTTATGTGTGTATATCTGTCTATCTGTTATAGACTGAATGTTTGTGTCCTTCAAAATTCATATGTTGAAATATAATCTCCATTGTGATGGTGTTTGAAGGTGGGACCTTTGATAAGTGATTAAGCCATGAGGATAGGGCCCCTCAGGAATGGGATTAGTGCCCTTATAAGAAGATGTCAGAGAGCTAACTTCCTCTTTTTCCACCACGTGAGGATACAGTAAAAAGTTGACAATCTACAACCTGGAAGAGGGTTCTCACCAGGAACTGACCATACTAGCACTCTGATCTTGGATTTCTAGCCTCCAGAAGTGTGAGAAGTAAATGTTTGTTTTTTATAAGCCAACCAGTTTATAATATTTTGATAGTCGCCCAAAGTGTCTGTCTGTCTCTCTGTCTCTCTCTCTCTATCATCTATCTATATGTCTAAGTTACCTATCTGTCTGTCTGTCTATTTAGCTAATCTATCTATCTATTGTTTAACAAATATACTCTGCCAGGCACAGTGTAAAGCACCTCCCATCCACTACCTCGTTTAACTCTCATAAAACATCATGAATGAAACAATGGATTTTTCTGTGATGTACAGGAGAACACTGGAGTCAGAAATCACCTAAAGTAAATGAACAAACTAGGACTTGAATTCAGGTCTTCCTGATCTTTCAGCCAATGTGCATGACCATTGCATTGTGCTGCCTCCTTTTTCCTTTCTGTGTCTCTGGATATTGTGTGGACATAGATATGGCAATATAGCTGTATTAGTTCATTTTCACACTGCTATAAAGAATTATGTGAGACTGGAATAGTTTATAAGTAAAGAGGTTTAGTGGACTCACCATTCCTCATGGCTGGGGAGGCCTCAGGAAACTTATAGTCATGGTGGAAGGCAAAGGAGATGCAGGCACCTTCTTCACAAGGTGGCAGGAGAGAGAGCACAAAGTGGGAAGTGCCATACACTTAAGCCATCAGATCTCTTGAGAACTCACTATCACAAGAACAGCATGGAGGAAACTGTCCCCCTGATCCAATCACCTCCCACCAGGTCTCTCCCTCAACATGTGGAGATTACAATTCGAGATGAGATTGGGTGGGGACACAGAGCCAAACCCTGTCAATGACCTTCATGAGTATAATAGTGATTTCCATCAGAAGTTTTCCATGGGATCTGTTGGTAAAAATTCACCTGATGGGCTTTGTATTAGTTTCCTAGGGCCACCATAACAAAATATTACAAACTAGGTGTCTTAAAAAATTAGAAATTTATTGTTTCATAGTTCTGGAGACTAGAAGTCTGAAGTTGTGGTGTTGGTAGGGTCATGCTCTCTCTGTAGCCTGTAGAGGAATCCTTCCTTGCCTTTGGTTTATAGCTTCTGGTAGTTTGCCAGCGATCTTTGATGTTCCTTGGCTTGTAGCTGCATCACTCCAATCTCTGTCTTCATGGTCACAAGACATTATGTGTATCTCAAACTTCATGTGGCTGTCTTCTTATAAGCACATCAATTATATAAGTTTAGGAGCCCACCCTATTTCAGTATGGCCTCATCTGAACTAATTGCATCCTCAATGCCATTTCCAAATAATGTCACATATTGAGGTAGTAGTGATTAGGACTTCAACATATCCATTTGAAGCTGGGGGTGGAGAAGGAACCCAGTTCAACCCATGACAGGCTTATTCAATTACAATGATTTATACCCCAGTGTAACTTACCCCCATGTGATTACTATTACTTAATATGTCATATATGCTTGTGCTCAGATATCATTGCAAAAGAGTGAGGAGACCTGATATAAGTCAGTATTCATTTAAACCAGATTAGAAACCTAATCCAAACTAGCTAAAGTAAAAGAAATGTCTTGGCTCACATAATCATAACATGTAGCATTAAGTCTTCAGGCACAGCTGGATTCAGGGGCTCAAAGGACTCGGAGCTCTTACTTTTACAACATTTCTTGATTCTGTCCTTGCCTGTTGGCTTAATACATAAATAGTCTTTCACTCAATGATAGGGAAGATAGCCCCTAGCATCCCCAGATTCACTTGCGCACATGATGTAAGCTGAGGCTGAGTTCTTATTGAAAAATTTGTGTATTAGCCTCGGCTGCAGTAACAAACAACCCCCAAATAAACAAATATTTATTTCTCATTTATGAGTCTGTGGTTGGCAGCACTTCTTCTTGGCTCTATTCTGTGCATCTCTTATTCCAAGACCTAGGCTGAAGCAGAGAAGCCCTCATCGGGGCCATGCTATTCACAATGCAGAGGACAAAAATGCAGAAAGTTAAGCCTTGCAACCTCATTTAAAGATTCTATGTAGACATGGATATTTCTTATCTGCTTATAGTCCTTTGGGCAAAGAAAGTCACATAACCAAGCCAGACAATGTGGCTGGATGTTACAGATAAGGTAGGGGTGTATTATCCTTTTCTTAGAGCAAGAAAAAAAAATAATTGAGGAGAAAACAGAACCTAGCACAATGAGGTTGGAGTTAAGTTAAAGACGTCTGGTGTCACAGGCTGTGACTCAATGGTTGAGAAATGATTGGGAAGATCCAGAAGTAACTTTTGCCCCTCGATTTGCTCCCATGGCTCCTGAAACTGAGGGACAGTACTCAATAGTCTAACTTAAATATAGATATGAAGTGGCTCCAACAATCAACCACTTAAGGTACAATCCAGGAAAACTGGACTCCATGTGAACTTAGAATTTCTGAGCTAAACAGCATGAACTCCCTACAGTGCACATCATGGGGGGGCAAGTGGATCACTGGGTAAGGAGTAATGGGTTAATTTACTCAGGTGCAGGGATAACATGTTAACTACCCAGCTCCTTAGGGGAAGTAGGACCAGTAGTTGAGAGTCCCCATTTGCTCTGCTGACTATGGCTGCAATACACACACACTTACCATCAGCTTTTGGCCACAAATTGAATCCCAGGCTAGGAGTGAAAGGGGAGCAATACCCTTTAAACCCTCTCTATATCACCCTGCTTTTTGGCATTTTGTTTTGTTTTATTGTTTTCATTTTTCACAGCCACCCCTTTCCACCTTAACTGGTCTGGTTACAGGTTATTTCCAAGCAGAACCCCCATTCCCTATTCCACTGATTTTCCATCTCATTCAGGAGGCAGGGCACTTTGGAGTTGTAGTTACCTAGCAGGTTGTGGCTGCTGACACTGAGATATGTTAAGTAACTTGTGGCTCTATCTGGGACAGACAGTCTTATCGCATGAGGCTAAGTCATTATAAGGACAACTAATAAAAGCTGTGGTTGTGTTTGTGTCAATGCTGGGGTAGAGGGTAGTAACTAAGGGCACAGGCTCGGAAGTCAAACTGCTTGGCTTCTATTTCAGCTTTATTACTTCTTTGATCAAGCTTCTTAACCTTTCTAAGACTCAGTGTCTTCATTCATCAAAAGGAGATAATAGTCTCAATAGTTGCCCTGAGGATTCACTAAGTAATCCACATTAGGCACTTAGTAGACTGGCAAGCACATGGCAAGCACTCAGAAAATGATTATTACTGTCATCATCATCATCATCATCATCATATCACCAGCATCACAGATAATGTTGATGATAATTATATCAATAATGTATCACTAATACTTCATATCAGTAATAATGCTGTATAGCATAAATGGTTCACATTCATTGAATGCTTTCTCTGTGTCAGGCACACTGTTTCAGCTCTTCTCAAGCACATCTTCACGAGAACCCTAAGAGGTAGGTGGGGTTATAGCCTCCCATTTTACAGATGAAGTAACTGAGCCCACACTGGTAACATCGGATACTATGCTTCTTGCAATAACACAGAACTACAGCCCAAAGCAATGTTTCTTTGGGACCAGAATGCCTGGTCTTAAATACCAGCAACCCCATCCTGCTTCATTGGTACAGTCAGACAAAAGCAGTCATACTGTTCGAAGAGCAGTCAGCCTTGAGTCCACATTCTATATAAATCACCCAGTGAAAAAATGACCCAATTAGACAGGTTGGCTGCTGTGCACAATTGCAGCCTCCTGGAGTGCTTAACTGTAAGTCTTTTTGAGGGCCAGTGCTACACCTTTGCAAAAGGCCCTGCTCATGGGTCTGCTAGGTGGCTGGCTGTGCTGTGGTTGACCTGGCCCACAGATAATGAGGGAATTTATGTCTGCAGAATTATGATATTGCATTGAATGTTTAGACTAGACTATGAAAGAATGGGGGAGTTTGAATGTTTTTCCTATAATGATTAATGTTAGGCCTGTTGGGGAAAACTGCACACTGCAAAATCCCAAAGATTTTTCAACAACCTCTGATTGCTTTTGGAATCGCAAAGCAACATTTTCAGGAGACAGTTTTGACATGGCACATTTTGGAGTCCCTAAACAGGGAGCTAATTATACATCTACTTAGCATTAAGGATATCTCTGAATCTCTGAGTGCCTGAAAATGTTCCAATGAAAGTCATATATTTATTCCTGGCTTTTATCCCAAATGAAAAACTTCCTAGACTTTCCTCCTTTTTCCTTTGGAATATATATTGAATTTATTTTCTAGATTTTCTCCAATAGAGGAGGTACAAAAATAAATATTTGTACTCAGCATTTATGTCCTGTTATAGCTTCTGATTACTTTGGTTATCTTAGCAGTTGATTTAAATTGTCACAGTAAACTAAGCTATTCTTGGTAATATCTTCCCAGCATAACAAAGTTTATTTGCCACTAATGTAAACTTTTGAGGGGGGGGTTGTTTTGTTTTGCTTTGTTTTTGAGACAGGGTCTCTGTCACCCAGGCTGGAGTGCAGTGGTGTGATCATGGCTCACTACAGCCTCAACCTCCTGAGCTCAAGCCACCCTCCAACCTCAGCCTCCCAAGTAACTGGGACTATAGGCACGAGCTAATTTTTTTTTTATTTTTGTAGATATGGGGTCTCCCTATGTTGCCCAGGCTGTCATATAAACTCTTTTAAGGGACTGGTGGCTCTCTAGGGCCAATTTTCTTACAAACTCCCTTATAAGAGATCTATTTTCTGTATTGTATAATTCTGACACCTGGGCCTGCAGCCTCTGTATCACTGAGACAGAATAAGAGAGAGCTGGAGAGTCATGTGCTGGCTCTTAAATACTTTGGCCTTTAAGGTAGCATTTTCATTCAGAGTCCCTTGGCCAGAACTGGTCAGAGTATGCTCACTTATCTGCAAGGGAACAGGAAATGGAGCAGAGCACATGGATATTCATGGAATAGTATATGTCTTTTCCATACCACCGAATCCAGTTCCTCTGCAAGGATAGTGAAGGCTAACAGATCATGCATGCTATCAGTGCTATGAGTAAGGCAGCATGGGAGAAAAAGGAGGCATAGATTCTTCTGGCTGAGATTTACATGTTTTCTCCCACAGATCTAATTTTGAAGTTCGAGGGCTCCCTGGGCTCTCACATCCTCCTACTGCTGGTGCAGAGATATGAGAATATAGAGGCCCATGAACACTGAGGCGCTCTAAGGAAATCTCATGTTTAACCTCCCTTAACTAAAACCCTGCATTGCAAATATGAACCTTTAATTAGATGCACATAGATCCATATAGACCAAAGATAAGTTTTCAGAGGCCAAGGCACTAGAAAAAATTAATTGTGTAGAGATTACTTCAACCCACTTAATATTACTATCCATAGTTGAAATTCATGTCGTTAGTTCCATGTTATTTGGCCAAACTAGAGTGATTATTGTAATTAACCATGACTTTCTTTTGGTACCCAATGTGTACCATATACATGTAAAATAAACATCATTCTGCATCCACATTTTATCTTTTTTTTGGTTGTTTCTTCAAAGTCATTGTGCTTAAACTAGAGAGGCTTTGAAACACAAATTAAGATTTTCTTTTTTTTCTTGGAAAATTTACATAATACAAAATGAGTTCTGTGAATAAATTTGTCTTGCTTATTAACTAAGGAATTTGGTAGGATACACACACACACACACACACACACACAGAGAGAGTACCATTGGTTAAAAAAACAAAAACAAAAAACCTCTACTTCTTAAAAAAGTATAAAACTTAACAAACTGTGTACTTGTAAAGGAATCACATATCATATTGGAAAGAGATTTTCCCGTTAAGTCTGCCTTAACCAAAGATATGACATGGCTGAAATACTGTTTTTCAATGAGTGGTGAGTTAATTTTCTTGGCTCAAAGATTTAATGTAATTTGGTCCAAGAAGTTAGGCAAGTGCCTTGTGAAGTGTATGTGAACCGTTGTATCTAGCGTCTTTCTGGGAACTTTGCATTTCTCTTTAAGAAGAAGCAAACTTCAAATAGCCATACTTTATCATCCGCAGCCACATACACTTGGCTGGGATAACTTTGCTTCAGAGTATAAAGAAAGTTGTCAATGACTAAGAGATACATCAAATATGCTTTGAGAGTTATAGCAGAAAACCAAAATTATATTGATTTCTTAGAAGTTACTGAAGCAACACAGTAACTTTCATTCTAGGTTTTCCTACTTAGTAGGTACATGCCAAGGGGAAAATGTCTTCAATCCTGGAGGCAAAGAAAATGTGTTTTACTGCTTTCTCTTTGTTTCTTGTTTCTGATGATTATTTTTTAAAAACTATGAAGATAGAAAAAAGGATCACAGTCTGACAGAGTTCAAAATGAAAAATCAAATAAAACCACTATTTCTTTGCCTTAAATATCAAATGATCAGTCATGTCTCTACCTTTTTCCACAGAATTGAACATTTGTATTATTCCATAATGTTGCCAAAATGTGGCTTTTCATTTTAATTTTAGGAAAGATCAAAAAGGGTTCTTATATAAGTCTCTTGAAATGGAATAGAAATGTCTCCCTAAGTGCCTCTTTAATGTGAGGTGTTGTAATTCATCTCGAGATGAGCAATTTATGATCAAATGTCAAATTTGCAGAGAACGATGGATTCCAACTACAAAGACTTAGATGGGGCAAATGGTAGAGAGCAATCCAACATGCATTAATTTAAAGGAAGTTAAAAAATATACATTATCTGTAGATCTTCTTGTGTTTGTGCCTACACAACCAAAGTAAATGAAAACTGAAAATTTCAGACAACTGAAAACTATTTGATTTATCACACAGTGGTTAAGACCCTTTGGCATGAGAGAAACCTGAATTTAAACTGTTGCCCCACTAATTCCCGACTGAGTGACCTTGTCCCTTTACTGCCCTGTGCTTCAGCTTCCTCTTCTATAAAATAGGGATACCTATGGTATTCATGTTAATGATTAAGTGATATGTGCCTGTAAAGCACTTAGCATAGCTGCTCGCAGTATCTGCATTTATCTGAATATTAGTATACATTCCTATACATATTTCATTGTCACCCAGCAGAATGACAATTGATGTCATGTTAACCACACCTTCTGGTGCCCTATACCACAGTACTTTGTATCCAGTAGACAATCAGTAATTATTTGTTGATGTTCTGTCATAGAAATGTCTGTTATTTTTGCCATCTCTGACTTTAAATGTGATTCTCTTGGCCTGTGTTATTCCAATTTAACTCAGCAGTTTGTCCATCATGGTTGAATAACTGACCAGTCCAGTGAAAAGAAATCAGTCAAACTTGTTCTTTGACTGCAGGGCCTGGTTTTTGCTAAAATGTGAGGAAGGATTAGATGAGATGCTGACCGCAGGTAACACAGGCACAGCCTTAGTGGGTGGGGTACCATTTGTGCTATAAAATGGACACTGCATGGCATGAAGTCAGGCTCAAAAGCTCTTAGTAAATATTGGTTTACTGGCTTGTTAATGACTGACATAGAAGGCATCATTGACAGCTGAGTTTTACCATTAAATATCACTGTCTTTAATTGTGTGAGAGGATTTTGAAATCTGTTGAGGGAGGCATATAAAAAAGAAAGTGTATTATCTCTGAGAGTGCCCTTAGGATGCCATAAGGTGGACTAATTATTTGCCAAGTGGAAACACAGTGTAAAAAAATGGTTTTATTCTAAGACTTGCAGTAATTATCAAGCAAAGCCTTACTGGAGCCATATGAGGAATTTGGAAATGTCCTGGGGTGTTTTTAATTGTTACATTGATGATAAGGTCACTACTGGCAATTGGTGGGCAGGGGCCAGGCATGCCACACATCCAGCAGCATGTATGAGACACACGCTGAGACTCCCGTGTATGAGACTCGCGCGCACTCGCGCACATTGTGTCTCCTACAATGCCAGGTTAGGGGCTGAGAAACACTCTTGAGTATTGAATAAAGGCACTGAAGGGTCATTTCCCCAAGAAGCCTTACACATACTTACCAAATACCCACCATATGCCTCACACTTAGAATACAGTGAGTAGATGGTGAGAGGAGCTTATGTTCTTGAAGCAGCCAATAAACAAACTGTAAACATAGTAAATAAGTACAATATATATTAGGCTAGGAGGTGAAAAGTGCAAAGAAAAAATAAAGAACAGGTTAAACCAAATGGAAGTTGCTGGAAAAGGGAACTATATTACAATTTTAAAGTAGGGTGATCCAACATGGTGAAACCCCATCTCTACAAAAAAATTAGCTGGGCGTGGTGGTGCGCAACTGTAGTCCCAGCTACTCAGGAGGCTGAGGTGGGAGAATCACCTGAGCCCCAGAGGCCAAGGCTGCAGTGAGCCAAGACTGCACCACTGCACTCCGGCCTGGGTGTCAGAGTGAGACCCTGGGTCTAAATAAATAAATAAGATGATCAGAGTAGGAGAGAATAATGCAGATAGGGAACCATACTGTGGAATTAAACTGGAGATCGTTAAAGAAGTCGTGTTTGCAGGGATGCTTAAAACTGTGGCAGAATAATAAAGTGAGTTTCAGCTGTCAATATTCCTTATTTTTAGCAAGAAAGCAGCCTTAGGGACATTACTATAAATGATGGATAAATGCATAGATGGATGGCTGGATGGTTGGATATAAAATGGCCATTAAAGAATCAATAAGAATATCAACATTTCCTGTGCTGGGATTCAGTCACTCAGTGAATTCAGATGGCCTGTCCTTCAAAGCTTGGCCTAGGGTAGATTGGGCAAATGATTCCTGAGACCAATAGTATCTCAGTCCATTGACTTTTTTCCCTTCTCCACCCAAGACACCTGTGGAAACTATTAGTCTTCTATAGAATGGGCTTCAGTAATGTGTAAGATAAACTGAGGCCTTCATTCAAAGCCTGATCTTAAACTGTCTGTGCCTTAGACATGGTTTTATAGCCTGAGCATTTTTCTGAGTATTCAGTACATCAGGTGTGGGAGCAAATTGATATTGGAGAAATCTTCATGGACAGATGTGGCTAATGTTCTCAGCTTCTCTCTCGTCCTCTGAGGCCAAAAGTGAAGTGAAATAAAATAGCCAAAGTTGCAAGAGGATTTATTTCTCCTTTGAACCACAACAGAACTCAACTATCCCTCTAGAAATTGAAATTGTCTATGATAATAAATGAAAGTGCCATTAACACACACTGAGGCTCATAGGAAGTGGTTCTGCCAAAAGAAACATCCATAAAAAAGCATACTCGAAAAGAAAATGACAAGGTCTGAAATTAAAGATCAAACAAATAGGGATGATCTTCATAGAAAATCCATCTGGAGAAGAAATATGAACTAAAGCAAACAGGCAATAAGACAGCAGCATTATGCACTATTGAAAAAGAATCAAACCCTCTGCAAATCAGCAGGAAGGGATGCTGTTGAGGTGCTAGTCAGAAGACAGTAGGAGGCCCCAGAGGGAGACTGCAACACTTCAAACAACAAACCCAACCACACAAAATGTTTGCTTTATTTTACCAAAACATACACAGTGCTGCATTTTCAAAAGTCCTTTGAAAACCTCTTTGCAGAAGTAGCTGGAGAATCCTAACAGCAAAGCTCGTCAATAGGGAAAAGTGTGCAAAGGCTTAGAAAGATAACCAAAAGAAATTAGTCTACAATGGTGGGGGTTAGGAGAGGGATGGGTGGAAGGATTAAGGAAGGAATGGTTGAAAAGAGGCCGAGAGAGAGGATAGAGAAAAGTTAGAAGTTGGAAACCAGTATTGGACATTTAAACTACTTTGAACATATTGATTTAACACACTGAATCTTTGTAATATTGATGTACTCACCACATCTTCCTAACAGAAGGTGGGGCTCACTTCTCCCTTTAGCAAGTGATTCTTTTTGAAGTATCAAGTTTCATCCAGGCTAAATACTCCTGCCAGTGAGAATGCAAAAGGAATGTAGTATAATATGAAATTCCCCCAATTTATTTAATATAAGTTTTGCTACATGGCTGTATGAAAATTACCAAAGGGCCTATCAATTCAAAGGCTGGCCTAGTTCCTCTGGATACTCAAAAATATTATTATAACAGACATGTATTGAGTTCTTAATATATGTCAGGTATTATGCTGGACACCTAGCATGTGCTGTTGCTTTCAATATACACATCAGTTCTCAAGGCTGCCAAGCCAGTGCATGTAAGATACGCAATGCAAGGTCTCTGCCTCACCATCTAATTAGTTTCTAGTCCATGCCTCTATTCCCATTCTTTTTTACCCCTTTCCTTCTTCTTTAACACTCTCTCTACCTCCCTCCGTCCTTCTGTACCCCTCCTCCAACCTTCTTTCCAAATATAGGGATAGAGAAAGTCTAAGAGTTCTTTCAGCAGTGTTTTGTAGTTTTCCTTGTACACTCTTTCACCTCTTGGTTAGGTATATTCTGAAGTATTTTATTTTTTGCAGGAATTGTAAAAGGGGTTGAGCTCTTGATTTGATTCTCAACTAGGTTGCTGTCAGTGTATAGCAGAGCTACTGATTTGTGTACGTTAATTTCTATCTTGAAACTTTGTTGAATTCACTTATCAGTTCTGAAGCTTTTTGGATGAGTCTTTAGGGTTTCCTAGGTATATGATCATATCATCAGCAAACAGCGACAGTTTGACTTCCTCTTTACCGATTTGGATGCCCTTTATTTCTCTCTCTTGTCTGATTACTCTGGCTAGGACTTCCAGTACTGTGTTGAATAGAAGTGGTGACAGAGGGCATCCTTGTCTTGTTCCGTTTCTCAGAGGGAATGCTTTCAACTTTTCCCTGTGCAGTATTATGTTGGCTGTGGGTTTGTCATAGATGGCTGTTATGACATTGAGGTATGCCCCTTATATGCCGATTTTGCTGAGGGTTTTAATCATAAAGCAATGCTGGATTTTGTCAAATGCTTTGTCTGCATCTTTTGAGATGATCATGTGATTTTTTTTTTAATTCTGTTTTTGTGGTGTATCACATTTATTGACTTGTGTATGTGAAACCATCCCTGTATCCCTGGTATGAAACCCACTTGATCATGGTGGATTATCTTTTTGATGTGCTGTTGGATTCAGTTAGCAAGTATTTTCTTAAGGATTTTGCATCTGTGTTCTTCAGGGATATTGAGTAGAATCAATATTGTGAAAATGACCATACTGCCTAAAGCAGTCTACAAATTCAATGCAATTCCCATAAAAATACCACCATCATTCTTCACAGAATTAGAGAAAACAATTCTAAAATTCATATGGAACCAAAAAGAGCCCACATAGCCAAAGCAAGACTAAGCAAAAAGAACAAATCTGGAGGCATCACATTACTTGACTTTGAACTATACTATAAGGCCATAGTCACCAAAACAGCATGGTTAAAAATAGGCACATAGACCAATGGAACAGAATAGTGAACCAAGAAATAAACCCAAATACTTACAGTCAATTGATCTTCAACAAAGCAAACAAAAACAGAAATGGGGAAAAGACATCCTATTCAACAAATGGTGCTGGGATAATTGGCAAGTCACACGTAGGAGAATAAAACTGGATCCTCATCTCTCACCTTATACAAAAATCAACAGAACATGAATCAAGGACTTAAATCTACGACCTGAAAGAATAAAAGTTCTGGAAGATAATATCAGAAAAAACCCTTCTAGACATTGGCTTAGGCAGACTTTATGACCAAGAACCCAAAAGCAAATGCAACAAAAACAAAGATAAATAGGTGGGACTTAATTAAACTAAAGAGCTTCTACACAGCAAAAGGAACAGTCAGCAGACTAAATAGACAACCCACAGAGTGTGAGAAAATCTTGACAATCTATATATCTGACAAAAGACGAACATCCAGAATCTATAAGGAACTCAAATAAATTAGCAAGAAAAAAACAAACAATCCCATCAAAAAGTGGGCTAAGGATGTAAATAGACAATTCTCAACAGACAATGTACAAATGGTCAAAAAATATATGAAAAAATGCTCGATATCACTAATGATCAGGGAAATGCAAATCAAAACCACAATATGATACTACCTTACTCCTGCAAGAATGGCCATGATAAAAAAAAATCAGAAAGTAATAGATGTTGGCGTGGATGCTGTGAAAAGGGAACACCTCTACACTGCTGATGGGAATGGAAACTAGTATAACCACTATGGAAAACAGTGTGGAAATTCCTTAAAGAACTAAAAATGGAACTACCATTTGATCCAGCAGTCCCACTGCTGGGTATCTACCCAGAGGAAAAGAAGTCATTATACAAAAAAGGTACTTGCACACACATGTTCATAGCAGCACAATTCACAATTGCAAAAATATGGACAGCCCAAATGCCCATCAGTCAACAAGTGGATAAAGAAATTGTGGTATATGTATACAATGGAATACTGCTTGGCTATAAAAAGGAACAAATTAATGGCATTCACAGCAACCTGGATGGAACTGGGGACTATTATTCTAAGTGAAGTAACTCAGGAATAGAAAACCAAACATTGTATGTTCTCAGTCATATGTGGGAGCTAAGCTATGAGGATGCAAAGGCATAAGAATAATACAATGGACTTTGGAGACTCGGGGGAAAGCATTGGTGGGGGTGAGGGATAAAAGACTCAAATTGGGTTCAGTGTATACTGTTCAGGTGTTGGGTGCACCAAAATCTCACAAATCACCACTGAAGAACTTGCTCATGTAACCGAATACCACTTGTTCCCCCAAAAACCTATGGAAATAAAAAAATTAAAAATAAATATATCACTAAATGCAGATCATTTATATATTTTTTTTAAAAAAAAACTCTAAGAACCAGGAGCAGAAGGAAACAGTTGTAATCTTGGCACTAGATGCTTTGGTGGCTGGCACATGGTGGGGCATCAGCAGGACTGGTTGAATGGCTGCTGGGTAAGCACTGGTATTGAATGCTGCACTGGTAAGCCAGTCTTGTTTACACTACCAGGCACTGTTGGAGCAACTGAGGGAGAACTCTGCAAGGCAGAGGTGATTCCAGTTAGCATCCCATCTGCTCTGTGAGAGAATCATATTGCATTTCCCAGGGGGTGGGTTTGAGGAAACCACATGAAGAGGCAAAACTGCAGCTGTCTCCTTGCAGATAATGGGTGTGGAGTGTTTTCTATGGAAGCCACCACAGGACACTGACAAGAGGCACCAAATCCTCAGAGCACTCTTTACCCCGACATGAGCCCAACAAAGACCTCTTATAAAAGCCAACATCAGTTGCTTCTGCTTTCACAAATATTATCATGTTTGTTTTCTTCTACTCTTCTGATTGCTCCTTCTCAGGTTTATTCCTTTGCCAGTCCTTTAACTGTTGGGGTTTCTCAGAATTTCTTCCTCAAATATCTTGCCTCTATGTTTTTCCCTCTTTGGTCTGGTCTGCTCACCTGAAACCTGCTCTCATCTCCAAGATGGTGGCGCTCAAGCTTGACCTCCAGCCCCACCTCTCTCCTGAATATTAGACTCATATTTCCAACTGCTTCCTGGACACCTTTATCTGCACTTTGAATTCAGAAAGTCCCTAATTCGAATCTTACTCACCTTCCCATAAACATCTTCTTTCCTTTCATGACACTCATCTTGGTTAATGACAATCACCCAAGCCTCCAAGTTGGAAATATGAAACTGGTAACTTCTGTTTCTCATACTTTTATCCATTCAGTCAGTCACAACTTCTGTGCTTCTGCCTGTGTTGTGTCTCGCACATTGTTCTTTTCTCTTGCCCTGACTCAGACCCCCATCACCACCACCACTCTAAATTGTCTTCCTTCCCCACCCTCTGTGTGACCATAGGGATCTTTCCAAAGCAGAGGTCTGCAAACATTTGCAAGGTACCCAGTGACAAATATGTTAGGCTTTGTGAGTCATGAGATCTCTGTTGAAACTACTCAGCTCTGCCACTTTAGCACTAAAGCAGCCAAAGACAATATATAAACAAACGAGCATTGCTGTGTTCCAATAAAACTTTATTTATAATAATAGGTGGCAGGTCTGATTTGGTTCATGGGATGTAGTTTGTCCCATCCTGTTCTAAATCGTGAGACATTTTTCTCACCTACACATCAGTAACTCTTCTTTGCTAAGGGTAGCCAATCTTAGCCCTAGCTTTGAATCAGAATCACCATGGTGCCCTGGGGCCTAGGCATGTGTAAGTTGTTGTAGTACCTGGTACTAAGTTGTTCACTGTACATGCCCACTGGTCTGACAGCTGAGGATATGTTGGCCCAAAGAGGATGATCATTTGCCGAAGATTACCTGGACATTAGTAGTATTGTTGGACTAAAATCCAAGTCCTGGGTTCTTTGTACTTCTCTAGGCTAGATTAGCTAGTAAATGTTGAAAATGAAACCTTGGTTCTCAGCAAATTAACAGGCAAGGTATATATTCATTGTCTTAGTCCATTCCTGTTTCTACAATAAAATACCTTAGCCTGGGTAATTTAAAAAAGAAGTTTATTAGTCATAGTTCTGGAGCCTGGGAAGTCCAAGATCAAGGTGCCAGCGGATTGGGTTTCTGGTGAGGGCTTGCCCTCTGCTTCTGGCATGGAGTCTTCTTGTTGTGTCCTCACAGGAAGAAAGAGACAAACACTGTGTCCTCACATGGTGGAAGGGAGAAGGGACCAGAGTGCTTGCTTCAGTGTCTTTTATATAGGCACTAAGTCCATTCATGAGGGTAGAGCCCCCATGTCTTAATCACTTCCCCAAAGGCTCCTCTTAATACTGTCACATTGGGTCTTAAGTTCCAACATGAATTTTGAAGAGATACATTCAGACCGTAGCATCCATTAATAGAGGAATAGGTAAATAAATTATGAGGCATCTGTTCTATGGTATGATTCCATTTGTATAATGATGGTAACAACAAAAACAAGACATATGACTATGTATTTAGATGTGTGCAAATATACAGAAAAATGTCTGGAAGAACACGAGCCTGTCTGCTAATACGGCTACCTCCAGGGAGGGGACCAGGACTGGAGCAGGGTGGTCAAAGAGGTTATATTCTTATTTCTATTTTAACATTTTTCCTATACAAATAATTTCTAAAAATTAAATTTTTTTTCAAGAAAAAGAAAAATAGGGATATAGCACTGGTAATTGTCTCCACAAAGCAATATGAAGTACAGACAAACATATTGTCTCACGGAAAATAACTGAGAGACACAGTTGCTAAGATCAGGAATTTGTGGGACCTAATTTGGTCCAAACTAGGCAAGAACCTCGAGAAATTGGTATGTAATTTAGGTTTGTGTTACAGAAAAGAATTGGCAAAGACCATAAGAGCATAATGCTTTCCACAGTTAAATGTGAGCAACCTCCCCAAATCCAGAACTGTAAGAAAAGAACGGTTTCTTTGCTAACCCAGTAGGCCATATTGTTAACAGAAGTTGTATCCGATAAAAGATCTATGTTTAAACTATAAGATGCAACAGGAAAAAAGAAACACAGCATATGGAACTGTTTCTACACCACTTCAAGTCAACAGAGACAATATTTTAAAAATAACCAGGAGAATTCTCCAGGATGTTTCTTTTTATCTCTCTTCTCTGCATTGCGATTTTTACTGACTCTGACACAGAGTAGTCATTGCAAAAAATAAGAAGCCGAGGGCTAGTGTCATATCCATGCTGAAGAGGTGTTTAGTTTCTTTCATCAAGGGGCAGCTGGGAAGGAAAGCATTTCTGTGTGCCTTTGCCTTGGGGAAGACCTGTCTCCTAAGAACTCTGTGCATGTGATCTGCGCTGTTGAAGGAGAAATGGGTGAGCAGAAGTGACCGCACCCTGTAACTTCCTGTGTCCAGGAGAGCTGGCAGTCGGCCCGGTCTTCTGAGACATCCAGTAAAAATGAATCCCAGTTACATCTGCGGTGCTCACAGAAATAGATCTGCTGTATCTAATAAAAGCAAATGTTACTTTTTGTAAAGGGCTGCCGGGTCACATTCGGAATGGTAAACAAGTCCCCCAAAAAACTTATTTTTGAGGTAGAGACTGTGTAGATCACATTTTACCTCCTGGACTATTATTTACGTGTATCTTACTGTAAATGACTCAGGATTAAGGAGAAAAAAACACCATCTTCCTTTGAAGAGAAAGAAGGGAAGCTGGTGTTTCTAGCAGTCTCTGCGAAAGGTAGAGATTCCTTCCACATCCGTGAATTAACCCCACTTAGGAGTGGGCACCCTGCTATATTTCCATTCCCAAACCTTGCACACGCTGTGTTCTCGGGGAGGCTGAACAAGCTGTGGGTCTGAATTGCGTGTCTGGCTTGCACAGCCCCACGTGGGCCGAGGGGAGGTGGGCTGATTCATAATGAATGCTCCGGGTACTTAGAGTAGGGCAGAGTGCAGGGGACTGTTATTCTGCTTTGAAGTTTTCTGCCTCCCTCTTTGGAATGGATCAAAGGCCTCCTTTTTTTTTCTTTTTAGAATTCCTATAAGCTCTTAATACAGTGCTCTCCTCTCAGTTCCCCTCCTCTTCTATTGCAAATTCCTTTCCCACCAGCCTCAGAACCAGAAGTTGTGGGTGTCCACACAGTGGTCTCTATAGTTTCTCCCTCCCTTCCTCTCTTTCTTCCCCCCAGCCTCTCGTCCTTTGTTTTATCTTTCCTTTCTTTCTTTCTTTGGAGTGCCCCTGAAGCTCTCAGCCTCAGCTTAAGGAAAACAGCTAGTGGATCTCTGAAAGTGTTCTGCAGCTCATTTCTTGCTAGCAAAACAAGAAATATGAGAATGTTTTTTCTTCCCTTTTTTTAAAGAAGGAATCTGGATTGGAGAGATAACTGTTGTGAATAAAACAGGTGAAACTGACTTGACTAGTTGCTTTGGAAGCCGAAACGAATGTGAAACAAAGCTCTTCTGTGCCTTTAAAAGGCTGGAGGATGGTTTCTGAACTATTCCTATTGTAGCTTCTGAATTTGTTCTTCTTTTTCTTTTTTCTTTTCTTTCTTTCTTTCTTTTTTTTTTTTTTTTTTAGTGACGGGTGTTGCTCTGTCTCCCAGGGTGGAGTACAGTGGCACGATCAGAACTCATTATGCAGCCCCGACCTCCCGGCCTCAAGTGATCCTGCCTCAGCCTCCCTGATGTCATAGCCACAGCACAGGAAATCATACTAAAAGTGGTCCTCCTGTGCAATGCCAAGGGACAGTTCCACACACCCGTTTGGTGGATAGTCTTACATCCCAGATGGCTCTTGTTCCAACTGGTAATAACATGTAACATGTGAGCATGTTCTTTTGCCAATTGATTTTCTTCTGATCTTAGCAAATAACCTATCTGGGATAGCAAACCTGAGAAACAGGTACACTAACAACACACACAAACATTAAAATTACATTAAAATCTTAAAGCCTTAAGGCAACTAGTTTTTAGAAAACAGAGGATCTTATAGATGGTAATTTAGAAACTTAATGCAAAAACACCATCTGCTAAACCTCCTATCTACGAAGACGCTGGGGTCTGCGGAGAGCACAGCCTGTATCTGGAGTTAGCTCCATCTGCTTCTACCTGCTCCCTGGGAATCTTCTTCACTGAACAAAGGTCCACTTTTGTTTAGGTCCCACGAGTTTATACTGGTCTAGATCAAGATGCTATTCAAGAGTCTGTCCATCCCACCCTGGGTCTCTTGCTTAAGTCTCAGTCACTTCATTTGGAATATGCTGATTTTCTGAAGATCTCCAGAGGATTCATTCAGCAAATGTTTCCTGAGCATAAGACAATTTGCCATATCCTGAAGGGGACGTAAATGTGAGAAAAACAGGGAGTATGGTTCAAGAGAGGGGATAAGATCGTTCAAGGAGAGCAAAGTTGACATGGTGAGAGGGGTACAAAGACTGTGGAACTTTAGGGAATAGAAATCTCTCAGTTGATCTGGTAGGATAGGACTTGATTGTCTCTGCTCCTACCTTCTATTGTGAGTTCATGCTCCACTTTCCTGCTCCCTGAGCACCTATCACTGTCTGCAAACAATATGCACTTAGGTCATCCCAGATGGCTCTCATTCCCACTAGTAATGACAGGTAAGCATGACTCAGGATTCTCTGTCACACCTTTCCTGGGACCTCACAGCATCACATGGAATGTTCCTTCTTTTATCTCCAATCATGCCAAGGAAGAAATCCACAGTATTATAAACCCAAACTCACTGTGATTGTTGTTATTATTGTTTGTTTAAATTTTTAATGAACGCAAAAAGTCCACATCTAATTGGCAAAAATCATATTGAAGATGACATATGTGATGATAACTGAGTGTACACTGTGTGCCAGGTGTCACATATCATTCCATGGAATCCTCCCAACAAGCCCAAGAGCAAGGATCACTGTCCCCATTTACATAGAGGAACTTGAGGCACAGAAGAACTCACCAGCTTGCCCACAGTCTCACAGTTATTCAGTCTTGGCTGTCACTCTCTGTGAGACACAGCCTCCCAGATCCAGGACTTGCAGAAACCCTGGGCAGGCCTTTCTTTGTAGTTTTTGTCAGGTAAGACATGCCAAGTGGGCAAGTGGGTTTTTTTGCTTCATGACAACAACCAGAAATGGCAAAACATTTTCTGTTATGCTTTGAAGAGAATTCCATACTTTTTCTTGGAATTCACTTTCCTTATTATTTCTGCTTGGCTCTAGCTGATTTAAATTTTTTTTTTATTTCTATAGGTTATTGGGGAACAGGCAGTATTTGGTTACATGAATAAGTTCTTTAGTGGTGATTTGTGAGATTTTGGTGCACACACCACCCAAGTAGTGTACACTGTACCCGATGTGTAGTCTTTCATCCCTCACCCCCCTCCCACTCTTTTCCCTTGAGTCCCCAGAGTCCACTGTGTCATTTTTATGCCTTTGTGTCTTCATAGCTTAGCTCCCACTTATAAGTGAGGACATACAGTGTTCGGTTTTTCATTCCTGAGTTACTTCACTTAGAACAATAGTCTCCAATCTCATCCAGGTTGCTGCGAATGCCATTAATTCATTCATTCCTTTTTATGGCTGAGTAGTAGTCCATTGTATATATATATACCACAATTTCTTTATCCACTTATTGACTGATAGACATTTGGGTTGATTCCACATTTTTGCAATTGCGAATTATTCTGCTATAAACATGTGTGTGCAAGTATTTTTTTTCATATAATGACATCTTTTCCTCTAGGTAGATACCCAGCAGTGGGATTGCTGGATCAAATGGTAATTCCCCTTTTAGTTATTTAAGGAATCTCCACACTGTTTTCCATAGTGGTTGTACTAGTTGACATTCCCACCAGGCTATAGATGATTTTATAAAGGCTACATTCCCTTTCCTTCCATAGTGGCCTGGGCTGCAGCTCCAGGCCAAAGCTGAAGTTAAAAAAACAAAAAACAGACAGACAAGACCTCATTCCCAGGCAGCCAGCAAAGCAGGTAACAGATGTGGATCTAGGGATGGGCCAACTCTTAATTTCCATTATGCTCAATCCAGGTTCTCCGAAGCAGGTGAAGTGATGTAATCCATGTGATATACTAAGCACAATATTCACACATGGTAAGTGTACAATCAGTATCACCCATTTCTATGAATAGTGTGGCTTTATGCTCATGAGCTGGAATGTGTACTCATGACTGTTAAGGGATTTGCTCCTTCACTCTGCAGTGCAATGATCTTATATTTTTTTTCATATTTATTCCCCCACTGCATGGTAGCCTTTGTGAGAACAGGAGGACAAGCAGAGTCAGCAAAGGGAACTACACAAGAAAAGGCAATTTCCAGTAGAAGAAAGTCCAAAGGGAAAGGGCCTCTATATTGGGAGCTCCATGAGAGAGGGACTGTCTTTTCAAGCTCCTAGCACAGGCCGGATGCTCTATAAATACTGAAGGATAATAGGGGAGAAATATTATGTTTAAAAGCTGTGTGGCCTAGGAAAGAAATAGGACCTATGTGGGGACAAGGGATGGAGTCCACTTGGTCCTCCACTCCTAATTATAAAGGGTCTCAAATTTCGACATTTGATGTTATTTCCAAATGACTTGTTGAATGTCTTATGTGTGCTAAAGCATGAACTTCTTAAATATAGACATTTATAAAATACAACCAAAAACTTAAGCTTTATCACATTCTTTTATTTTGTAAAATGTCAGCAGCCTCAAAAATTGCCATTTGGAAACACCTGTCTTGACCCAGAAACCTGTCTTTCACTCACCTTAGGCCAAGACCATACGTGCTCTGGCACCTGGTGGCCAACACCAAACTGTTGGCCGTCATTTATTTCTTCCAGATATTTTGAATTTTCTGACTAACTTGTCTGAAATACACCACAGACGCGGAGCATTTTCCAACAAGTCTGATGTTGTTCCATCTCAGTTTTAATTCTGAAGCTGTGAATACTTCCTTGAAATAACAGCAGCACATCTTTTCTTTGCTCAAATCCTCCTTGTTTAATTTGCCAAGGATAGCAGGCTTTCTCCTCCCTGAATAATTCACCGTCGGGTGTGTGTGTGTGTGTGTGTGTGTGTGTGTATGTGTAAATTTTTTTACATAGAGGGCAGTCGGATGAATCCGTCCTTTTAGAATTGTCAGTGACAGACAACTATGACATCAGGTCATTTGTGAGCACACCAGCCCACTGATTTGGCATCTCCTAGCATCCCACACCCTGCTACCATCACCAAACCACCATTAACTCTTGTACCTCAGTTACCCCCTTCATAGCCTAACCATAGGCCATGCAGGAACAATGACTTATCTAGCTGTTTATTGAGTCACGTGTATGCCCAACCCCGCACCAGGAGCTAGGAATACAACTGTGTGCAAGGCATACTTGGGTCCCTGACCTTTTGGTGGGGAAGACAAGCTTCCCCTCACCCCTAAAAAACCATCCTAATAAATAAGAATATCTTTGCTATTGCAAAAGGATCAACAAAAATCTTGCCTCGTGTTAAATTCTTGACAACCCTCCCAGCTTATTCTTAATTCTTTAAGCTCTTTTAAAATCAACCTTCCTGTTCCAAAGACTACCTCCAAATCCTTGCTCTATCCCCTCTCAAAAATCCATGAATTTGGATCCCAGATTTATTATTAAGTAAGCGTTCCAGGAATTATTATTTCTCTCTTCACATGCTGTGCTCTCTGGGAGCACAAACAGTCGCCTTCTTAAGCTGGCAGGAAAGAATGCGAGGGTACGTCCTCAGGCGAACCTTATCGAGAGCCAGAAGCCACACATTTCCAAGGTGTAAATATGCAGCCGGTGGTGCAGGCCTGGGATGCAGAGCCCCATCAAAGTGTTAACATAAAATAAGGTTGACAGTGCCACTTCATCAGAAACAGGCAACAAATTAGATGTTATGAAATGCTTATAAGCCTAGGGAGTAAGGTGCTCAAAGACAATTACCAACTAAACATTTCATTAATGAAATAATGATTAATTGTAATTACTAATTAAAATTCAGGATTATGCTGTTGGTTTTGAGCAGTAACAGGAGTAATGACATTACCATTTTTAATGGAATTCCAGGAATGAAAACTATAACAACTCACAGAAAAGATATGGCTTGCAAGCGTGATTAGGACTTACTGTTAAACCCAGGGGCACGGAATTTTCCCTGCTGGTGAACTTAAGTAAGTTTAATGTGGTGTAATTTAATTACTGAGCGTAGTTTTCTTCTCAGTGGGAAGAGATACCAGGTTTATGCTTTAAAGAACAAAAGGAAGAACATAAATAGCTATGGGTAATGATTGGCTACTAGCAGGAAAAATCAAACAGCATTTAACTGTCTTTTGCATAACATTTGAGGGTAGATGCATCCTGGCTCGGTTGCAAATTTTATTTAATTAATGCTTAGAGGATTAACAACAAAGTAGCCCATGCAGACAGGGAATGTAGTCCTGTCGAGTGTACAGGAAAGTGAATTTCCATAGGAAGGACGTCTCCACTGAATAATTAATGTGCGTGCATTTTCATAAATGTCAAATTCCCACAGGAAGCAGAAACTTGACCCTCTGTAATAAACCATTTAGGATTCATTAAATATAAGCATCGTTCTTAAACTGTTTGCCATGGCACATGAGCTCATCCATAATGCAGCATGCTGGCCTTAGCTGCAACATAAAAATGCCCAGCGCTTGGCTTTTAGGCAGCTGCCGTTACCCTGAGTGTGCCGACTTCTTCCAGTCTGACTCAGATCTAGCCCCTGTGGGTGAGCTATCACTCACTTCTTTCTGACTTGTATAAGGCCAAGATCAGTCCAGAGTCAATCTGGAAAGCTAACATTTAACTCTTCCTCAAAGACAAGGAGGGCCTCAGACCCTGTTTAGACCTTCTGTATCAGGGTTCCATGACATTGGCACTAGTATCCTGTGGGGCCAGATCATCTTTGTTGAGGAGTGACTGTCGTGTGCATGGCTGATCGTTTGGCAACATTCCTAGTCTCTGCTCACTAGATGCCAGTAGCATCTACCCTCTCCCACCAGTTATGACAATCAAAACTGTGCCAAACATTGCCAAGTATCCCCTGGGGGCAGAATCTCCCCCAGTTGAGAACCACTGTGTATAGATCTTACTGGAGTGTATCCACCTAGGTAGGATGAGCTGCCACGGGGTAGGATGAGCTGCCAAGGGGGCACAAGGCTTCCTATTCAGCTGGGCCTGTGAGGCTGTGGGAATCCATAACCCCTTGTCACCTTCACAATCACAGCCATCCACAAGACCAAATGTGCCTTGCTCTTGAATAGTATTAACTGCCCCTTACAGATCCAAATGTGGCTATCACAGTGGCAGTAAGTGCGCCATTAAAATGAAAACCATTTACTCTAGTGACCCAGAGCTGTCTTATATATTCCTCTCTCTGCAGCAGTGACTGTTTCCTTTTCTTTATGTATCAAAATTACTAGCGCTGTGAGCAACCCCCACCATTGTCCTGGACTTATAAGGAGTCCAGTAAATCACTAAGTGATTTTCTTTTTCTTCCTTCCTTTCTTTCTTTAAAAAACAAAAATAAATTTTCTGAGATTAGTATGGGAAAAGAAAAAGCAAATGAGCTCACCCGTGGAAATTTTTATCCCAACTGTTTCTAAAGTCTGAAAACAAATCACATTTTTTCTTTTAATAGAATATAGATTTGATTTCTTGATTTTAAAACATGCACTTTTAATTCTGTCTGGGCATGCAGGATGCCCACATGCTGGCTAAAAAAAGAAACACGAAGCTATTTGGAGAATCACTTTGTCTACACAAAAGCAGAAGCTGATTTGACTAATGATTTTTCTCCTCTTTGATTTTTATTTGAATCAAAATGAGCAGTTAGTTATATCTTGGCACCCCACTGCCATTGCCTCTGCATTCTCCTAAAATAAAGAGGATTTGATGTGCTTAGTACAGATGTGTTATGAGAGGGTGACATAAGTGTGCAAGGGCATCCTTGACGTTGTGTTGTGTCCATGTGACATAGTAACTGGGCACAACTCATTTCACACTGAGAGGTTGAGACTGGTCAGTTATTGGAAACCCAGAGCATTCTGATTTTCTCTTGTGACAACAGTTCCACTTTGGCCTGTTCATAAATCACACTGGCTTGAGAGCAGACCATCACAAGTATGTTTTCTTTCTAGTATTCCACTTTCAACAGACATGTTTTAAATTAACCAGCCAAACACAGTTCAAGAATCAGAACCAGTGAGTGAAAAGTCTACTTGGCTCAAAACCTGACTCAGTCTTATTAATTCAGAAAGCAGAAAGCTTACATGCGCTAATTACCAAAGCTACTAATTAGCTTTAATTATAAGCTTGGAAGGAAGTTGAAGTGTGCTGCATTCGATAGTGCTGTTGACCTTTTCAGTGTACTTTGGAGGGGGAGGGTGGAGAGGCATAAAGGAGGTGTTATAAAATTCATCAGAGAGCAATTAATTTATGTCTTCTGATGAATATGCTATAAATTAACACATCTGTGTATATCAGAACATAAAGGCATTTTAATGGAGCCTTACCAGTGTCAACTCTGAGTGCCCCAGCCAGCCAAGAAAATGTACTCGTTTGGTAAGTTATTTCTTATTCTACCGCTATTGTAAACCATGTGGCAAACTGCATCCAGCCAGGTGCATGCTTCTATTTGTAAGTCATAATTAAGATAGGGGGCCAGCTTTGATTGATTTGGGAGGGTCACTCTGAGGAGCTGCCCTTGCAGACATTTCATGAGGTGCTCAGAAATCTGTTTCATGCCAAAGTCTGGAAATACTGTCCCCATTGGTCTCTCACCAGGGTCTTATTTGTCACTCTCTCTGAGCCTCTACAGCCCAAGGCTCAAACCGTGCCTTTGATGTGGCTGGGATGCTCCATGCTGTTTTTCATGTGGTAAGACAGCTCCTCCAGTACTCCTCCTCACACAAATGACGATGGCTTTCAGGGACCACCAGTACAGCCTTTCACACCTCAGAAGACCCTCCTCAGGCCCCAGGAGCCCTCTCACAATCCCCGTAAGAGGCACCTAAAGCAGACCAGCATCTGCTTGCTGTGACTTGTAAACTCTGAGTCCCCTTATCCTCTAGATTTGAAGCTTCTTTGGTTAGGTTCCAATCTCTCAAAACTGACGTATCCCCTAGTAACCACCAGAGGGATCCCATATAATGTGATAAAAATTATAATCAACATGGAGGAATCACAGCTCAGCCAGCGTGTGCTTGCTTCCAAGGCCCCAGGTCTCTCAGCCTGGAAAAGGAGAGCGGGGAACAAAGGAGGAACAATGTGAGGGAAGGTTCTCCTTGGCAGCTTCGGGGAAGGGATCCTCAAAGGAGAGGCACAGGTCTGAAGACGGAAGTGTCTGAGGCCAATCTTCTCTTCTCCTGGAAACAAGCAAACAAATAAAACAAACCCCAGTCATTACAAAGAAAGCCCTTTGAAAATCAGTGAAATCAGACCCTATTTGTTTCTAAACCCGTGTTCAGAAGTTGAACTCCAAATATAATGAGATTTTTTTGTGAGAACTAAGAGCCTTTTCCATGTTTCAAATAGGGTTGTACAATTGTATAAAAGAAGAGGGAATTGGGAGTGTATTATGTTAGCTTCCTAGGACTGCTGTAACAAATTGGCACAACATGAGTGGCATAAAACAACCAAAATGCATTCCCTCCCAGTTCAAGATGCTGGATGTCCAAAACTAAAGTGTCAGCAGAATCATGCTCTCTCTGAAAGTTCTGGGGAAGAATCCTTCCTTTCCGCAATCTTTGGCCTTCTTTGGCTTACAGCAGATTCACTCTAGTGTCCGCTTTGTCTTCACATGGCCTTCTGCCCTCCGTTGATGTCCTTATAAGGACACCAGTCACGGAATTTAGGGCCCATTCTAATCCAGTATGACCTCATCTTGACTAATAACATCTCCCAAGACCTCTTTCCAAATAAGGTCACATTCTGAGGCTCTAGGTGGACATGCATTTTTGGAGAGCACACTCTTCAACCCAGTATGTGTTCCTTAACTATTTATGTAAACAACATTTCAAGTTTAAGCCCTAGACACAAAGCTGGGCTGATACTGTAGTTCTAACATGATTTCCAGGTCTTGGGATGAAATCCATGATCACCACCGGGAAAATGATACTTCAGTCACCGTGGGTTTCCTCTCTGCTTTTTAAAATATAGTTTTTCAAGCACAATGCCTCTCCTCTAAGCTGTTGTAAGGCTTCTGTCGGAGAGTTTTTGGTGTCTTTTGTGTGTGAGTGTGTGTTGTGTGAAGTATCAGAAGACATTGTTTCTACCCCGCAGTCCCTTTGTAGCTAATTTTATTGCCCTCAGCTGTTAGGTCTTATAGATTATCCCCGAGCCTATTGGGCCAAATCGGTGTAGTTAAAGCTCAAGCCATCCTTGTTTATCCCTGTTCTTAATTCATGTCTGGCTGCCCAAACGGCCAACTGAAACTCCAGATCAGCTCAGCAGAAAGCTGTATGTTCAGGTCAAACATGCTTGAGTGAGAAGA
Source organism: Homo sapiens (assembly GCF_000001405.40). Taxonomy (NCBI): domain Eukaryota; kingdom Metazoa; phylum Chordata; class Mammalia; order Primates; family Hominidae; genus Homo; species Homo sapiens. The sequence continues at coordinate 59,808,604 of NC_000003.12, read as the reverse complement.
TTGTCTGCAGTGTGTCAGGCAAATTGGCAAGCAAGTGTCAACAGACCCGGAGGTGGGAGGAGAATGAAAAGAGGGGAAATTAGCAAAAGGAGTGGACGTGGTTGGACCTGAGTTTTACCGTAGGGTAGAGACTGGTCATCACTGGCAGAGGTGGGGTTGTGGGGAAAAAGGGAGATAGTCCCAGGGGCTTGTCAGAGAGGGCCTCCATCTCCAGGTCAGAAAAGCCCTGAAGAGCCAGCCTTTCAAGCCCACTTCTTGTTCAGAGGCCCCTCCGCAATATCCCTACCATGTGGACTTCTAGCCTTGGCCTGAATTCAAGCATCCTAAGTCATTACCAAGCCCCCTTTCAAACCACACTCTTCATCCTGCAATTTTCATTATGTTAAAAAAGCATCTGCTTCCCCAGACACTAAAGGCCACATATTGTATGATTCCATTTCTATGAAATATCCATAATAGGCAAATTGATAGAGACAGAAAGCAGATAAGTGGTTGCCAGGGACTGGGGGGGTAGGGGAAAGGGGAGTTACCACTTAATGGGTGCAGGGTTTCCCTTCGGGATAATGAAAATGTTCTGAAACTAGGTAGCGGTGATGTTTGCACAACACTGTTGAATGCACTAAATGCCACTGAACGATATACTTTAAAATGGCTAAATGGTGGATTTTACGTTATGTGTGTATGTTTCACCACAGACATATAAATTGCTTTCTTCCGATCCACCCACTAGTTATCTACCTGCTCCATGAAACCAAACAAGTTTAATTCCTTTTCCACGGCCCACGTTGTTAATGTTTCTTTCTCCTGTGTTTGCGGAAACCATCACGCACCCCCACCCCATATCTCCACTTCTCATGACTACTCACCCTGTGTCCCAGAATTGTGCATCTTTGAAACCCCTGATCCTGGGTACCCTCCAATGGATATATCCCCTTTTCTCATTCCTTTTCTGAAATTATGCTGCTGCTGGGATATACTGCTGCCGAGGAATATGGACAGCACATGCTACAGAATAATCACCTGCTTTGGCCTGGGACTTGGAAGGTCTGGGTCCTGACTTTAACTCTCTGTGTAACCTGAATGGTAAACAAATCATTCAGCCTCAGTTTCTTCACCTGTAAAATGGAAGACAAGAGGGCTTCCAAAGCCTTTTCTGACTTTCAGACTTCTAACCCACCACATAGCTCTGGACCTTATTCTTGCTGATGACACCCCATAGTGTGTTCCTGTTTGGCATCCCTGCTATGCTACTAATACCCACTGAGCTGGAAGTTAACCAGGCAGGACATCTTCCTCACTAGGGTTAAGCTAGATCTTCCGCACCCCAACCCGCAATGTGTGACATTGGATTTGGGGCTCCAGATGGAAGATTGCACTAGGATCCTGATTAAATGCTGCCCCATAAGATGGAATACAACATTCCAAAATGTAATTTTTGATCTTCATTGCATTATCTAACCTATGTATATATCTCTTATTTTGCTCTCATAGAGAAATCTGTGTGTGTTCTCAGGCAAGTCCCTTAGCAGAATTTTGGATAAGAGAGGGATCACAGCCAGAGTCCCATACTAGCCCACTGAAGATTTCTATTCTGGTGTTTTCCTCATCTCCAGAAGTATGGCAATGGTCCTGTTTATCACTGTTCTGTTTCTGGAACTGTCTGAGCTGAGACTAAATAATTAATAGAGGGGCTTTCTGAAGATCTTTCCCTTATCTTTTTCTTGATATGAGGACTACACTTGTATTTTGGTGGTTTGCATTTGATTTTGTTGTTCTCATTGTTTCTCCAGTGATAATTTGGTTTGAGTCACTAAGAGGACACCCCCATGTTCCACAGCTGCATTCTAACCCCATACACTGGGGAGATACACATATATATGTATATACATATGTATATACACATATATACATATGTATATACATATATATACACATATATATGTATACATATATATGTATATATATATATAAACCCTGTACCCATATATATATATATGATTTGCTCAACTGCTTTAACTCACTTGCAGTAACAATGACTGTGGATGGTAGGAGAGAGTCAAGCAGGCAAAATTCTCCTTGATGGGAATTGCCGCTGGGGATCTAGAAGCTCCACATTCAAGGTTTTGAGGTAGCCATGACCAGTCTAACTGTAGAAGTGGAACGAAGCATTGGAAAGAGTATAAATTTAGAGCTCTAAGAACTAGGTTCAGTTTCTTCCATTTATCAGCTTTGTGGCCATAGTCAAGTGTTTGTCTCCCTGTGCCTCAGTTACCTTATTACAAAATTAGAACCATTGTGAGGCTTAAGAGAGGCCTAAAAATTAACTCTACCATTTACCCCTCTTGCCACATAACACATGTAATGTCCTAGGCTTTACAACATCCATTTTCATGTAGATTATTCCCCATGATCTTTTTTTTTTTTTTGAGACAGATTCTCGCTGTCTCCCAGGCTGGAGTGCAGCGGTGTGATCTCGGCTCACTGCAAGCTCCGCCTCCTGGGTTCACGCCATTCTCCTGCCTCAGCCTCCGGAGTAGCTGGGACTACAGGCGCCCGCCACCACACCCGGCTAAATTTTTGTATTTTTAGCAGAGACGGGGTTTCACCGTGTTAGCCAGGACGGTCTCGATCTCCTGACCTCGTGATCTGCCCGCCTCGGCCTCTCAAAGTGCTGTGATTACAGGCATGAGCCACCGCGCCCAGCTTCCCCATGATCTTTAAAAGTCACCAAAGAGGAGAGGGGAGAGAAGTAGTGTCTACAGAGTAGCATACCCAGCATCATGCTCAGTACATGGTTAACCCTCATTGAAGCCTCAGAATAGTCCTAATTTTGTAGTAAGGTAACTGAGGCACAGAGAGGCAAAATTTGACTCTGGCCACAAAGCTGATAAGTGGAGGAAACTGAACCTAGTTCTTAGAGCTCCAAGTTTACAGTCTTTCCAATGTTCCATTCCATTTCTACAGTTAGACTGGTCATGGCTACCTAAAAACTTTGAAGGTGGAGCTTCTAGGTCAAAAAGGATGTAGTCTAATGGCAATAAACTGGGGACACTTAGCACAGAGTTTTGTTCAGATTCTTCTCTGTGACCCTTTGTCTTCAGAGATAAGAACATTCCTTTCTTCAGGGCACCTCTCCAATGAGGGTCTTCTAACCTGCCGCAAGGACAAACAGGGAGCGAACAGTCAGAAAGACCTTCCTACTTCTGTTACCTTCTCACATTCCTTTAGCTGAAAATATTCACTATGCCAAGGTGCCATATTTTGGGGAAGCATGTCCTGAACTCCATCACTTTTATCTTTAAAATGCAGATTGCATTAAATTGCCTTTAATATTCCTAGTGAAATTAGAAAACTTGGGGATAAGAACAATCCCAACACCTGGTCCTGGGCTTGACTGACCTTTATCTCTGTCTTCACAAGCTCTGAAGGAGTAAGTGCCCACAGAGCAGGACACGCCGGAAAGGGACACTTTGAGTTTCTTATTCCGTGCCCCATACAGCCTCCCACTGCTTCAAGCTAGACAGAGGAGGACTCTTTCTCCCTCTAGAGACAAACCCAAGGCCTGGAAACAAAGCAAACAGAATGGCCGCCTTAGCTCCCTCTCCCCTGAAGCCTACACTAGACTCTAAGATTAGAGCACTCCAATACCAAGTAAGTACAGGTACCTGTCTCGAGAGAGCCCACCAACCTGGGAGAAAGGGTGGTTTCCCCAAATGCTTAGTGCATGACAGTCCTCGGCTGTTCGCTCTGCACTTTCTACCGTGGGGCAGCTCCAGAGATCACCTGACTTGCCAGTTCCCAGAAGGCAGAGTCAGCAAAGGGCCTTCTCAGGAGACCCAAGTGGCAGTGAGACAGGAAAATAGGGTCTGCAGGCAGGGAACATAAGGCTGATTCACACTTGAGCTATGACAGGGGCTATCCTCTCCATAGGGCATACGCCAAGTAAATGACTTCATAACTTTACTTCATCCTCTTCATTTACATAGGGCATACACCCAGTAACCAATGGAAACCTCTAGAGGCTATTTAGACCCCCAAAAATTCTGTAACGGGGCCCTTGAGCCCCTATGCTCGGGCCCACTCCCACCCTGTGGAGTGTACTTTCATTTTCAATAAATCTCTGCTTTTGTTGCTTCATTCTTTCCTTGCTTTGTTTGCGCATTTTGTCCAGTTCTTCAAGATGCCAAGAACATAGGCACCCTCTACCAGTAACAGCAGTACCTTCTTCTTCAAGGGAAAACCTAGCCTTATGGGATAAAGAGACAGACAGCTATTGACCTTGAAATGGGGCAGTGTAGATAATGCATAGTCCATTAAATATCTTCAAACTTGACCGACGCCTGGCAGTCTCTTCCTGGATTTAAGTGTAGGAGTGTGAGGAGGAGCCATAAACTCTTCTTGTGGGTTTCATAATTTCCTACTCTCCTCAAATGAACCAGAGACAAGGACATAACCTGATGGTCGCTCTGCGAGATGTTGCTGAGTTCTTTCCTTGCTCAAGAAAACAGAATATGTCATGATCAAGCCACATCAATGATGAATATGCACATCTTGCCTGATGGCAGACTGCTACTTAAAATGCTGGAAGCCCTACCCCTGAGAACCAGGCCCCAAGTATTATGTTGGCGCAGAAGTAATTGCAGTTTTTGCCATTGAAAGTAATGGCGAAAATCGCTATTACTTTTGCACCAACCTAATACATTCATTGCTACCGAGCATCTACATGCCCCGGATGTTCAGGGTTTTTTGTGCCTCTTTAATTCTGATATTTTTTATTTTATCCCTTCTTTGAGATGTCCTTTACTGAAGCAAATAGGGATTTATTATTACCTGGCAATCTCCCTTAGGCTGTTTCGTTCAGGCTTGGTTGTTCAAGGCAACTGACAAAAAGAAATTTGGGGAACAAAGCCATTTTGCTTTGTTGGGTCACCTTTAATAGCTTGAAAAGGTCCAGAACTTCTTTACTTAGCAGAATCTCCTGATGACTTTGCTAAGTGAGGAGCGAGATGCAGGTTCCCTTTAAAAGCCTGACATCTTTCCACCTTTGTTCATACGCAAAGTGTTTTCTCAAAGTGAGGCCTTCTGCCTTTGCACATCCCCCACTCTAATGAGACCCGTGCTGCCGCCAAATCACATTCGGAGACCGTTAATGCAGCAGGAGCTGGCGGAGGTCTCTTCTCCATGGAAGCAAGCCCGCTCACCCAGGTGAAGAGCAACAGCACTAATGAGCACCAGGAGATGATCTTAAAACAGAATCCTTCGCTGGCCCCGTGCTCGCCTGTAAGGTCCTCATTCTTTAGTCTTCTTTCTGTCCCTACAACTTGGGAAAAAAATTTACCTCGTCCCTGTCTTTATAAATTGGGAGGGATATCTCAGACTCTTGACTTTAATTCAGATAATTAATGTACTGAGCTTTTAATTGAGTGAGTGGGAGGGAAGGAGATGTGTTTTGCCAGCTTTTAAATGTAGCGGAAACATAAACGCCAGGTTTCAGGATTAAAATGAATGATCAGTCAACCAACATTCATCCCGTGCCTGGTATGTATGCACCATTCAGCTAGGCAGCGCTGGGGATATCACAGGGCAGGCATGGCACCTGACACGTGTCTTCAGGGGGATGCAGTCAGTCAAGTAGAATAGGTAAGATGTATACCCGTATCACTACAGTTCAAGATAGAAAGTGTTCCAATAAATAAATAAAGCCCCTAATTTCAGAGGACAGATTCTTTGGAATATCTTTTCTCTATTCTCACTGCTTGTAATTCAGACCACCATTCTCTCTCCCTAGGATTATAGCAGTAGTGAAGTGACTAGTTTCTGGCCCTCAATGAACACCTGTGATGTGCTGGGCACATAAAACAATTGTCACGCGTGTCCATGTGAAGAGACCACCAAACCAATAGGCTTTATGTGAGCAATAAAGCTTTTTAATCACCTGGGTGCAGGCGGGCTGAGTCCAAAAAGAGAGTCAAGGAAGGCAGATGGGGTGGGGCCGTTTTACAGGATTTGGGTGGGTAATGGAAAATCACAGTCAAAGGGGGTTGTTCTCTGGTGGGCAGGGGCGGGGGTCACAAGGTGCTCAGTGGGGGAGCTTCTGAGTCAGGAGAAGGAATTTCACAAGGTAATGTCATCAGTTAAGGCAGGAACAGGCCATTTTCACTTCTTTTGTGATTCTTCAGTTACTTCAGGCCATCTGGATGTATACGTGCAGGTCACAGGGGATATGATGGATTAGCTTGGGCTCAGAGGCCTGACAACAATGAATTAAGAGAAATGGGCCAAGGATAAGAAGGAGTATTAAAAGGAAACTGTTGGGAACTAGAGCACACACAGGCTTCTGTCTGAATAGGGCAGACGCTTTGGCTACAGTTAATTATTGCCAAGCAGGGTAGGGGAACCTGAGCCACTAGGTACACATTTTTTTTTTTTAATACAAGTCTAATTATTTTTTAAATCTTTTAAACACTGCATAAGCCATACAGAGCATTCAGTGTGCCTGAGCTGGCCTGGCACCTGCCATGTGGCAGCCTGTGGCATATACTACACCAAGGTGAATACACTAAGGCTGAGGTGACTCAGAGAATCTTTGTGGAAGGGGGAGTATTTGATACACGTTTGGAAGAATGGGTGTAGTCTGGAAAATGGCTTTCCAAGTAAATGAGAGAGTGTGAACATTAGGTATGGACCTAGGGACTTTGAGGTTGTGGTCAGAAAAAGACAAGGACTCAGGCGGCTGGAGACCAGGGTATGAGCAAAGGTCAGAGGGCATGCCATGGAGCCTCAGGCCAGAAGGGTAAGTGGAGGCCAGATACCCGAGTGACCTCAAGTGCTGGTCCTTTACCCACTCGAAACCTCACTCTGCTTGTCTGTACAGTGAGGGTGGTGACACCTACCTCCCAGAGTTGTTGGAAGGAGCTGGTGGGATTATGCGTAGCGAATGCTTGGTGGTGTATCTAGCATTGATACAGAGCATTGGGTCACCCTGCTGTTTAATAAAATTTAGGCTTAGGCTTCATTCTCCTCACACTGTGGCACTAGTGAAGGGCTTCTTCTTTTGTTTTTCTTTTTTAAAGTCTATATTTTCACTTATATAGGGAAACTAAACATTCAGAAATGTACAAAGAAGGAAATAACAATCATCTACGTTCTCATCACCCAGAATTAACCAAGGTTAACATCTTGGGAGATTTGTATTGGCATCCAGTCTTTTATTTTTAAGTTATTCTTGATTTTGCAAAAACAAGAACAAATCCATCACAAAAACTTGTTAAAACACAGCAAAGTACAAAAATGAAAGCATTTAAGCCTACCATCATTACATTAGGTGCAAATCATTTCAGACAGTTTTATGTGCATCATATATAAAAGGATGACTGCTTCCTATAGGGTTATGGGATTGCCATAAGGATTAAATAAGGTACTCCAGGTGAAGCATTGAGGTAGCACAGGCCTGGCATACAGTGCTCAATAAATGTTGGGTCATCATAGTCAGCAAATGAGCAGGTACAGCTCTGCAACACTACAATTTCTGTATCATGTTTCACAAAAGTCTAATGTTCAAGTTGGATCCACCTTTCAAGATCTTTCCCTACCCAATTGCAAAGAAATGTACAACAACTCTTTGCGATGAGCTGGGAAGGGGGAGATGATCAGGATCCTTGGGAATTTCACGAGCTGATAAAAAAGAGCTCCAGAGACAGAGGAGATCACGAAATGTGGCCTCTTTTCTTCTTCCCTTCCCTCTCTCACCCTCCCCTTTCTTCTCTCCCCCTCCTGCACTCCTGTCCTGTTGTGGTTTAACACTCAGCCACTGCAATGCTCAGAAAATGCTTACAAAGTCCTCCTAGTTACATTTAAGACCCCCTTTCTCTTCCTGAGGAAGATACACACTGATCCCAGAGTTAATGAGTATTGATTGTGACATCTGTCTTCACCAGTGGCCCAAGAAAGGGGTGCACATGCTGGCTGCCTATGGTTAACAGCTCAGTTGAAGACAGGAAGCAAATTAGCTGTTAGACGGTGGTCCTTTGCACCTGAAATTCATTATAGCTTTAAACTCATTTTGAAAATGTGTCTTGTAACTCTCTGAACCAGGAGTAAAAGCCCGGGCCACTTGGTGAGAAACCTGTTTTGCTTAGTGATTAAAAAATCTGGCACTGCCTCATTCTTTGAGCTTTGCAGAAATTTGCAATAGCTTCTTTTTACCATAAAGCAGGTGTGAGGCGAAGACTTTGTGTGTGTTTATGATCATTATGTTGTATTAAAGAGTCGTGTTGAGTTCCAGAATGAGAACAAGAACGCTGCATATTCCTCTACCTGCAAAGCAATTAAATTATTGTCTGACATGTTTGTAACTCCAGAACCAGTAATCAGCTTTTAGTCTGAATAGAGGACATGGCATTATAACCCAGTGCTTTGCTGAGAGGTTCATATTTAGCATTTGCATTTGATAATTTAATTTAAATAATACCGAGCAAGCACAGTTACACTTCTTGGCAATTGTCGAAGTAACAGAAAAGAATGCAAAGCACAGGCTGTTTTTTGTAAACAATTTTTGTATTCCTGAATGGTTTTCACTTCCTTGATATGAACCTCTGCTGCTCTTGTCGAATAGACTAGAAAATGGTAGGAGCCTGTAAAGTCTCAAGTATTATGTCTCTCTTTGTTCCCTTTCTCCTCTTCCCACAATATCTGAGCAATCTCCAAATTTCCATGTGATTGTGAAAGGCCTGCAGTGAACCATTTTAAAAAATCGCCCCCACAAGGGACTTTTTTCTTGCAAGACACCGTTATGTATTATAGATCAATTTTCTGATAAGAGTCTGTTTCAGAGAATATTTGGTAATTTCAGCAAAGGTAAGTACTTGCCACAGGAATAGTGAATCCCAAGTTAATGCCCAATAATATCACCAACTAAATGAAATAAATGGAAGAAAGGGTCTCTTCTCTTCCCTATCCCCCTCCAAAATAAAGTTTATGGGATGATTTCAGGATGTTCATTTCTAGGACTATCTAGCTATCATATTTCTTTACCCAATTTATTTACTTCAAGGCACAGGTGCCAGCTGGTTTCCAGACACGTTGCTGTTTCCACTTTCTCCCCTCCCCTTTTCCTCTACTTCTCATGAACAAAATATCCACAGATTTCTTCCATCCCTGTTAGGGGAGTTTCAGGGCCTTCCCCATCACAGGCCTTGAGAAACCAAACGTCCGTGCCCTAAGGTATTTTTTTCTCTGTTGCGCTTGGCTTTATAGTCTTGCCCAGTAGGACCTGCATAAGCTTTCTCAGGCACCACATCTTGCTTAGAACTCAGGGAGGTCAAACAAAGTCTTTCATTTTTACTGTGCCTCCCACTTCCCAAGACCTGCCCAGTCACCCAAAATGCTGATTGGTTGCAAATATCACATATGTAAGTCTATGTACGCCTTCAAAGAAGGTTTATTCTACTAAGAATGGTATTTTCTGAGAGATGTTGTTTAAAACTGAGTTAAAAAATATTTAAGTAGATTTCCTAGTGTTTCTAGAATCTTCCAAAGGGCAGGAAAGGGAGTAATCAGTGGAGAAGTGCAGCTTCCCTTTGGTTTGTTTAGATTCAGCATGTCTGGGCATGCACAAGGCTTTCTGAGAGTTCACCAACGTGGCTGGAGGTTAGCAGAGGCTACCCTCCCAATCATATTTTAAATACGTCCAATGCCAACTGAGATGACTCTTTCCTCTGAAGAATAGCCCTTACTCTCTGCCAGCCACAGTGTTTGTTAGATATGTTTCATCTGAAATCTCTTTCGAACCATCCTAAAAACCACAGAGTCAAACAACTGTGGACTTCATCAATCCATTTTCCAGATGCTGAAACTGAAAACTGAAGGGAGCTAACCTGCCCATGGTCATCCTGTTGGGAACCAAGTTACTAAGATCTAATGCGGGTCTTCCCAAACCCAAAGCCTATACTGTTTGCACAGCCTCACAGGCTCCAGCCGCTACTTCTTTGTGTACATTAGCAAGCGTTCTGTCAGTGTATAATGTGCTAGCTACATCTGTGGCCTTGGCCTTTGATCAATATTGACCACCCCTGAATTCTTGTGAATCCTGGTATATCTGATTATGAAGAGTTGTAGGTACCCAAGCAGCAATGATGCAGCCATACACAGTGACTTGCACATTTGAATAACTCACAGAACCATAGCATTCATGTGTCTGAGAGGAAACTCTTGGTATAATCTTCTTTCCTCCTGCTATCTTGCTCTTCTAGTGAGAATTTACCTAAATCGTATAGCACTATACTAGAGTTTACCTTAGTTCATGTTAAGATCTATCTACCGTTAGTGATTAAGCTGAGGAAGGAGAGGTGATAAAACATTGCTGGGCGGCGTAGGTGCAACCCCTTCTGCTTTAGTATTTTTCTGAGCTGAAATACTGTCTTAGATATTCTAGATGAAATACTACCAGCCAAAAAGGGGACATGAAGAAGGTTTTTGGTTTAGGAGGTTATGGTTCTGGCATGTTTCCCAGTAGGGTGGCTCTGAGAAATGGAGCCATGGTGTTGAAGAGGAAATCACCAAAACACAAATGGGCAGCCTCTTTGGGACCCTAAGCAGTGCTCCAGGCAAGTTGAATATACTGTTCTTGTGGTAGTAAATGTTCAGGTTCTTCACAGGAATGAGGCTGATAAAATCCTGTGAACATGGATACCTCATCACAGCAAATGTAACGATTTTCATTTGTTTTAATTCTATGATTAGTTCTGTTAATAAAAATGTCTATTTAAGCTATTTAAGACACCCACTGAAATGCTATCATATTAATTTCACGGAAAAAATCCAACGGAACTATATTAGTTTTTCCCCCATGAAGGTGACATTATGGACTTTTAATGGCACTGTCAGCAATAATGGTTTTTATTGACCTAATTATTAAATGAATTAAAATCTGTCTCAATGCCTTGACAATTATATAATATCGGCATGGAGGAGAGAGCCACGGTGGGTTACTGTGTGATGAAACAGGAGAAACCCAGAACTACATCCTCCTTACATGCATTGGTTCATCCAAAGAAATGACAAATAATACTCTAGTTTCATTAGATGTATTTGCCTATCACTATTTTTAAAATTTGTTAAGACCAGGCACAGTGGCTCAAACCTGTAATCCCAACATTTTGGGAGGCCAAGGTGGTCGGATCACATGAAGTCAGGAGTTTGAGACCAGCCTGGCCAACATAGTAAAACCCCATCTCTACTAAAAATACAAAAATTAGCCAGGCATGGTGGTGGGCACTCGTAATCTGAGCTATTTGGGAAGCTGAGGCATGAGAATTGCTTGAACCCAGGAGGCGGAGGTTACAGTGAGTAGAGATTGTGCCACTGCACTCCAGCTTGGGCTACAGAGCAAGACTCTGTCTCAAAAAAAAAAAAAAATTGTAATATCAAAATAATACTTTGTGGTGACTTATAATATTAAACATGGAAAACTTCTCTGTTTTCCTTGTCTGTCTTACACTTTTCTCTTTTGATGATTTCCAAAAATAGTGTTAGAACTTTAGCAATGATGTTAAATATATGATGAAACCTATGAAGTTTTCTAATTAGTTTTTAATATAAAAGTAATATCAGGGGAATAAATTTTTAGAGTGCAAAGGAAGGAGAGTAAAATTTCAAATCTCACTTTTCCAGAAGTACCATTGAAAGTTTGAGGAAGCTATTTGTAAATTATTGATTTTGGGCTTCTATTAATATATGACTTTATTTTTGGCACAGATAGCAAATATGTGACACCCACGCCTCTAATTCCCTCTCCCAAGTCAGACATCATTAAGGGATTGCTGCACCCTTTGTCACTGAGAATACTGCAGTCTTGGAATTCATCTCAGGGCTGTGCTTCAGAAAAACCCAGAAAAACCCACCCAGTGTGAACTGACATAGAAATTGAACCCTCCTTTGCATCCCTGGTGATTACTCACAGTTATAAAAGCATCTTCATAGACACATACACATGAATCTCATTTGCTCATCAAAGAAATGCTGTGAGAGAAGGAGGACGAGGATTATCAGTTCTATTTTAGCAGACAGAAAAACAAGACAGAGTAAGGAAGTGAATCAGAGAGCTGCAGTGGTTTATGGAGTCACAAGGAAGGCCTCTTTGAAGACTGACATTCGAGGAGAGACCCAACAGAAGAAGAACGTACATGAAAAACCTGGAAACAGAGTGTCACAGGCAAAGGAGGAGCTGGTGTAAGGACCTTAAAGAGGAAAGGAAGCCCTTGTGACCAAGGGAGAGATAGAGGGTCTGGGGGTGTTGCTAGAGACCCGCAAATGGGTCTGGGTGGCCCAGAGCCAGGGTAAGGGATTTGCATTTCATTCTCATTGTACTGGGCACCATTAGAGGAGATGAAAGGAATGACCTAACGCCATATGTGTTGGACACAGGCTAGACATACCGCATCTTGCCTCAACAATATCTACCCAATCAGTAGACACAGTTTTGTCTTGAAAGCAAATTAGGGAGAATCATGTCTTGCTGCAGGTGCACACTTCTATTCTGATGAACTCAGAAGGTGGCATTCCCTGTCTCCACCTCTTTCCTATAGCCATGGAAACCTATCCCAAGACCAGGGATAAAACCACACAGCAGGGCGCACTCAGTCGAGTTCTGGTAGAGACAAAAGCAAGGAAAAGTTCATTGTGTGTTCCATCAACGCTGAGCAGCACAGGACTTCCCGCAAGGAGACCGGTACATAAGCCTGTCTGAACTAATAAGGGGAGGCATCCCCTGGCAGCCACTTTTTCCAATCCGATGGAGCTCTGTGCTGCACAGCGGGGCACCTCTTACCTTAATCCTGAATTTTTTACTTTTTATTTATTAATTGTATTTTTTGTTTTTTGAGACCGGGTTTTGCTCTGTTGCCCAGGCTGGAGTACAGTGGTGCAATCATAGCTCACCGCAGCCTCAAACTCCTGGGCTCAAGTGATGATCCTCTCACCTCAGTCTCCTGAGTAGCTGGGACTATAGGCACCCACCACCGTGCCCAGCTCATTTTTGTATTTTTTGGTAGAGATGAGGTTTTGCCATGTTGCCTAGGCTGTCTTACCTAAATCCTTATCACACAATTAAACTTACCCTCACTCTTCTCTTTTGGTTTGCTTTAATCCCTGTATCCTTTATGAATACAGCCTTATTTTATATAAAAATAAGAAGAAAAAATGTTATGGTATTTTTTTTTTTTCGAGACAGGGTCTTGCTCTGTCACCCAGGCTGGAGTGCAATGGCACAATCTCGGCTCACTGCAGCCTCTGCCTCCAGGGTTCAAGCAGTTCTCCTGCCTCAGCCTCCCTAGTAGCTGGGACTACAGGCACCCACCAATGGCCAGCTAATTTTTATATTTTTAATAGAGACGGGGTTTCACCATGTTGGCCAGGCTGGTCTCGAACTCCTGACCTCAAGTAATCCGCATGCCTCAGCCTCCCACGGTGCTGGGATTACAGGCATGAGCCACTGGCCAGTATTATTTTTAATACTGCTAATGACTGCCTGAGAACTTACTGTATGCTAGACCCCATGCTACATGCTTTGCATTGCATTCTCTTCATCCTTTGAGGTAAGTAAGTAAGTTCCATTATTATGCCACTTTACAGGTGAGGAAACTGAGCCATGGTAAAGTTAACTCGTGCTTATCTAAGATCATACTGCTAACAAGGGTAGGGTCCAGGAGGTTTAACTGCAGAGTCTATACGCTTAACCAAAAAAAGGCCTTCCCTCATACTGTCAAATGGAACAAATGTGACTGAACTTTGGAGGAAACTAGGCCTAGCTTTGAGAGCTGTCTCAGTTTCTTCAGCTGTAGATTGGAGCTTATGATGGCTCTGACCTCAAAGGATTTGGTGAGATTTAATGAGATACTATAAATAAAATGCATGGAGAGTGCTTAGCACACAGGAAGTGCTGTTACAATATCACTTGGGCTCTGGGCCTCAGTGCCCTGATGTATGACATGGAAGATAACAGCAGCTGTCTCCGAGGACCACTGAGGGGCTTAAAAGAGGCGATACATATAAAGGTGCATATAAAGCGCCTGCACAGGGCCTGATGTTTTGCCAGGTGGTGGCTACTTTTGTTAATTTAAGAATGAGTGATCTCTTGAATTTGTGGCCTCCATAGCAAATGAAAAGTAGCAATGGAGGAAAACCCACTGGTATCTCCTCTGTAAGTTTCATCTCTGAAACAGGAATTAGCACCATTGTTAATAACATGCGAGTATCTGAATTTGAGTTGTGGTAATGTTCGTGTCCTGGTGCGTTTTCAATTGGTGCCATTTCAGAAGGAGGCATTCGTGCTATAATGGAAAGCTTCAGTGCAAAACGTCTGAAAGAAAGTCTGATGTCTGTTGTTTCGTTTAAGTCAAGTTCTGACAACGGTACGTTCTAGAGAATTGCAGATGTTCTCAGATCGTGTGATATTTCTCTAAAAACCATGTCTGATGTTTATCCGCTGGAGCAATCTGGTATGATGAGGAGGATAAGGCTCTTTTTTTCATGGTTTAAAAAAACCCAAATGTCTGGCTAAGCTTGTGAGAAATAGCCTGAGTATGTGGCAGTGAGATTAATGGATTCTCACGCCGTGTCCCATGGAAAAATGCTCCCCAAGTGTTCCTGTGTGAAATACTGTACCTTTGTCACTTTTGGGGATACATGGGCCGGGCCTTAGCTAAAGGCATTGCTAAGCCTCAGTGAGGAGAAAATGACAACCCCTATCCTCACTGGGCCAGCTCTCAAGTGCCAGATCTTTTTCCCTCCAAAGCCAAACTCCCATCAATGAAAAATAAAGACAGAATGATTTCATCTTTCAAATGAGGCAATGAGGCAAGCCCTTCACTCTGTAGGTTTTAAAAGATTTAAATCAACTCTTTGGTTTAAAGTCCTGTCCCCTCACTTGACCAAAGTCATGTAAATCCTGCATTTCCTTACATTGTCTTCGGACCATGCTTGGAAGGAAATTTTCATTGAATTCTCGCAAGGACTGAGCTTCTGGGGAGGCAGTGCGAGAGGGGAAGAGGGGGAAGGTTTGAGTTTGATGAGCACTGGTCTGGAAGCCAGGAGGCTCAAGTCTCTTTACCAGTGGCCATGTGACCTTGGGCAAGGCTGGCTCCTCTTGTCGTCTTTGGTAAAACAAGGGACCTGGACAAAGGTTGCCTTCATCACGAACACAGTGTCAATTCTGACTTTGTCCTTCCTCTCTTGAGAAGACGATCTACACTTTCTTTCTGGCCTGTGGTAAGGCTGTTTCATTAGTTGGCCTGAAAAACAGGCTGCTTCATTATTTGGCCTGAAAATTTCCCTACTGCATTTTTAATGACCTACAATAGGTAGTCATTAATAGTAGCTTCTTACCTGGAGTCCTCAGACAGGGTCTGAAATTAGATGCAAAAACTTGAGTGTAGGTGAATTTTTAAGGGGTCAGGGGGAAGGCTTTGCAATTTTCATTTATGCATTCAGTGAATATCAAACACCTATTCTCTGCCAGGCACAGAGCTAAGCAAGGTAAAGAAAATGATGATCTGGGCAGATACACTCCCTGACCTCCCAGAGCCTGGAAAAAGGAATAAACAAGCAGTCACAGTGCAGGCGGATGGAGGTACAGTGGGGTAAGGTGGAACCTGTGAGGTGCTATTGGAGCTTCAGAGAGGAGCACATCACCCATACTTCATCAGATTTTCAAGGAGGTTCATGACCCCCCCCCCCAAAAAATAAGGACCTCCAAACTAAAGGAACAGGAATTTGATATGATGGTTGGGTGAACAACATATATAGAAATAATGATAGATGGACAAATATGTTTGAGATGTTCATTCCTACCTAATGAAGCATCCAACACAAAATTGGATATAAAAGCTTGAAATTATCATGATTGTTGTCACCACAATGACAGTTAATATACATTGAGCTCTTACTATGTACTAGATTCTTGTTAAGCATTTAACATCTGTAATTTCCTTTAATTGTCATCAAATCTTTGTGAGGCAGTATAGTCCTGTTTTACACATGAAAACACTAGGGCTCATAGACGTTGTCTGTTCAGGGCCTGTCAGTCCACCCCACCACCCCAGAAATGTGGCAAATCTAGGATTTAAACCCAGGTCTAGGTGATTCCTAAGCTTCTCATTAGTACAGATTTTCACAATTTTCAGATCACAGTGAGGGTGTACTTGGAACCCTCACCTTCCAAATAGATTGGAAAGTCATGTTTCTTCAATTGTTTTGCCAGACAGGACCAAACTTTAGGTTAAAAAATCAAAATTTTGCATCATCTGTTTCTTTCTATAGTAGAAGACATTCTCTTCTAGGTAGACTTTGAGAGGCCCTCAATTACCAGTTGAAATGGAGACGGTTTAATATACCTGTTCTGAGGCCCAAAACCCTCCATGGGGTTCAAAGGAGAAACAAAGCTCTAAGGGACTTATGAACAATTTAACATTTCCAAAGCACCTAGGATTAGTCATTCCATTTGACACAGAATACCATAGCCATGATTAAAACCAAGACATAGACTACCATAGCCATGATTAAAACCAAGACATAGACTACCATAGCCATGATTAAAACCAAGACATAGACTACCATAGCCATGATTAAAACCAGGCATGGGAAATCCATTCTGGGGCTGCACAGCTCCCACTGTCTTATTCTTAGCTGCCGTAAGCTACTCCTTGACTGGCTGAAGGCCATTTTCTCTCTTCTGGTTGACCTTGGCGCCCCTACTTTCTGGGTGTCTTTATGAGGTCTTCCTTCTTCTATGAGAGTTTGATCCAAAAGATACATAGCCCTTATTGACAGGGTCATCCCCAAAATACCTGGCCTTGTGGAAATGTCCTTGCCCTAGAATTGCACCGTTTTTTTAATTCAACAAGCCTTTACTAAGGACAAGGCCTATACTCAGCATTGGGAATACAGAAATGAATCACCCACATTTCATGGAGTACATGCTCAATAGACTGCAACATAGAGAAATTAGAGACCCTTTGCAAGTTATAGAAACCCAACTCAACCTGCCTTAAGAGCCTTAAGAGAATGAGAACGAGTTTATTAGCTCATGTAACTGAAAAGTCTAATAGTATTGTTGATTCAGGCGCGGCTGGATCCAGGGGCACAAGCAATGTCATTAGGGGCTTTGTGTCTCTCTGCTTCTCTCAGGCAACCTCTCCTCAGGGAAGGTAATGCGAACACCAGCAGCCGGAGGCTCACATCCTACTAGCTTATGGTAGAAAGATTGTGGGTTTCCCCCACCCCACCCCCGCTGCTTCAGTAATGCCTATAAAAACTTTGCACAGACCATGCTGGCCCAAGTTAAGCTACAGGATCATTGCTGAGCCAATAACCATGGCCAGAAGGATAGGGTTCCCTGAGAGGCCAGATCTGGATTATGAACCCATCCCAAGGCCAGTTAGAAATGGAGTCAACCCCATCCAAAGCCTGAGGAACAGGATAATTACCCACATGAAAGAGTAGTTCCGTGAAGAGAAGGAAGCAAAAGAAACAACACACAACAGGCCTAAGTACGAAGCATTAATGGAGCCCAGGCAAAGTCAGGGAGAACTCAGAAAGGCTTCCCAAAGATGCTGACATTTCACCAGAGTCCTGAAGGGTGAATAGAAGTTCAACAATAGTACAGGAATGTGACCTGGAGTTTTGTCCTGCTTTACTAATGCTCCAATAGGAATGACCTCAGAAAATAATATTCATTCATTCATTAAAAAAAAGTTTACTTAGCACCTACCAACCATATAGCAGGGACTATGTTAGTGCTGGGACTGTGATGATGAACAAGACAGGTAGTGATTTGGCTCTCATAGATATTACAGTGTTGGGGAGACACATATTAAATAATTGCACAAATGTTAAAAAAAAATTATCCTTTTCCTAAGTGCGTAAAAAGAGAAGAGCATTATAGTAGGGTTACAGCACACTGATGCCTGTGTTTCAGTTTTCCTAACTATAAAATGGAAAAATTCTTGTTTTCTCCTCCTACAATCAATCAATATCAATAATGCAATGATGAAGACAGATGATTTATACACACACACACACAGAGAGAGAGAGAGAGAGAGAGAAAGAGAGAGAGAGAGAAGCAATGAACACCTTGAAATAGAAAGTAAAAGTTAGGGAAGCTGCTCTTACTATAATTAGCTGGCTGGCTCATTGCATGCCACCTTAAAATGCCTCCTTTTCCTACTGTCCAAATGGTTAATTTGCCCTCTACCTCTTAGTGGTCTTGACTCAGTGCACCGTGTCCTTAAACCATTGTATCTATGCTAAGTACAAAATGCTATCACCTGCCTTTTATTATTTCCTCCTATGAAGCAATTGGGGTTCAAGAAAATGCTTTTTGGTATGGAAGCAAAGGAAATCTGGAAATGCTGCTTTTAAACTACTGGCCCTATTATTGAACAATTTACAGTAATTATACTATTTTGTACCCAATCTTGTCACAAAAAGTTCCCATTTTAGAATCTGCTCTTACAGGCATTTCCAGGGGAGAGGAATTTCGCTGCTCATTTATACACTCCTGAAAATAGCAGTGGATAACAGAGATGAGACTACAACTGCAAATGGCACTGCTGTGATGAAGTGGCATTTACAATGGGAAGCTTTGGGAGTGATGGGAGAGGAGTGCCATGTTTGTGCAGAGTCACTTTTATGTGGTGGCTTCGATTCTTTATTCAATGGAAGCCAGATGCTTACAGTTAACATTTTTAATGGGTTCACTTTCCCAGGTAGCTCATAAAATCCCACTAATAAATCAAAGGGCCCTTCTTAACAGAATTTCAAAGGATGCTAGAATGTCACTGATGTATTAATGAGTTAGGGGCCCTGAAAACTAGATTCATAATTTTTCTAAAGTGTCCACTCCCTTTCCTCCCTATAATGCATCCCCTAAAAAGACTAGAAAAACAATTCAGACATAAATGCCTCAATGTCACAGGCTAGCCATGTGTTTTCCACAAGACAAAACGAGTTACCAAGAGGAAAATTCCTGATTTAAAAGATACCATTTCAATTCTATTAGAATTTTTTAAAAATAAAAGGCAATGAGTTAAGTGAGAATAAGATGTAAACCTTCCTGCAATATTTGATTGCTAATGAACAGAAAGTATTAATCTTAGCAACGGAGAAGAGAAAAATGCATAGTGTTTTTCATTAAATCAACTAAATGATTAAATGAGTTAGTCAGTAGAAACCATTTTAATTTTCTGAACGTGAAATGTGCAGCTTATAACAAATAAATTCAAAGCACCTTTCTAAGCAAGTTTTGACCATAAAAAATGTGGGTTATAAAGATGTTTGGTATTTTCTTCTTCATAGATAGTCAATATTTTAAATGCAGTGACATTAATTGTGCAGAATGAAATGCCCCTACTATCTGGGCTTTAAAAAGTTGGCATCCAGTGCAAAGTCCCTAATGGATCTTCAGCACTATTACAAAATGATAGATTGTTGTCATAGTCATTTTAGCAGCTTTCAGAGCTGTTATATTTTTAATTAAATTGGCTGTGAATTTTTTAAGTAGCAAAGGTTGATAAACTAGCACGCAGTGCGATATCACTATTCTTCTTAGCGGGGCTGTCATAGTGGTACATTTATGTGCATAATCTTCTTAACATTCATAAGTCTCTTTGGTCTCAGGCATTGATCTGCAAGATTACTTGCTGTTTGGAGATGGGGTAAAAAAAAAAAACATATGAACTCAGCAAAGAACGTGGTTCTGAGACATTAGTGGGCTGAGAGGAGACCTAGCCTCATAACCCCACTGTAAATTGGCCTACCATCTTCCTTTCTTGTACCTCATCAATAAGAGAACACAGATGTGGGTGGCAGGTTAATGTGCAAATTCTTCTACCAACAGGTTTTGAGAGGTTCCTGTGAGCCAGGCCCTGGGCTGGGTGCAGGGACACAAGGGTGAGTATAGTGGAAGACTAAGACACTGATCCAACTGAATAAATAGGGACCAATTCAGAGAAGTACTGTATAGGAGAGGGCCAATCTAGAATGAGGATCGTAGCCTGCCTTTAGCCCTGTTTAGGGAAACCTGCCTGGCCCCTAACCACAGGAGGCAGGGAAGAAAATGTGTTCCAGGCAGAGGAACAGCATGTGCACTGGTGCAAGGGTGGCACGGAGCCAGTCTGAAGACCTAAAAGGCCTTGGGGCTGGAGCCCAGAGAGGGAGTGAGATGACAGGGGAAGTACTTTCTGCCCTGGATACAGCATCTGCATTTCCAGGAAGTGCTTGGGAGTTGACTGGCCAGCCATAGGGATAGCTGTCAGGATGATTCAATTGAGGCAGGATGTTCAAATGATTGCAGTTCACTAGAGGAGGGCAGCCTCGCCTTGGGTATGTGTGACTTCTACTGGCCATGAAAAAGTGAAAATCAAAGCCCAGGAGAAATGATGGGAGAGGGGAAAATGTGGTTAATAGAATGACAGAACGTTAGGGCAGGAAGGGTCCTTACACATTGTGTCCTTTGCTACCATCAATTTGCAGACTAGAAAGGTGAGCCCCAGAAGGGCCAATGTCACACTTTGATTGGCAGTGAGAAACCAGCCTACTTTGTTCTTAAAGGAGGGCACTTCCTAGAACACTATGTCACTTCCTCAGAACTTCTCATTTTCACTCTACGGTAAAAAGATTCCCTTATTTATCCAGCACATAGATGGTAGCTAGGAAGGGTTTGTAGAAAACAAGATAACATAGCAGGTAAGAACATGGAGGCAGAGCCAGAGAGGCCTAGGTTTGAATCCCAACTGAACCGAGTGACCTTGGCAGGATACATAATCTCTAAACCTCAGTTTTCACATTTGTCCAATGGGACTAATAGTAGTGCCTACATCATTGGGTTATAAATATTATGTTATCCTTCTTGCAAAGTGCTTCCCTTGATTCCTGGCATGTAGTAAGTACCTAATCCATGGTAACTATTATCATCTCAGAACAATTGAGCTAATCAAGAGATCCGTGAATGAATTATCTTGTTCCCTTTGTAGAAAAAGAAAATGGCATTTTACTTTTCATAAAGAGGGAGAAGCCTTTGACGTGTGTGTGTGTGTGTGTGTGTGTGTGTGTGTGTGTGTGTGTGTGTGTTTTGCCCCTTGTGCTTCTGGTATGCATGAGAAATTTCACATTTAGGCTACTGGCTCTTCATGAGGACGTGACTTCCCATTGGTTCATGTATCCTGATAGTTATGGGTACGTGAAAACCAACAAATAATGCTTAAAGGCCACAGATAATGAAAGTTTAACCACAACTCAAAGAGAAAAATGCTGGCTTTAGTTTAACATTATTTGTCATGGAAATAATTCAAGATTTAGAGTCATACAGACCTGGGACTAAATCCTGGCTTGGTCACTTATTATCTGGGAGATATTGAGCATGTTAGTTAACCTTTCTGACTCTCAGTTTTTCAACACCAAAATGAGGAGGATAATATTTATGATATAGCATGTTATGAGGTTCACCTAAAAGAAGGCAAAATACCTAACACATAGTAAACACCCAACAATTTTGGCTTTTCTAGTTATACAGACCAGCCCTCTGATAATTCCCATTGAATTCACCACTGAGAAGGGGGTAGGGGTGCACTGAATCCCATTCAGTTATGCAGCCTTTGTTTCTAAGGTAGAAAGTGGATGTCATTTTCAGCAATGCAAAAATGACCTCCACACCCTCACATAAAGCATTTGGGTTTGGCACCTTGATTTCTTCAATGAGGTGTTCGCAGCAGCAGCCACAGGAACAGCTGGAGTATTGAGGGAACCTCACAAGACAGATGACTACATGGGGAGACTGTATTAGTAAAAATTGTGTGTTGAGTAAACATGGCAGTTACTTTCAATGGCATAATCTCCATAGTTTCCAACAAGAGGCTGTGCAAATTGCAAAGGAGGGAAAAGAATATCTCCGCTTTCCTACATTGAGGTTACAGATGAGCCACAGAGCAACCATTTGTATTTGCAGGCAATTTCCATCATTCTGCATGCATGCTCACCCTGGCAACAGTTGAAAGCATTATTCCACATTACCGTAGTATTTTATCACGCATCGCACGTCTGACACAGTTCTTTCCCTGGCAAGAGAGTGCTTCCGGCTAAGTTTCAGATTTTGTCAGTAGGAAAAAGGAATTGTTATGATCCAGAAATGGCTAGGGAAACATACCTTCAAGTGCTACAAATTTGTAAAGGTAAAGCTCCAGGTAGAAAGAAAGAGGAGGGACAAGCAAGCCCATGTCTTGCCAGCTTCTGTGTGTTTTTTGCATTAGCCAGTGGGGGTCAAATTCTGACACTTTAAGTGGTGAGGGAGATGGAAGCTGCACCCCAAGTAATTCACATTATTAACTCTTTTGTCTCTGTTGTCCAGGAGGAGGTGGGTCAGCATCTTTATTGGCACGGATTATCTAGGCATCTCATTCTGCCTTTCACTTTTGGTGTGGCCCAGACCTGGCTGAAAAGGATGATAAGTTTCCCTCCTTACCCCCATTTCACCCATCAAGCCAAGATATATTTACCTGGTGTCTTGTTTATTCTGCCATGCTGCATGTCAGACACTGCAGAAACAACAGTGAACACAACAGACATGATCTCAGAGCTCACAGGCGCCATGACAGATCCTCTAAGCGGGGTGTTGAAGGTATTAGCGGAGCGCATAGGTGGGGCACTGACTCAAATTTTGGCGGGGTGACATCTGCATCAAACTCCAAAGATTGCATGAGAGATTACAAGGAACAATCCAATGTCTCCTACTCCTGCCCACTCCACCTTCTTAGCCTGGCTGAAGGACGTCTGGCATATGAGAGCATGCTGCAAATTTAAGTAACTCCTTGTTTCCCAAATACCAAGCATTAATCCTGGTATTTGCCATGTCTAGAAACTACTGCTACTACTATTTATGTTTCTTCAAGTAAACTTTCTTTTTCTACCTGAATACATGCACTGAAAAAGGAAAGATGCTGCCAGGTGTAGTGGCTCACGCCTGTAATCCCAGCACTTTGGGAGGCCAAGGTGGGCGGATCACTTGAGGTCAGGAGTTCAGCTTGGAATTACCAGCTTGGCCGACATGGTAAAACCCCACGTCTACCAAAAAATACAAAAATTAGCTGGGTATGATGATGCACGCCTGTAAACCCAGCTACTCGGGAGGTTGAGGCAGGAGAATTGCTTAAACCCTGGAGGCAGAGGTTGCAGTGAGCCAAGATCGTGCCACTGCACTCCAGCCTGGGAGACAGAGTGAGATACTATCTCAAAAAAAAAAAAAAAGGCAAGATTGCATCACTAATCACTTCTGGAATGTTATACTGGAAACATTTATAATATGCCATAAATAGGTGATATGGTTCGGATATGTGTCCCCACCAAATCTCATGTCGAATTGTAATACCTAGTGTTGAAGGGTAGGGCCTGGTGGGAGGTGATTGGGTCATGGGGGCAGATTTCTCATGAATCCCCTTGATGCCATCCTCGTGATAGTGAGTTCTCATGAGATCTGGTTGTTTAAAAGTGTGCGGCAACTCCCCTCTCTCTCTCTTGTTGCTCGGGCCATGTGACCTGTCTGCTTCCACTTTGCCTTCCACCATGATTGGAAGCTTCCTGAGGCCTCCCCATGATGCCAGCATCATGCTTCCTGTACAGCCTGCAGAACTATGGGCCAACTAAACCTCTTTTCTTTATAAACTACCCTGTCTCAGGTATTTCTTTATAGTAGTGCCAGAACAGACTAATACAAAAGGTAACTGTAAAAGTAAGTACAATCAAAAATAAAATAGTATTATTAAATGCCAACTAGATTCTATGTTGGAGCCTGAGGCTTGTTCTTTTCTAACACAAGAAGGTTGATCAATAAGCCTTGGTGCAGGAAGGACAAAGGAGCACCGAACTGACTTTCTCTAGGAGAGAGCACAAGGAAGAAAAAGGATGTTGAACCTAAAGAATCACTATGTGATTCAACATTTTTTAAGGTCGTGACTGCGTTCTACGTAAAGCCACCTTCTGTGCCTACCTACACAGTGGTGGTTAGTGTCCCACACTCTGGGAGGAACCAGGCAAGACTGGTCCAGTGGAGTTGGACCACACAGTTGTAAGTAATGAAATAACAAAGGCAATGTATGGCTTTCTAGGCCTTGTTAAGGAGTTGGGATTTTATCCGAAAAGAATGGAAAGCCAGGGAAGCTAGCAGATGGCTGACTAGCACCCTCTGACTAGCACCATCTGATTTGCATTTCAAAAAGACCACTCACCTTCAGTGAGAGAATGGATACTGAGAAACAAGGCTGGTAGAAGGTAGAGAATAGGCTCTTGGGAGAATCCAGGAGGAAGAAAATAGTGGCAAGACCTAGAAGAATGGCTGCAGGGAGGGAGAGAAGAAGAATCTGTTAAATCTCTTGATTGACTGGATGAGGGATATCATAGGTGCTCAAAAATGTTTTCTGAGTGATATGACTCACAGACCTTTACCCTAGAAAGAGCAGGTCGGTCCAATCATTTTTATATCATTTTTTGGCCAAGAATCCTGAAGCGTTGCACCTGTGCTAATTGAAAAGTACAAATAGTCAATATCATCTTTCAACTCGGTCCCCACTCTCCTCCCCAGCTTCCCTTCTGACTTCCTATTTAAGGTTTCTAGTTCATTCACATGACTCAGAAATAATGTCTGCAAACCAGGGAGAGGTGACAATGATGTAGTCTCCTGTGGTTCCTTACAGGAACCAAAGCGTCAGGGAGGTTTCAGTTTCCCCCATCACTTTCCACTTGTCCCAAGACATTGGTTTTTCACTGGTGGGGTGTGGGGGTTGTGGCAAATCAGCTCCCCCAGAGGATATTTGGCAACGTGTGGAGATGTTTGTGGATGGGGAGGTGTGTGCTCACCACATCAAGTGGGTGGAGACCAAGGATGCTGCCAAACACCCTACAATGCACAGGACCACCTCTCTCAACTAAGAATTATCTGACCCAAAACCTCAATAGAGACTGAGGTTGAGAAACCCTGTCAGAAAGATGGAAATGTCAGAAAGTGCCTGGTGATGGCAGAGAGAGAGGGCTGTGGTAGGGCAAGTGCTTCTATTGGGACACTATTATTTGCTTGTTTTGTTTCGTTTTGTTTTTTGTGAGATCAAGTCTCGCTCTGTCACCAGGCTGGAGTGCAGTGGCATGATTTGGTCTCACTGCAACCTACACCTCCGGAGTTCAAGCGATTCTCCTGCCTCAGCCTCCCGAGTAGCTGAGACTACAGGCATGCGCCACCACCCCCAGCTAATTTTTGTATTTTTAGCAGAGAAGGGGCTTCACCATGTTGGCCAGGATGGTCTCGATCTCTTGACCTCGTGATCTTCCCGCCTTGGCCTCCCAAAGTGCTGGGATTACAGGCATGAGCCACTGTGCCCAGCTATTATTTGCTTTTAATAACCTGTGTACTATTAGAGGTTTGTGTGAGTTGTGGGCCAGGAGGATGGAAACAAATTCCTCTGGGTATTCTGGGATCAGAGTCAGAGCCAGGCAGCCAATCAGAAGAGGCAGCAGCCCCAGACTGGACCCCTACTCCCCAGACACCTAGGGATTTGCTAAATAGCAGAGACTTTGAGGTGACTTCTGTGGGGAGTCAAGGTATATCTGCAAGGGCAGGTCACTAGCACCATGGTACCACAGCAAGTGTGTTGAAATTCCAGCAATCTTCCTGCTGTCTTGGCTAGTTTCCAAGCCTGCCCAGAAAACAAGCATCTCTGTTTTTAGAAGATGGTAGTGATGATTACTTTTTCCTGGGGGAAAAAAAAATGCCAGAAAGATAAATACTTTGTAAATCACTGCATGCCTCCTGCCTGCAAGCTTGGAGTCTGTTTGTGAGACATTTATCTCCTTGTGTACTCACCCCCCAAAATTATCATTTAATTAATAAAACTAATAGCCTGAGGTATGCTGATCAATAAGAAATAGAATGGACGAAACTGAATCGGATGCATCATGGTATTGAACTGTCTGCAGAAAGCTATGAGCCCTTCCTCTTAAATGAACGTGCTTCCAGTCCACTGAGATACTGAGAGAGCGGGGCTGAGGTGTTCCTGCTGCATTTGGGAAGTTAGAGAAATGGCATGTGCAGATATCCTGTTCTGATTCATGAGTGAGATGAGCACTGAGTTTCTCTTTATTTAATGGATGTAGAGGCTGTGGATGGAAATGAGTTGTACTTTCATGTCAACTGGCAGCTCTGTTTTCAACTTTTGTGGACAAAAATAACTCTATCTTTATTACAGGCACACAACAACCCAGTAGTTAACTACAAAATCCAAAATTCAAGGGAAAAAAAACTCTGATTAGACAAAATTGATGGCCAGGCGCAGTAGCTCATGACTGTAATCCTAGCACTTTGGGAGGCCGAGGCGGGTGGATCACCTGAAGGTCAGGAGTTTGAAATATAAATTGAGAGATTTTCATATACTTCTTTAGGAATCAGACAGATCTGGTAGATAAGTCAGGTTATGTAACAAGTCAACTTCAAAGGTCTGTTCTTCACTATAAATTGGAAGTCTCTGTCTCTGTCCATTGCTCCTCTTCACATTTTCTGAGTGTTCCTCCCTGAGACATCTCTGAGAGGTCTCCTAAAAGCTAGATTTTAGACAAATGCAAATCTAGAGCATATGTCATGATAGCAAAGGGCTCCTACTTGGCTTGAGCACCAGAGTCTCAGTGACGGCTTCAACACTGCTATCATAACTTTAGAAGCAAATGGCAACTTGCCAAGGTTACCCCATCCCGTAGGCTGCATCTTTTCTCTAGGGCCTAGGACACAAGGAAGCACTAAGCTAATCTTCATCTGGGACCAGGTAGAGATAAAAAAATGTCGTGGTTTCAATACCCAGCAAATGCATCCAGGCTGACATTGGTAATTAATGTTGCACAATGAAAATATCACTAAAATGCATTAGCAGGATGAAATCCATAACTTTTGCCATCTCTGGGACCACTGGGAATCCTTCCTTTGTGAACTCTTGGGCCAGGGATTATCCTTTCTTTGAATTATAGTGAAATCTGTCTTAAGTGATCATTTAGGGACCATCCAAAATTCGTAACTTGGTAGAAGTTGAACTTTAGCTAAAGGTCAAACAAAATTCTCCTGGAAGCCTTAGGAGTTGCTTAAAGGTGAAATAAAAAATTGAAATGAAAATGGACTTAATCCCTGGTTTATGAACCGAGTAGCACAGCTAAGAAAGTTAAGGGAGGCACTCACCTCACAGTGCACTTTGACTTATCTTTCTGAAATGCCTCATCCGTCTGTCAAGTGCCATAGCCTTTCTGGCTTATTAATCATGCACTTAGCAATGCTCTTATTTGCTAAGGATACCCATATGTTTTGAAGACCTTTGGCTGTGCGCTTGGGACCCATGACAGGGGTGATGTTACAGGTCATTCTAGGTCAGGCCTTGCTCACAGTGCAGGGAATGCAGCCCACCAATGCCTTCAAGATCCTACATGCCTTTTTCTAAGGGAAATTGGCTTAACCAACATTAGCATTGGTTCAGTGTAAGGAGGACTTTCTTTAAGGTAGTTTATAATACAATTTTATTTGTATTATATTCTAGTTTATAATACAAATGATTATATTTATATTATATCATAGAGGCCTAGCATAGAAAACAAAATAGATATATAATTTATCTTCTAATCCTCTCTGAAGCACTTAGAGGAGAATTTGTAGCCATCTTGAGGTATCTGTGTTTTAGATCAAGCTGCTATAAGAGAATATAAACTAAACGGGTTAAACAGAAACATTTATTTCTCATGGCTCTGGAGGCTGGAAGTCCAATATCAGGGCGCTAACATGGTCGGGGTGTTGGTTAGGACCCTGCTTCTGGTTCACCTTCTTGAGGTATCCTCACATGGTGGAGAGAAAGAGCTCTGGTCCTTCATGTCCTTATAAGGGCACAAATCCATCCTGGGGCTCCACCTTCATGACCTCATCTAACCCTAATCACCTCTGCGAAGGCCCTACTAACAAATATCTTAACTGGATTGTGGTGTTAATGAATTTTGGGGAAGTGGTGGGGGCACACACATTCAGTCCATACCACCCTGGAACTCCAGGGATTAAAGCTGAGAAGTCAGAGTGGAAGAAGGTAGAGCCAGTGTGCTCTCCTGATTCATTCCTGTACATAGAGAAGGAACCAGACACATGGAATGCAAATTCCAGTTGCAACACATTTTGTAGCTTGGACTGTTCACTGTAATCCACTGACATTCTACTTCTTCATCTGTAACAAGAACAAAGCAATCCTAATACCAATCACTATCATTTATTGGGCCCGTTACATATCAAACCCTAAGCTGAGCTGGAACTTTACCTACAGTGTGTCTTGGTGAGTTCTCACCTTAGCATTTCAATGCCAGTGATGGTGTCTCCATTTGAGGAGATAAGAGTGTCTATGAAAGATTGACCAAAAATCCCTACTTGTCAGGGATCCTGAGAAAATCCAGCGACATGGCAGGAGACAGCCACACACAGGGACCCATAGATAGTGTCCATTTCTATGGGAAGAGGGGTAAAATGGACTTTCGTGGAACTACTATGAGGCAGGCTATGCTTGTGGCTTTCACCCACCTTCTGCCTAGCAGTTGTTTCAGGAAAGTCCATTTTACTCCTTTTCCCAAAGAGATGGATGTTACCTGTGTGTCCGTGTGGTCATGCACTTTAGAATCCTTCTCCTCTCATGGGATGGGAGTTTCCTTACAATTTGTTTATCCCTCATGTATTTATCGAACAGTGCTAAGTGCTGGGAGCATGGCAAGGCACTGAACTGGCTCTGTTGTCTACTGCATTTCAAGTCAAAATGGAGGTGAAGGAAAAAGAGGTACAGGATTGGTCCCATGGGGAGAGACACTGACTTGAGGATTTCCTGATAACCTCGTATGCCCGGATCAGTGTATCAAGGCCTTTTATTGTTCTGTATTACTGATTACTACATATTTGGGTAGTGTAACTTAGCTTATAAGAAGAAACTGGTGTTTTGAAAAAATGATGTTTTCATGAATGGAAGGCATACATACCCTTTATGCCTGCCTCATGTAACTAAAGCCTTATTTATGTTAATGGCAAATGGAGCTAATGTAGCACACAGGATAAATCATCTCAGCTCAGAATTCTAATTGAAGGCTCCCTGGAAACCAGGCAGACAACCACCACAAAGGCAACCCATGGACAAAGCCCAGGAATGGCTTATGTACGTTAAGGTTTGATTCTGTTGGCTTCAGCTTCCTGGAACCTGCCTCTCGGTACCTGTCCAGAACAACTCTCTCTCTTCCCTTAACAATATATACGTTTCTGATCACAGTGGTTTCCAAAAGCACCCCTAGAGTCTGAGTGGCACCTAATGATGGCATCTCTTTCTAGAAAGTCTTTATGTCCAAGCTAATGAGCCAACAAATATATGGCCAATGTTTCATGGAGTCTGCAAACTTGGATGTGATTTTCTTCCCTGGCTGAAGTCAGGGTAATGCCAAGCTATTAGCTTAAACTTAAATCAGTACAAGTAATCAGTAGTGCCCATTCTCTTCCTTTCTAACAGTGGAATAAGGGCAGGTCCACCATCTGGTATAGGCATTAGCCACTTTGAGTTAGTCTTTGTCAGGTTAAGTATATTCAAATCCATGTAACTGTGAGGTTTCTTACAAAAGCTAGTTGATTCATGGGAAGGAGTAAAACAAAAGACTAGCAGGAACCCCAGGTCAGCAGCTCCAGGTCCACTCACTGTTTTCTAAGCGCTTTAGAAAACTTAAGGTAAATAATAAATCTATGTTTTTCTCCACAAGACCCTTAAGGTTCTTATGATTCAAAGCCTGTTTCTCTACATGACAAGCCTAAAGTACTCCCCAGTTCTTTAGAAGGGACAGAAGTCTCTGTCCCAGGGGTTGTCCAGTTGTGGCCCACATGCCAAGTTGGACCTGCTGCTTGTCTTTGTAAATAAAGTTTTATCGGAACACAGCCAAGTCTGTGTATGATCTGTGGCTCCTTTTTCACTACAGTGGCAGAGTATTTGTGGCAGAGACCATATGGCCTGAAGAGCCAGAAATAGTTACTCTCTGGCCCTTTACAGTAAAACATTTGCTTACCCCTGCTCCATCCTAAAATGGGGAAAAAAGTTTAAACTACATGCTACAATACAAGCTCTATGAGGCCAGGGGCCATTTTGGTTTTGTTCACCTGTGTATTACCAGGGCCTCCTGGGTTATGGTCATTCAACAAATGGAAGATTTTAGACTTCCTCCCACTCCCTACAAGTTTGCGTCACTTTTACTCTTTATCCATTCCCCTCCCACTGACTATAGGATTGAAGTCCCAGCTTTATCATCTGTCTTCAATCTTACCTCCTCCATTAGCATTTTGTGAGCTTCTAAATAAATGGTGCTCTTCATTCAGTAGATACTTATTGATCCCTGATAAAGTTCCAGGCACTGGGGGATAGAGGGGTGAACAAACCAGATCAGACCCAGACCGCCAAAGAGATTACTCTAGTAGGAGAGACAGAAAAAACCAATTAAACACACAGACATCTCAGAGAGTGAGAAGGAAATGAAACTTGGTATGATAAAGAAAGTATTTATGCATATGAATTTGGTTAGAGGGGTTAGAAAAGGCCTCACCAAGGAGGTAACATTTCAACTGATAACTAAATGAGAAGCTGTAAGCCCGGGGAAACCTGGGGTAGAGAGTTTTCTAAGCAGAGTGAATAGTGATTGCAAAAGCCATACATCCAGGATGAGCATGGCATGTTCAGGAAACAGAAGGGAGGCCAGTGTGCCCGGAGCATTGGTGAGCAGGCAGAGGAGTTGTGGTTAAAGAGGCAGACGGTGGCCTAGAGGTCTTCAGGGCCTAGCATGACATTAGAGTTAGAAGGTATTAGGCAAGGGAATGACATGATCTGATTTAACTTTTAAAAGGGTCACTCCCTGGCTGGATTAAAGAGAGGTAAAAGTGCAAGCAAAATTATCACAGTGGTTTATATCAGAGATGATATAGTGGAGGTGGAGAGAAATAGGCCCTTTGGGATGTGCCTTGGAAGCAGGTAGAATTTGTTCATGGATTGGGTGCAAAGGCTCAGAAGCTAAGAAGAATTGCTGGTTTTTGGCTCGAGTAACCAGCTGGATGATAGTGCTATTTACTTTACAGACTGAAGTAGGGTAGGAGAGTTACAAGTCAGGGGTTTTTTTTTTATCTTTGGGTGATAAATATAGGTGCCCACTACACATGCGAGAGGAAAGATTAGATGAGCCATTAAACACGCATGGTTGGAACTCATTAAACGTTCCAGGCTAGAAACATAAATGTGGGAGTCATAGGAGATAGTATTTAAAGCCATGGCCTTGAATGAGACCACCTGGTTGGGAAGAGCAGTAGAATAAAGTAAGAGAGCTGAGAATCAAGCGTGGGCCACCCTGACATTTCGAAGGTGGATATGGGAGAAGGGAAATCCTTTCTAAGCAGACAAAGGCAACTACAAGTGCACAGGGCCTAGACATGGACCGTGCTTGGAGTTCTTGAAGAATGTGACGAGAGCACAGTGAGCATGGGAGACACTGGAACAAAATGAGGTCAGAGAGGAGTTTAGATTTTATTCCATGTGTGGTGGGAGGGCATGGAATGAACATGGAACAGGAGTTATAGGTTAAGAATCGGAGTTCTGAAGTCAAGAAACCTGAGCTTGTCAATAAATTCTGCTACTTACTGGGCCAGGTCACCTGTTTGTGCCTTAATTTCCTCATCTGTAATAAAAGGATGATATTAATACCACAAAGGGCTGTTGTGAAATGAAATAATATATGCAATGTGCTTGGATCAGCGCTGAGCACACATAAGTAAGTGCTCAATAAATGTCAGCTCTGATTATTATTGAAGGGGAGAATCATTTGATCTGGTTTATGTTCTTAAATGATGCTGGACTGTAGGGAGTCAAGAGTAGAAGCAAGGGGTCCATTTAGGAGGCTGCTGTCATCAGGGGGCACATGGTTCTTTTTTCAAACCCCGAGGAGTCTCTCCCCTTTCCCTGCTGTTTCCTGGATGGCCCATCACTGTCTCACTGTTCTCTGAGCTAGTGGAGCCAGTCAGGCCCTTACTTTGCACATAGCCTGTGCAATGTCCTGTATTATTATTTATGTCACATCTCTGTGACTGAGTCATGGGCCTGTCTTGCCACTTTTTGTTTTTGGACCCTGCCCTCAGGTCCCTAATCAGAGTGTGATGGTGAGCACTTGTAGCTGTCACCTCCACTGAAGAGAACAGCAGCGGTCTGTCTCAGTACCCTGGAAATACGTGCAAGCCACAGCCCATTTCAGAGGAAATTCTAGTTGTAGAACCCCGGAGCAGAAAAGCTATGGGACTCTGGCCTGAGTGCTGTTAGAAACCAGCCAGGAGGAAGGCCCATTCCCAAAGGGGAGGGCTTCCAGCCCATGCTGCCAGGATGGGCTTCTCAGCAGGAATACAGTTTTCAGGCTCATTTAACTCCTGTGGACACATGTAAGGAGCTGGGCAGGCAATTCGAATTCATTTTCGAGGTGACAGCGCCAAACTTTGGCTGTGTTAGCTCACAGAAACATTAATGGGATAATGTGCTCCATCATGGAGAATGAGAATCAAAAAAGGCTTTAATGGGGCTTCATTATCTCCATCTGTCCATCCATCACTTCTTCTCCATCGCTCACCACTTGAGAAATGAGAACACCCCCAAACTAATTAGATTTATCCTAATCTCCTTTCTGTACCATCCATCCTCTCAGAGGCCATCTGTGAGTGTAGAGTTCAGACCTTTAAGAATTATGCTAATCAGTCTTTTTCTCATTTAAAGCGTTCATCTGATGACCACAATCTGAAACTTCTGGCTGTGACAAAGGGGAAACCATTCTAAGATTTCCTGCTAATTTCAAACACCCTCATCCTCACATACAGGCCACATAAGGGCCAGTTTCTAAGAAAAGAGCTAAGGATCTTTGAGCCAGGTAACAAGTTTTTTTAAAAGTGTGAGGAGAATTTTAATTGGTTTATAATATGAGTGGGAGATGATTTGCATTCATTTATAAAATCAAAAAGGAAGGTGCCTGAGCTGTTAAACTCGGGAATGGATTGTGTGTTTGAGTGGTGCGACCACTGATGTATAAAATGCACAGGAGAACCAATTCACTGAGGTAGGCACCTAGAGGAAAATTACTTACAACTAGATTTTCAGACCTTCTGCATCTGCCGGAGCCTGTGGCCTGGTCACTACAGGCGGGTAAGGAATGTTAAGCAGATTTCTGTGCAGAGAGGTCACTCCAGCATTGCAGTGGTTTGAACCTGGTAGGAGAAAGGGCACTTCTGACACAGCACATTGCCGTTCATTGCAAACCCTAAACACCCCCAGGACCTGATCGGGATGAATAGAAATCATCAGCTCTGGAATTAGGGGGTCCAAACACAAGGCTCTGTGGAATGATTGATGCTAAATTAATTGCTTGTTGAACAAATAAGCACATGAGTCGAAACTGGGAATTATAGCCCAGAGCAGTGCTTCTCAAACCTTAATGTGCCTATGAATTTCTTGGCGATCTTGTTAAAATAGAGTTTTTAGTTCAGTCGGTCTGAGATGAAGCCTAAGCTCCGGCATTTTTAACAAGCTCCCAAGTGATGCTGATGTCGCTGGTCTATAGACTACACTTGGTGTATCAAGAGAAGTTAAGAATTTGAGTTTGGCAAGCAGATAGAACCACATTCAAGTCCTGGCCACTTTCTGGCCGTGGAGCCTTAGGAAAATTACTTCCCTCCTCTGCACTTGATTCATGCAACAAATATGTATTGAATCTCACGTGTGGGCTGTTTAACTGTGCTTAAACAGCTGGAACAAGACAGAAAATGATGCCACTCTCCTAGGTCTTTAATTTGATGGGGAGACAGACAGGAAAAAAAGTTAAAGCAAAAATGTGTCATTACAATTTGTGATAACTGCTAGCAGTAATATTAATGGTGGCTAACATTTATTGAGAACCTACTATGGATGAGGCACTATTTAAGGAAGTTCACATATATCAACTCATTTAATCTTCATAACAACTCTGTTAGGTATGTATGCTCATCTTCTGTTTTCAGATACAAACACTGAGGCACAGGCAGGTGAGGTAACTTGCCGAACCTCACACACCAAAAAGTGGTAGAGACGTGATTTTAAGTCAATCGGTCCAGTTCTGGAATGAACGTTCTTGACTGGGGTCTGCATACTTTCTCTAAAAAGGGCCAGATGGTAAATATTTTAAGCTCTTCAGGCTATTCAGTTTCTGTCGCAAATCCTTAGCTCTGCTGCTGTAGCCCAAAAGCAGCCAAAGACAGTAAATGAGTGAGTGTGACTGTGTTCCAATAAAAGCCCCTTTACCAAATCAGGCACCTGGCCAGATTTGACCCAGTGGCTGTCGTCTGCCAATGCCTGTTCTTGATCATTATCCAAACCAGCGCATCTCACGCTGTAGGGCAGCCCTGTCCAAAATAAACATAATGGGAACCACACATGTGACTATCAGTTTTATAGTAGCCATATTAAAAAAACAGATAAAATTAATTGTAATATTTTATTTAATCCAAAATATCATAAATATTATTTCAGTAGGTAATTAACATGAAATAATTATTAATGAGATATTTTACAGTCTTTTTCACAGTGTCTCCTAAATCTGGTATGTACTTTACACCTGCAATACCTCTCAGTTCAGACAAGCCGTTTTACAGGGGCCTGGTAGTCACATGGGGCTGATGGCTAAGGTCCTGGGCGAGGCAGCTTTAAAGTATTGAGGAATCATTTGGGATGGGGCCTTATGTTCTGCTTTTCTAACAAGCCGCCAGGTGATGTTGGTCTGCAGTCCACACCCGGGACATCAAGATGAAGCCTGCCTCCCTGGGAAGAAAGGAAGAAAGTGCAGGAAGATGGCACAGGAGATGCCAGGCAGTGTAGGGTGCTCCAGGAAGGCTTCGTGAAAAGAGGGAATTAATTACATTGGAAATTGAGACCCAGAGGGTGAGAAGGAGCTAACTCAGGGAACAGTGGGAGGAAAAAGGTCTAAGCAGGATTTTAAAAACATTTTCGATTAAGTGAGTCAAAGCATGCAACCACTTAACATTGAGCTCATGAGGACTCCTAGATTTTTGTGACAATACAAAGGCAGAGAAGATACGCAGCTTTTTGGACCCTCTAGTGTCTCCCTCTCCCCATGCTGGATTAGGTACCCCCTTTCTGTGACTCCCACAGTTGCCCATATTTTCCTCATCACAGCACTTTACAGGCCTTTTGCAGGTGCCTGCTTATTTTCCGGGTCACCCACCGGGGCTGTGAGCTCTGGGCAGGCAGGGCTTGAAGCTTTATCATGGCTCTGCTCGAAGCCTGCTTGTCAGCTAGTGTGCTTTGACTGTGTGAGAATGAAGACAGGGGCCTTACAGAATAAGATTTCCACTCAAGATACAACTGAATTGTGGACCCCTTGAAAACCTTAAGGTGGAAACTCTCAAACAAAAAAATTCAGAGGAGGGAGATGAGCATTGTTTGTTTGAAGTAGGAAAAAGAGGACTTGTGGTACATATGAGCTTTGTGGTCACAGGCAGGTAAGCCACAAGCCGGAAAGCCTACAAATGTGTTCGTTGTGGCAGTCAAAGTAAGTACATGTGAATGAGCTTTGAGAGGGGGCCCTGGCCCTACACTTCCTACATGAGGCTGCTGCTTTTCTCCCTCGATATTCGCTGACCACCACAGGGCTGAATTTGGAGTTGTGGATGCAC
The DNA here is from genome assembly GCF_000001405.40 of Homo sapiens. Lineage (NCBI taxonomy): Eukaryota > Metazoa > Chordata > Mammalia > Primates > Hominidae > Homo > Homo sapiens. The sequence continues at coordinate 59,772,804 of NC_000003.12, read as the reverse complement.
AAGCTAGTTGCAGTTATATGTAACATCGAGCTCTTCTGGGTGGTCTAAATCTAAAGCCCTGCAAACCCCACACCTCCAAACTCCACTAATGTTCATAGAAGGCTCACAGGGTTCTTTTGCCTTCTCGTTAGGATAATTTTAGACATTTTTTGTGGCATTGCCTCTCCTGAAGAGGCACTATGCACAGTGGTTACGAGAGCTGGCCTTGGCACCAGCCTGCCTGCATTTGCATCCCAGCCCTGTGCCTACCTGGGCCAGTTCCCCGACCTCTCTGTGCTCAGCTTCCTCATGTCTGAAATGGGGATAGTAACACTGCCACCCTGATAAGATGGTCATGAAGATTAATGAATAAATGTAAAGTGTTTAAAACAGTGTTTGCACACAGTCAGTGTTCACTGTTACTGTTCTAAATGGCTTCCACCTGCATTGCTGCATATGTTCCTCCCAGCAATCCTTCAGAAAAGGTGAGGCAAACCGGGGTGATTTCTGCCTAATAGCGTGGGTGATAAAAGTGAGATTCAAGGAGATGAAACAACATGACCCAGAGGGAGTGATAGAGCTCAAGTCCAGGTCTTCTAACTTCAAATTCACTTAACATTCACTTTATACTTGCTTTATGTGGGGCCTGGAATGTAGATTAGTGAATGCAGATCAACGAAGCACAGCAGAGCTCCCCCTCAGTGGTGGAGGTGGGTGTGCTAACATGGAGATACAAGCCAGTGACTGTGGAGGGGGACTGTCCTGGTCAAGGTTGTGCGAGTGCATGTTATGTGTTTGTTTTAGTGTGTCATAAAGTTGCTGGGCTCCTTGGAGGCAGATGTATCCTTTGTGGGCTTTAAAGCTGTGACTCATGGATCCCTGAGGGTGTACAAACCTTCTAGAAATTTCAAGTAAAGTGTATGCATTTATGTGTGTGCACACATTTTTCTAGGGAAAGGAGTCATACATAGCTTTGATCAGATTCTAAAAAGTGCTGACATGCCTAAAAATGATAAGCACTCCCGTTTTAGAGCAACTTAGAGGTAATTTGTGAAATTTTTTTATGACGAGAAGTCTGTGTCTTGAGTGTGAGCTTGTGCACGTTCCCCACAGACATAGAGACACTACTAGTCTGAAGAAGGAAAGTAATTCTTCTTAGGACAACCCTTCCTGCTGTTCTTCCATGTCAGCATTTCCAGTGATTTGCTGGGCCAAGGAGTAGCTGCCCTTTAGTAATTATTTAATTGCTTAGAACTTTATTTCCCCATCTGCAAAGTGGGAGGCGATAGCTTCTACTTCACAACACTCTATGGGGGGTTTCACCCTCAAACATACCCCAAATGTAATAGGCCCTCAATGAACCTGACCTCCCTTCTTTATCTGGTGTCAAGCTTTCCGTTGGATCTATTCCAGGAGATATTCTTGGAGAATTGTCTTTTTTAAAAATTATTATCATATTCCCATGCTTTTCCTCCTGGATAAAGGTTGTATCTTTTCCCCAGAATGATTCTCATTTCCTGTCTTTGGCCTTTATAGAGCAGGTTCATTCTCTCTTGTTCTCCTTCCATCTATTATGACATCTTGGGAAAGCCCACCTGTTCTTCCTTCTGCAATTCGATTCATTGAGTTGTGCTCTGTTATTTGTTGTCTTTTGTAATTGGTAAGTGGTATTTTTGGTCCATTATTGTCTTATGTGAGAAGAGAACAAAATAATCCCGCTACCCTCACCCTAAGAAAATTTAAATTCCATGTTGTTGCCCTCCAAAACTAGAGTGCAGGTATTTCAAGCAGTCATTTTACGTGTTAAATAAAAGAGGCGATGTGCAAATGTGAAAACAGGCACCATCTAAGCTTGACTTTTACCTTAGAAGCATTACAGTGTTCATAGTGCTTCATCCACTTCTGGGATTTGTTGTATTGATTCTTTCAGCCTCCTGGGCAGAAGCAGAGTGGCACAGGCATGGGTGAGGTCAAGGGTTGAGCATGGGAGTCCGAAAGGCCTGTTGTGGACTCCTTCCCTGCCACTTGACAGCTGTGCAGACCTGGACACATCACATAGCTTTTCTGAGCCTTGGCATCTGTGAAACGGGGAGTAGTGGTAACCAGAGTATATGTATTAGAGGGCTAGGGCTGCCGTAATCAAGTACCACAACCTGGGTGGGTGGCTTAAACAATGGAAATTTGTCGTTTTACAGTTCTGGCAACTACAAGCCCGAGGTGAAGGTGTCAGCAGAGCTGTTCCTCCTGAGGGCTCTAAGGGAGAATCTGTTCAGTGTGTCCACTTCACTGCTGGGAGTTTGCTGATGATCTTTGGCATTCCATGGCTTAGAGATCCGTCACCCCAATCTTTGCCTTCATCTTCACTTAATCTCTTTGCGTGCATGGCAGCTGCTGGGTCCAAATTTTCCCTTTGTATAAGGACACCAGTCATATTAGATTAAGGCTGACCCTAATGCCCTTCTTTTAACCTGATTACCTCTACAAAGACCCTATTTCCAAACCAAGTTACATTCTGAGACATTGTGGATTAGGGCTTCAACATATATTTCAGGAGGATGCAATTCAACCTATAGTAATAACTAATTACCACATAGGGTTGTTAGGACGATTCGATGAGATAGTCCACAAAAAAGAGCTTTTTGCAGTGCCTGGCACATGGTAAGCCCTAGGTGAATTGAGCCTTATTAGTGTGGGAACTTATCATGCCCTCGTTCAACCAGAAGCTGACCTTTCTCCCTTACAAGTCTGGGCATTTTTCTGTGTTTTGTTTAGTTTTGTTTTGCTTTTCCTTGTCTCTCATTTTTCATCAACCCAAATTGAAATGGAAAAGGCAATGCATAGAGCAGTTGAAACATGGACAATTCTGTCATTTGACCATCAGAATTCCTTCTACTGTCATTTCTCCTCAGTTTGAATTTATATTAGTAAAAACAGATTTGTGTGTGTAAAAATACACAGAAACATACTATAACAGTTCAATCCGTGTAAATCATTTGAGAAGCTGTCCTAAATAGCAGAATGGGTTTATCTGAGGGGAAATTTTGAAACCAAAGTAATTATCAGATGGCCATTTTTTTCAAAAAAAAAAAAAAAATCAAAACTAGTCCAGTATTGAGAAAACACGTTATTGGAATCAAATAAGCTGGCAGCAAAGTCTGCCGTTCCGTGTGTACTGCTATGGTATCCGAAACATAATTATCAAGTTTAAGTTAATTAGACTAATGCTCAGAAAATCTGGCCTGGCAGCTTGCGGTAAGTAATTATATATACTGATTAAAAATGTAATACGTGGTGAGCAGAGGCAAAGGCAACTCCATTCGACACAGCCTGTGCACATACATAATTAAGAAGCCATGTAGAAGAGTGCACACAATGAGAAGGAACTTTGTAGAGACTAGCAGGCGTCCAGCCAAGCCTTCTACAGGGTGGGATGCAGGTTCCCACCTTACCCAATGGAGGGTGAGCAGGTGTCACTGTGGGGCCAGCACAGAGAGGGCACGTGACCATGGGTTCTCACTGCTTGGCAGATCACCCAAAACACACTCCGAGCCACAGCCTGGTGCTCCAGCCTGTCGTTTCTGTTTCCTCTCAAGTTTCCGCCTCAAAAGATGATTAGCTGTGAGACAGCCAGAGGTCAGCTTCCTTGTTGATCTTCTATCCTCCGAAATTATGAAATTGACATTAATTATGGGTCACAAATCAGGGTAGGATGCCAACCTCTGTGTGCAGGCACAGACATACCTTTTATTTGCCCTTCTGCTGGCAGAGTGGTTTTCTTTCCAGCTTTCCTTAAAAGAGGGAAGGATATTGTTATGTGGGATCCAGGGGCAAAGACTTGAGGTACTCAAGGTTAGGCTGTCTACCCTGATTCTTTGTAAGTAAGTTTATTATGCTGTAAGAGTTTGATTCAGTAAATATAGTTACATTTTAAGATTGGCGAAGGCCACAGAGAAATCTTATTTTGTTCTGGATCTCTTTTACAATGTGTATCTGTTCCTGCCTCACTAGTATATCATATGGTTTACATAACATAATTAAACTCTTATTTGAGGACTGAGGATGGGTACAACTATGTCATCCTTCTGAATATCTACTGTGATAAGTTTATCTGGGCAAGAAGTATTTAGTGAGCCTCTCCTATGTGCCTAGCTTTGGTTTTATAAGGTCATGGTTAAGGTATTAGATTGAACCATATGACATTGATGTCTGGGAAGTCAAAGAAAAGATTGGCTATTGTGAAAAGACATGATTTTGCCCCCAGGAAACCTATAGAGTGGAAGATAAATTAGAAGGCATGTACAATAAGTGTCCTGAAATGGAACCATCTTGGAGGGCCACCTAAGTCCAGTGCTGGTGGATCAGGGGAAGAAATGCCATCCATGCAGGGAGAACAGTATGTGCAAAGGGCTGGTAGTGAGATACAAGGCAGTTGTTTAAAGAATAACTCCTACTCACATGAGATGGAAACAGGACAAAGGGTTGAGAGATGCAGGTAAAATGGTAAAGGCCTGCTACTGTGCCAAGAAAACCATGTCCAGGACCAGTAAGTCAGGACCAGAGCATTTGATGTCAAAGGATTAGGAGATGGAGTCGAAATTGCACTGGACCATTACCTAGAATTTCTGCTTTTTAAATAAGAGAACCCACGATATAAGCTCTGTCAGTTGTGATGTTCCAATTCAGAGACTAGATGCAGGCCACCCCTGTTATATTTAGTTGAGGGACCTTTTTAGTAGAGCAACACTGAGGCTTTTAGTCCAACATGGCAGAAGACTCAAGCAATTCACTGAATCTCCCTGGGCCTTTGTTCCCTTCTCTATAAAATGGGGATAATAATATTGTGCCTCTACCTACCCTAGAGTTCATCAAATAACATTCTGTATGCAAAAGAGCTTTAAGTTAAGTTAGAGCCTCAATTTAGTCTGTATTGCTTAGCAAATGCTATGTATTGTTATATGAGGAGGGGGAATAGACAGAAAGGGAGTGGGACCCTGGAGTCCCAACTGCCTACTAGCTATGAGATCACATCTCTAAGCCTTAACTTCTTCATCTAAAAATGGAAATGACAGCACCATGGATGGGGTAGGTACTCTTATGAAGAGTAAATGAGATCATGTTTGTACTTGGCACTGAGCACATTGCCAGGCAGACAGCAAGCACTCAATAGAGCTCCATTAAAAATAACAATAACAACAACATAATTATTCCATCCTTAATGTTGGGCTCCAGTCCTTTGATGTTTCCACTTTCCGGGAGCAAAAATTTCCCCAACATTGGACCGAGGGCATCTCTCCTTCAGCCAGGAACACCACTCCATTTTTCTTTTTGAGACCAAGTCTCACTCTGTTGCCCAGGCTAGAGTGCAATGATACAATCTCGGCTCACTGCAACATTCACCTCCCGGGTTCAAGCAATTCTCCTGCCTCAGCCTCCCGAATAACTGGGATTACAGGTGTCCACCACCCCACCTGGCTAATTTTTGCATTTTTAGTAGAGATAGGGTGTCACCATGTTGGCCAGGCTGGTCTCGAACTCCTGACCTCAGGTGATCCACCTGCCTCAGCCTCCGAAAGTGCTGGGATTACAGGCGTGAGCCACCGCGCCCGGCCCAGCTCTCCATTTTTCATAGAGTAGTATTTGTTCCTTGTGGTTTATCTGCATTTTGGCTGAAGGATCGAGTCCAGAATCTGACCCCCTCCTGTTGTAAGTAGATGAGTTTTCTCTCCACCCAAGGCCCAAATAGCCATTTGCAATGTGAAAGAACAGTTAATCGGGGTTGTTTTGCATCTGGGATGCCAGAAAATCACTTTTTTCTTGATTTAAAAGAAATTTAATTTTGGCATCTGGTAGACACAGTCTGATAACCAATTAGGAACTCTCACAGATTTTGAAGCAATAAATTGGCTACTAGGCTTTACTCTAATGTCAATGAACTGGGGTGAGTTATTGCCAAAATCAATCAAAAAGAGAGAAAGGAGCAAAATTGCTTGGAAATTAGTTTACTTCTTTCAACGTCTTGTCTGTGTTTCCTACCCAAATAGCAATCAGTGTGCTGTTTCATTCCCCAATGATAGGCAGAAGAAATGGAGACAGAGCTGCAAAGCCTTCCAAACAGCCTTCTTGGTGTGGGAATCAACATAAACAAAAGGACTAAAGAGATTATGAAATGTGGAAAGCATGCGAAATGTATATTACTACTGCGGACATGTTTATTAAAATCTGGGCAAGCATTTTGCTGTGAAAATAAAACATAAGAGCACATTTATGGAGAGGAGAACATTTGGATGACTATCTCACAGACATAAAGCTCTTAAGGCAGAGAAGTTTTAATTAAGAACAGCAACCTGTGTGAAGTGCTATACCCAAAATAGATCCTAGTCGGGATTCAGTGAAGGGATACATCAGTTTCAGACATCTGGAATCCAGTTAATAACTCCAGTACTTTTATATGGCAAATGCTACTATGTTGCAACTTTGGTGGACATTTTGGAATGGGAGCTGGATTCCTATCTTGAGGAAAACTGCGGTCATCCGATGTTGTAATCTTACATGCCTCTCAAGGATGATCATTTCTCTTTGTTTTCCATCATAGCCTCCTTTTCTTTAGTTGTGTAAGTAGTTATGTTTAATGATGTTAATGAGTATCTGCAAACCCATTGCCCAGAACAAAACCTATGATTTTGCTACTATCCCACATCTAACAGTATGATAGTCCCACACAAAAAACCATCCCCTTGTCTCCTCACATGGAGTCAGTCCAGCATCCTCAATCTATGCTCACCATTGCTTTGTGACTTTTCATATAGTTTTAGGCATCTCTATGGATTCCTAAAGTGTGTATATTTTTATTGTCTTTAGGGAATTTTTTTAAACTAATATATTGTTAAGATTTCTCCCTATGAGCTGTGTGTCACTATCAAACATTTGTTTTGCTTGAGCCATGGTATTTAATTATGTGAACATATCAGGGTTTATTCATCTACTCCCTGGTGGGATGTTGGTCATTACTAGATTCTATCTATTTTAATCAGAGTTTCTTTGAACATTCTCATGCATGTCTTCTTGTACACATATGAGAATTTCTCTTGGTAATATACCTGGCAGTCATATTGTTGTAGATGTCAACTTTAGGAGGTAATGCTAAACTGTTTTCAAAAGAGGTTATTCCAGTATATCTTCTCAACCGCAATGCCAGAGCAATCCTGGGAGTCCATATCCTCTTTAGCCCACAGAATGGTTTCTCAGCACAGCTTGTCAATGAAGGATCAGACTGTCTGAGTAATAAGTCCAAGTTCTAACTCTTGATCAAGTTAATGTAAAAATATCACTTTCAAACATTGGTAATTTTGATCTCCACCTAAATCTAGCAGTACTGCAGTAAGATCCTCTTTCCTAGAGCATTGAAGCCTTGAAAGCAATATGGCCAAAGGGATACAAATGTCACATGGATGTTTGGGCTAGAAAGTTTTAAAGATCTGTGTCAATCCCTGATTCTAGGAACAGTCCATTTTCAAATATTTGTGTCTGGACCTTTACATAGATACCTGAAATTATAATTAGTTATTTCAAAGCATTTTTATCGTTGTCCTTTAAAAACCAATCAGTGAAACTCCTTTAAACCCTTGAGTGGCACTGAGGTGAGATTAACTGAAAGATTAGGACCCTTAAGTGATTTTTATAGGTTTTTCATTCATGAAGTTATAACTCTCTATAATATTTCAGCTTTGTGTATCTCTCAGCCATGGCTGTTTCTCCAGTACATCTTAAGCATCTCAGCCATAAATAATTGGAAGGTTAGGTACATAGTAGGCAGCTGAGAAAGGTGAGGGTATTGCTTTCCTAGCCTGAGGCTTCAAAATAGTCCCAAGCCTGGCATTGCATTTTAATTTTTCACTGTGCCAAAGCTGTGTGTGTGTGTGTGTGTGTGTGTGTGTGTGTGTGTGTGTGTGTGTGTGTGTGTGTTTGCAGTTGCCTTACATCTCTGTTGCCTATGCTGACTTCTGGAGAATGGTCAATTATAGGGCATATAAAATGAACAGTTGAACTCATAACAAGGAAATCTCAGTTTCTTTCAAGTATTCTGGTTAGAAAAAAAAAAGCATTTGAAATCCTCTGTGACGATCTGCTGTCATGCATGGTAAGCATAGCGTTTCAGATGCATTCAAGGCTTTATGTCTTCATTAAAGAGGGTTTTTAAATGAAATAGAGAGAGGCATTTGGGAAAGGTTGGCTCCAATTTGTTTGTGCAACTCACATGGGCCAGGTTCTTTGAAGGGCGTTGGAATAGCTCCATCAGAACTTAATGGATTTGTAGGCTGCACAGGGCATGTAACTTCCAACGGGTGAGTAGCAGCTTCAGAGGGTGCAGTTTTGTAATCAGAAGCAGAATGATCCTATTGTAGAAAGAAGGAATCGTGACCAATCCAGTGGACTGGTGAGTACCGTTGGAATATAGATTTTCATATTAGTCATTTTTCATCTGCCAGCATATGAGATCCAGTGCCAAGCACCTGGCTAGATGGTGCTGGGATAGCTCTTTTAGCTCTGCCAAACATATGGTATGCATTCAGAAAGAAGTCTGTGAGGTCAGCCTGCATCCTTGCTGCTCCATGGTAGTCACCACATGTGCAAATAGCTTGCTGCTCACCTGCTTTTCTGGGGAAAGTTCATTATAGGCAGGGCTGATGTTAGGGTGTGTGAGAGACCCAGTAAGCAAACATTGAGCCCCAAAGTGTCATTGCCCATGTTCAGAGGCAGTGCTGGGTCCAGCTGTTCTGGGACGGCCTTTCTACCTTCAGCTCACTGAGTTTGGATTTATTACAGCTTTGCCTGTTTAATAGTCTTCTGCGCCTAGCACAAAGTAGGTGCTTGAAAAGAGTGATGTGACTGAAAGAATCATTCAGTCTCTCGTCTTCTAGCCCTTTCGCCTCCAGTGCTAAAGGGAAGGGAGATTTTCCCACTTCTCCACCTCATCTTCTACCTTCTATCTGAGAACTTCCTCACTCGCCTTCAGACACTTGCCTTCAGCCAGTGCACAGACCATACAGATGCCTCCTTCTTCCCTTGGGGTGTTTGCACTTGCCACTCCTCAGCTGACTGTCCTTTCCTCAGAGCAGTCTTTTCTGACCATATTGTCTCAGGTAGCTCCCTCTTTTATTCCCTCCCAAGGCAGTGATAGATGATTACTTGCTAACTGCCTGCCTTCTCTCCTAGAATGTAAGCCTCCCAAAGGCACTACCTTGTCCAGCTTGATTACTATTACACTATAAAATACACTGAATACATGTTCATATTTGTTGAATAATTGAATGAATTCTGCAGAGAAACAAGCTTTAAATGCTTGGGGATCTGGATTGTTCAAAGGTCCCAGCTAGATCAGCTTCTTCAAATAGGTTTTATCTTGACAACCCAGTTGCTGCTGCCTGCAATGTTGTGTTGAGAAGGATTCTGTGGCTGTGCATTATTGGTTGCGTGCTGTGTGCTTGCCTCCCTCTCTTAGTTGTGTGTTTGCGTAGCATCTTGTAGTGCAGATTTTTCTTTCTCCTTGGAGAGTTTCCTTGCCTACACTGTGCTTCCGAAGACTCTGCAAGGTACCTTTGAAAAAAGAAGCCATATGTAGCAGAAGCAAATAGGAAATGAAATGTTCAGGAGATTCCAACAAAGGCAGAAATTGGCCCTATGCCTCTTCCCATTCCTTGTTCTGAGTACTGTGGGTTGACATCACTCTAGGATTAAAGGAGAACAGTCTTGCTTAAACACCAATATCTGAAACACCGGCGGGGGGGAAAAAGGCTTACAGAACATGACTGGCCAAGGAAATTGCTTTTTGAATAAATGCTTCCTTCTCCGAAGTCTGCTTCATCACAAACCTCCTTTTCAGAAGGAGTTTCATTTCATTTCTCAGTGAGCATGTTTTTAGAAACAGAGGCCTGAGGAAATCAAACTGGCAGAGATCTCTAGTCCCTTTTGCCTCACCAGTTTTCTACCCACTGAAAAACCAGAAGGGTTCAGATATGATGGCGCCTGGGGTGAGGTGTTGGTGATCAGCGATTAATTCCTGAAAACTGCCCTGAGATGCAATTTTCCCCTCAGAAGAGGTTTTCCAGCAGGGCCCTCCGGGCTTAGAGGTTGATCCCTATTTGCAGTGTTAGTTTTGCTTTCTATGCTGTTTTACCACCCATGTTTTCAACTATGTTAACTGAAAGAACGTTCCCAGGAATTTATAGAGTGGATCAGAAGAGCACTAGACATACAGCAAATTTGTTTGGATGAGACATACAGTTTGCTGCATGTCTGGATCCACTAGTGGATCCAGTGTTTGTGTGTCTCATCCAAACAAATACCACTCTGAGTTATCCATGTTACATTGGTTGAGTGATTTAAGTTCCTTGTTTTATGTGGAAAATGGGGATGATGAGCTAGCATAGCCAGTATATTGGGAGGAAAAGTGTAATTTAGTGACGTATTTGACCAATGCTTATTGAAAACCTACTACAGTAGTCCCCTCTTATCTCCAGTTTCACTTTTCACAGTTTACCATAGTCTGAAACTACTAAATGAAAAATTCTAGAAATAAACAATTCATAAGTTTTCATTGTACAACGTTCTGAGCAGTGTGACAAAATTGCACGCCGTCCCACTCTGTCCTGGCCAGGATGCGGATCCTCCCTTTGTCCAGTGTAGCCATGTTGTCTACACTACCCGCCTGTTAGTCACTGAGTAGCCATCTCTGTTACCAGGTTGACTGTCATGAAATCACAGTGCTTATGCCCAAGTAACCCTTCATTTTCCTTAATAACAGCCCCAAAGCATAAGAGTAGTGATGCTGGCAATTCAGATATGCCAAAAAGAGGACATAAGGTATTTAAGAGAAAAGGTGAAAGTTCCTGACTTAATAAGGAAATAAAACAAATTATATGATGAAATTGCTGGTAGGGCGCGGTGGCTCACACCTACAATCCCAGAACTTTGGGAGGCCGAGGCGGGCAGGTCATGAGGTCAGGAGTTCGAGACCAGCCTGGCCAACATGGTGAAACCCCATCTCTACAAAAACTAGCCAGGTGTGGTGGTGCACTCCCGTAGTCCCAGCTACTGAGAAGGGTGAGGCAGGAGAATCACTTGTACCCAGGAGACAGAGGTTGCAGTGAGCCGAGATCATGCCACTGCACTCCAGCCTGGGCAACAGAGCAAGACTCCATCTCGAAAAAAAAAAAATAAAATAAATTGCTAAGATCCTCTGCAAGCAGGGATCTTCTGTTTGTGCAATTGTGAACAGTGCATTGTTACAATTGTTCTATTTTATTCTTGGTTGTTAATCTCTTAACCTGTACCTGTACCTGATTTATACATTCAACTTTATCATAGGTTTGTGTATGTGTAGAAGAAAACAGAGAGCATACATAGGGTTCAGTACTATCCCTGGTTTCAGGCATCCACTGGGTGAAGAAGGGGGATTCCTATACTGGTATCAGATACAGCTAGCCGAGAGGATACGAAGATGGATGTTACTCTGACTGGGCAATGTGGGGACTAGACAGGAAGATTTTGTTTTTACCAAGTTTGATATTGTTTAGGGCTTACTATTACTTGAAAAGCAAAGAACTACTGGGCGAGTGCAAATTATTTCTCTACTGAACCCTGGGAGTCAGGCTCTTGCCACAGTGGGATTTTCGTCTGACATATCAGACCCAACTGTTGGGCAAGATCGTTCCAATCCCTTACAAGGTTGAGAAGAAAATCATAGCAATGGGGTGTCCTAAGAATATCAACCCCTTAGTAGCTCCTCACAGCCCAGTTCCAGGCTCCTGTTCTTCAGCTGTCCTGATGTTGTGTTGTAAGAAAGTTCTAGGCCGAGCACAGTGGTGCATGCCTATAACCCCGGCACTTTAGGAGGCGGAAGTGGCTGGATCACTTAAGCCTGGGAGGTTGAGGCTGCAGTGAGCTGGCCACTACACTCCAGACAGAGTGAGACCTTGTCTCGAAAAAAAAAAAAATTACCTCTAAATGGTGGCCAATCAATCAGGGAGCAGTGTTGCAGATCCAGGAGGCAGTGTCTGGGGTTGTTTTTCTCAGATACACATTTGAGGATAGAATTACTGATGGTCTCCCTGACAGGAAGTGACTACCTTTGATATTTTAATTGAAATCAACTCTGCTCAGAACCTGGAGCTGCAGTTGCTCTTTGCTGAGATGCTCCTAACAGGCTTTCAATGGAAAACTGTGAACTTTCATGTCTAATCAATTCCAGTGATTTTTTTTTTTTTTTTGATGGCATGGGCGTACTCCAACAAACCTGAAATGCCCACCTTGGTTCGTGGAGGTTTATATAGGGTACATAGCATGTTCCAAAGACTATTCATAGTGTAGTTAGTGGAGTAATATCTGGTCCAAATTATGATGCTAGCAAAGTCTCATTTGCCGCTTTGGCAATCGGCTTGACAATGTGATACTTCAATGTATAATTGGATAAGCAATTGGGGTCTGTTATAGTACAGTGGTTTGGCATAATTATTTTCCAGCACTGTGATTTTCTAGTTAATACTTACTTTTGGGGGTTACAAATTCTTAAACATCCAACACTCTATACCCCTTGAAAATGGGATGCCACTAATTAATATAAGAGCTTATTTCAGCATTTTGGCCCCACAGGCAGCACTAAAAATACTTGCTTTTACTCAAGTAAGTTATGCTTAAGTCAAAGCTTTGGCAACTAATCAAATGATTAATGCTCCATTGATTACTTGAATTTCTGTTCAGAAAAGGAGGAGGAACTGGGCTTTTGAACTTTCACAGTAAGTAGAAGGACCTGAAGGTAATTTGTTTGCACATAGATATCTCACAGTCTAGTGCTTAGTCCAAGGTCCAGTTCACAGGATAGAGAAGGGAAGCAATGAACATATTTTTCTACTAAGTAATATTCAAAGAACTTCAGCGTTCTAAGGTATCACAAGTGGCAGGCAGAGGTTTGTGGTCCAAGACCATTTTCTGCCTCAAGTGAAAGCACCTGGTGATTCATTGGGCCACCAAGAAAGTCCAGCGTGGGCGCCAGTCTGCTCAGTAACCAGCACATAGACAAAGGAAGCTCCATGTCTGGCAGGAAACATGTACTGAAAGGACAGTGCCAGGGAGGTGCCAGAAGCATGAAAGCATCCAGAATCGTGAAATATGACTCAATCAGAATGGTCCAGGAAGGCTTCTCGGGAACTTTGAGAAGTGAATGATAGAAGAGAGGCAGAATGGATATTGGGCAAAAACTGAGTGATTTTCACACTAGTTCAGAGCAATCTTGGCAGGGAAGCCAGGATCTCTGTGTGCTTTACAGACAAGCACCAGGGAGAAAGCTGCCAGATGACAAGGTCCATCTATAGTGAGGGGCCAAGTCCTCTCACTTAGTGGCCATGACGCTAACTAGCCTATGGGGCAAATGAGCCCCCTCTCCCAAACTTTCTCTTCTGATTGTTGCCATCACTTTCTCCCTTTAATTCATTATCCTTCCAGGACATTCTTTATGAGCAATTATTCTAGTCCTTTTACTTCCTTGCCTATCTTCTCATCACACCAAAAATAAAATCCAAACTTCTCAGCCCTGCCCACAGGGTGCAAATGATCTGCCATCCCCCCAAGTCCTCTCTCTCACTCTTCCAGCCTGTTACCCAACCACCACACTTCCTTGAAGGTCTGCACTTGCTGTTCTTTCTGCTTGAAATATTCCTTCCTGCCCCTTTACTTAAATACTCATTATTCACACCTCAACTTATATGCTACATCTTCAGTGAAGCCTTCCTTTAAAAGCCTGCCCTACCCAAAGTTCTACCATCCCCCATACCATTTTTTGACGGAGTTCTTATAACATGAAATTATTTTGACTCCCATGCATCCATGAAAAATGTAGCTTTCTAGAACTCAGCCCAGTAGAAACTGCCACCCACAAGCATTAAAGGCCAATGCATCACCCTCACATCTTGAGTCACCCTTTCCCACCTCAGTTGTACTTCCTTCCCCAGGGGCCATTTCTCAAGCTGTTAATGCCATATTTTCACACCATTTCATTTCATATATTTTTAAAATTGATTCTTTTATGTTTAACTTAAATTTACTTTAAAAGGAGACTTGACATGATTTGTCATAAATGAGAGATGTCCCTAAAAATAAATATGATCTAAACAAAACAATCTTATTATATTCTAGCCAGTCTGGATGGCTCTTCTCTTTCTCTTAGAGGTGTTGTTGATGCCTTATCAAGGACGTACTAGTCCGCTGAGACTTTATTCTTGAACAGTCAGAGGGACTGAAAGATCACTGAAAAGGGAATAAGTTTCTCTCAGTAAGATTCAAAGCTGTTTGCAGCTTTGCATTTGTAGGGCCGGAGACCATCTTTTAGACCCCTGTTGTGCGTGCCTATTCCATCTTTAAACAATGGAATGTTAAGGCTTCTCAAAGTGGCAAATTTCAGCTCTCTTGCTAACTCTGATACATGTTTGTTAGTAGCTGCCTAGAAGCCAGGTCAGGATTCATCAGGGAACAGTGCTGTAATTAGTTGGTGAAGCTGACCATGGGTACAAGTTGCCTTGCTGGGGAACTGGTACTCGCATCATGTGTTTAACGAAGCTGTTCCCATTGCCCAGAATTACCCTTTCTTCAAAATCTCATTACCATCTTTTAAGCCCAGTCCAAGTCCTTGATTTTTAAAAGTCAATCTCAGACCTGAATTCCAGCAAGAATTATTTTGTCTCCCCCTGCCCCAGATACTCCAAGAACACTTTGATGGAACTTCTAGTTCGGTAGTTAGGCCAGTATTAAATTATCTATGCATGAATCTGTCTGCCTTATTGCATGGTGAACCTGAGGAGGCAAAGATCTTGGGCTTATTTATCTTTGTATCATCTTTCATAAGACCTAGAACAGAGCCTGGAATATATCATGTGTTCATCAAAACTTGGTTGAATAGAAAGTAATAAGAGAGGATCAGATCTAAAAAAACAATACAGTTATTTTCCTTTTGAGACTTTATATAAACCCCTGTGTAAACAGAACCGTCAACCCATAAGAAATGGTTTATTTAAGCTCTCTGCTTCTGTATGTTGTTTTATAAAAGTGATAATAATGAAATATGTTTTTATAAAAACATCCAAGTTTATATTCAGCCGTTTGCTTCTGTAAGAAGAGCATTAAAGTAGTTTTCCCCCGTTTGAAGACAATTTGGCATTTTACTCCAGGTTCGTTCCAAATTCTGAAAAACATTTAAATTATTGTGAACCATTCCTCCTACTGCATTCCATTACAGAACTCTAAAGATGTCAATAGCAAAGGCGGTTTGAGCAATACAGCAGGGAATTCATCATTACCCCATATACCTTGTGATAACACACTCAGTGCACAGGAGGGAGCACAGTGTCAAAATCGACACGTATCAGTTCTTCAGTCAGAAATCCTGTTAACACTACCTTCCCCAAAAACCATTTCTAGCAGATAAAGTGGGATGACTGAAGATAGATTTTTTGTTTTAAATCTCTTTTCAAAGCTGTGCAGAAATAGAATTTGCTTGGAGAGGCCATCACAGACTTCAGTCTGTTGAATGTGAATAAAGACTTTGGTTCAAGTTTTTGCAAACGTTGTCACTTTGGCGTGCACTTTCCTCTAAAGAACAAAGCTTCTGTGAAAACCGTTTTGACTATTGTTGTTGCATCAGAAGGAAACCAGTATGTAATACATCAGCGTTGGTGTTGAGCATTTTCAGAGCAAGCAGAGTCACATTTAACTTACGTGACTTACCTGCAGAAAGGAGAGATGGAGAAATATAGTGCACTGAATCCCAGACACAGTCAGTTGGAAGTGCTGTTATTTTATGTACTACTAAGAAAGAAAAACACTGCCAATTAAACTATGACACACTTTTGGTTATAGGACATGTTTTGATTTCAAAGATGTTAAAATATGAAAAAATGTGCACCTTAGAACTGGTGAACTAAGGAATTAAAATAGTGCAGGTTGATTTACACTGCATTCCGTGCAATAAGACCATGCAATAATAATAAGCCCTGGAGTGCACAAAATGATGGCCTTGAATTTTATCTTCCTGCACATGATCCCCTCTGTTTTTTCCAGGATTCACAGCCAGGCAACTTTGGGAACAACCTAGTTACCAAATGCAAGCCAAGTTCTTCCTGTGACACCTTTTTAAGGGGTCTGCTATGTTGAGTTGTCAAATAAAATACAAGAATCCCAGTTAACTTTGTATTTCAGGTAAACAACAAATCATTGTTTCATATCAGGATGTCGTCTCAATACTGTATGAGACATCCTTATCCTAAAACAAGTCACTGAGTGTCTTGTATTTTTGTTTGCTAAATCTGGCAACCATACTCCTGGGGTATTGACTACCTTTGACCTCCACCACATTCTTTTACCATAGGACCTTAGCTTTTACCATGAGAAGCCTCGATTAATACCTTACTCACTCCTTAGGACAGCTCTGAGGATTAGGGATTAGTGAGGGTCACTTTAGAGCTGAAGGAGGTACATTTCCTCCCCAGATTTGAGTGTCTCATTATAATAAGTTGTTTTGGATCTGAATTCTGATCATAACTTTTAATCCTTCTACAAAGTAGTTAGTTAGGTCCAAAAGATACAGATCACTGGGGAACCATGGAGATGAAAAATACTTTTACTCCTAGAAACAACCTCTGTGGAATTTTTAGTGCTCGCTGTCATTAGGTCAGTGTTATTTAGCCTAAAAATAATGCTAATGACTGACAGTAGTAGCAGCAGCAGGGAATATTAAATACCACTTAACTATGTGTCAGGCACGGCACTGCTCACCACTCTTTTTCCTACTCCCATTTTACAAAGGGGAAAACTGAGACACAAAGAGATTAAAGGAACTTTTGTTCTTCTCATTGTTCAAGCTCAGACCTAACTAACTCTCGCCTTCTTGGAGAGCCATTTTTGGATGATCCGTAGATAACCTCTTTCCCTCCATCACTGTTTTTCATAACGTTTCTTTGTGAAACCAAGGTGATACTCAAAAGCCTTTGCAATGAGGCTAGCTCTATCCAGCAGCCTTCCCATTTTGTAATCCCATCTCACTAAGAATCAGCCGTTTGGTGTGTAACCTCCCTACCTGGGTGCCCCAGGAGAACAATAAAGGAGTCTGTCTGGTTCAGTGTTCCAGTGCTAGGTCTGGCCCCTGGCATTACAGAGACAGAGCAACTGTCTTGTGTGTTAACAAGTAGTCACCGCCCTCCCCTGTGGGCAGCCAAAGTAATCTAGAAGGCTTATCAGAAGTGAAACTCCTCCATTAAAGTTCACCCACGGCAAATACTGCCTTTTGGATAAACTACTATTTAAGATCATTAGGGCTTTCTCTCCGTTAGCCAGGCAAGAAGTTGCAGCCACCAGGTTCTTGGGTTGCTTTAGGGAAATGGAACTTTACTCCAAACTGTAGCATTTTTAGTCTTCAAGTCACCTGGATGGATCTTCTAGGACACAAGTCTTGCCCACCAGGGCCTTTCCCAGGCTCCCTATTTCTGCAGAGATTAAAAACATTCAAAGGCTGCTGAACTGCATCCGCATGTTAGTGTTGCTAAGACAAGCCTTGTAGGCCAGACATCCCATGGACAGAGCATAAACAGAAGAAAAGCAGTTCTAGGGCAAGGTTTGCAAAGGACAGCAGTAGTACTGTTGATAGGATCACAAGCAATGTGCTTAAAGGCAAGCGGATTCTTTCTATATGTGTGTGGGCTCTATCTACACACTTCTCCCAAAAAGCAGTGATTCTCAACAGTAAGTGCACCTTAGAATTGGCTGAGAAGTTTTGTTTTAAATCCCCAAACCCAGGCTGCCCCAGACCAATTAAATCAGAATCCCTGGGGTGGGTTTTATTTTTTAAAGCTTCCTAGATGATTACAGTGGGCAACCAACCAGGGTTGAGTGCCGCTGTTCTAAACAGAACCACATGCTTCCATCTGGGGCTTTTAGGAGGGAAATCTCATAACTTTTAAAAGCTAGGTACAACAGAGTTTTTGCAAAGATGATTAGTTTTTGTTTTATTTATTTCCTATTATTTCCCAAAAACTTCTTCTAAGGATTGGCACAATGTTGCCATCTGTAAGGCATATGACAATAACAGACGGTTGCCTAATAACCAGGAAGGCATTAACATTCACAGGCTCTAAATTATTTGGATTCCTCTGGTATGATCTGTGTTGTTGAGGCCACTTAATGCTTTATTTCTGTGTCTTCCAATGGCAGTAGCAGAAGTGGGAAGGCCATATTTCCTGGGCTTTGCATATCTCTTTGTCATCCTATTGAATTGTTATAAGATAAGATGGATTTATAACAGACGTCAAGGTAGTATCAAAATGAAAATTAGTTCTTGAGTAGAAGAATAGCAATCCCGTTTGCCTTGCCTGTAGCAACTGCAGCATGTTTGCCTCTGCAAGAAAGGAAATGACTTCTTAATGTGGTTTTCTTTCACTAAGGAGAATTAAATCTACATGGCAAAATGTAAAATCAGCGTGCTGGCAGCCAAATTCTGAAGGGAAGATCCATGACCCTCATAAATGTATCTGTGGCCCGGTTATATGCTAATGAGCCTCATTTAGGCTCAAACTTACTTACCAGGAGTGGAAATACAGCTCAGCGGGAGTGCGAGGCTATGGTTCCCTCACTGTTTTGCCTTCTGTATCAATGTTGAGCTGCAATAAATGGGGAAATTTCTCCATCTGCTGCAAGCTGCCAGGGTAGAGGCCTCTAGGTTAGATTTAGAGTTTGGGGCCTGAGATAGCAAAAGTCATTTATTAGTTGATAGACTTTTTGCTGAGTTGGCAAAATTATTTTTAAAGGATCAACTTTTAAAAAGTCGATATTTTAATCGTTAAGTTGACCTTTTTCAAAATGGAGTGGAACAGTATCTGTGGGATGCTCTTTAGGGACACTGTAGATCCCTCAGGATGAATAAAAAGGCAAAAGTTGTTGGGGATAATACTGGCACCTACCCCACTACCTAGCTGGGTGATCTTTGGACCGGGGTATGAACTTCCTCAGAACTCAGTTTCCTCCACAGTAACATGGGGTTAAGTAGCGTCAGTTTTATGAGTTATTGTAAGGATTAAACGAAATAATGTATATCAAAGAAATAATGTGCGCCTTTCACATCATAAATGCTAGCTATCATTGGTGCTATTAAATTGTCTCAATCCCAAATGACTTTTAACACATAACACAAAATACTACACTGTGCATTCCCATGAAGAATGAACGGATAACCTGCGGCATTTTACAATGTATAGAGCCACACACAGGAACAATAAATTTAGTTAATGAAATTGAATCATAATAGGAGGTTAAGGGAGAAAATTGAGCATTTCTAAGGAAGAGAGTTCTGAGAACATCCTCTCTGATAGAATTGAAATTGTATTCACTCTATATGTAAATCTGAGACATACACACAATTTTTTAAATATGCCTGTAATCTGAGGAGGAATTTAAATGATTCAAGTGTTAATTTTGAGACAAATTGTTAATTTTTTGTAAGTTGTTTTCTCATTTAATCTCTTTTTTACTGTTTCCCTGCTTGAACCCTCTTTTAATGGAAATACTTATTACTTACTCAGTTCTCATGGCCCTTGTGTCATTATCATAAATTTGGTTCACTGAACAAAACTGCTCAGAGCTCATGCAAGAGAGTCTAAACCAAAGAGAGTAGGAGGTAAACCACAGGCCACCTTGAAGGAGGGGATTATGGGTTGGTGGCAAACTCAATGCCTTCAAAATCCAGGAAGTAAAATAAATGAATGATGCCTGTTAAACATAAGAAAATTAGAAGAGTGTGGGGGAGATTCTGGGAATGGCAAATGCTCCCCATTCCCCCACTTCATCCCAATCTGTGATCACCTGTATTAGTCCATTCTTACAGTGCTATAAGGAACTACCCGGGGCTGGGTAATTTATAAGGAACAGCAGTTTAATTGGCTCCTGGTTTCTCAGGCTGTACAGAAAGCATGGTTGGGGAGGCCTCAGGAACCTTTCAATCATGGCGGAAGGGAAAGCAGGCACGTCTTCTGTGGCTGGAGCAGGAGGAAGAGAGAGTGGAGGGAGGTGCTACACACTTTTAAACAATAAGGTCCCCCAATAACTCACTATCATGAGAACAGCACCAATGGGGAATTCTGCCTTGATGGTCCAGTCACTTGCCACCAGGCCCCACCTCTGACACTGGGGATTCTAATTTGACATGAGATATGGGCAAGGACACAGACCTATATCATATCATCACCCCCCTCAGCCTCAGTAGATGATTACAAGATGGCAAATGATCTGATTATTTTAAATGTGGATTCTTGTATAAAGCCTATTTGCAAGTTGTAGCAACTGAAACAATTAAAAGATACACCTACTGGCCTCTAATTTGCAAATTTTGTTCAGTCTCCCCCAGCCCCCCGAAATTTGTTCAAGGAGATCCCAAGGGCCCATGAAAGAGCCTCTTCCTTTTTTTTTCTCCAAAGCTCCAGAAACATGACAAGGAGGACTTTCCTGCCTCTTGGAGATCAGAGGAGGAAATGGCAGCAGAAGCCGCAGCTCTGCGGGTCTACTTTCAGTGACACAGGTAAAGACTGCATTTCGTCATTACCCAGACCCTCCCGTGGGCCTCAGGAAAGAGGCTGCACTCTCAGAATGGGGATGCACAAAAACACCTTCACCAGCATCCTTGGGTGGTGGCTGCAAAGGACAAAGAGCTGGAGGGGAGAAAACCCTGGCCCTTGAGTACTGTATTCCCAGCCTCCCAGTCTCTTCCAACTCTCCTGCCTCTTCACTCTCTTCTTCCAAGCCAGTGCCCCCAGCCCACCACCACCTTTCTCCAGTCTTTCCTGCGGTGGTGCTCCTCCAGAATCCAATGTTCACAAAGCAGACCTTCTGTCATGCACAACTTCTTGTTTAAAAGGTCAACCCCAACTTAACTTAAAGGTGTGACATGGCCCTTAGGCTCAAGTCTGTCTGCAAAGCCCTGTAAACCAGCTTTCTCTGCCTCCCTAACACGCCCCCGGGCAAACTCCTCTGCTTTCACTGAGTGGACTCTTCTCTTCAGTTGCTATTTGGTAAATTGCCCTTCATGTTTCCCTTTATGTTCGGCTCCTAGGAAGCTCAGGCCACAGGGAAAAGTCAAGGCTTGATAGAATTAATCTTTGTCTTAATGATGACTAACTGTTGAGAGATCATAGGTTTAAGACTCTGGTAGAAAGATAGCTATAGCCAATTTCCTTGTCAAAATGCTTCTACTCCAAATTTTTATGCAGTGTCTAACGAGCTCATGCCTAGATCTATCTGGCAATCTATATTATCCCTCCTAGTCTCAGTTCACATAGTAGACTGCTGGAATGACTGAGGGTGATGTTTGGCCTGTAAACAAAAAGTGTTAAAGAAGGCCAGGTACAGTGGCTCATGCCTATAATCCCAACTACTTGGGAAGCTGAGGCAGGAGAACTGCTTGAACCTGGGAGGCAGAGGTTGCAGTGAGCTGAGATCATGCCACTGCATTCCAGCCTGGGTGACAGAGCAAGACTCAGTTTCAAAAAAACAGGAGAGAGAGAGAGAGAAATGTATCTATCTCTCTGAAATTTGTTTATAAATATAGGGTTACCATGCAATACTGGCATATATCTAGACTAAAAAAATTACTTGTTTATCTGAAATTCAAATTTAACTGGTATCTTGTATTTTTTTCTGGCAAACCTGTTAATAAACTCCCATGGACCCCAGTTACAGATCCTCTCCTATAAATAGTTTCTTTTTTGTTTTTAGAATTAGATAATTCCAAATTAAAATTAGGCAATTCTTCATCTGACCTGTGAATAAATATGTTCATGTTATAAGTTGCAGAAGTAGATCAGACACAAATAAAAAACAAAATTAGTGAATAAATGCTGTTAGCAATTGATTGGAAAAAATTGTATCAACCACTTAGTGATCATGATTTTTAGCTAGAAAACACATTCATTGTATTCTGATTTCACCTTGAAATGTAAGTAAGTCTTTACTGGATAGCTTTAAATATATGTGCACTTGGCCTTTCTCTCCCCAGCCCTCTTTTTAGAGTATTCTAAATAGTTAAAGACCCAGACTACCTTGCCCCCTATTGTTGTTCAAATATGGTGTTGTACTCAGATCCTTGCATTCTAGAAAGCTTATTTCATTCTCCCATGTCATAAGTTTGTCAGCTCTGCACTCAGTTGCCTGGGGGGATATGGCAAGTGCTATAACAGAGGCTGTCTTTCATATTTTATTTTGAACCTTTTCCACTGTTCACCATCTCTCTCTCGTTTTTTAAGGATCAAGCTAGTTTAGTTTACCTAAGAACATAGGCCTATGGGCATGACTACAAACCTCTTTCTGTTCCTCTTATGAAGGCCAGTATGTCATTTTAGAGTGCCCTGTTCAAATTTAAATGGGGTGACAATACCTCAGACTTGACTGCCTAGGTTGAATTTTTTCTCCTGGGTTTTCTATGCAGTGGGTATTTTCAGGTAGAGGCTAGAAAGCTTTAGCCTTTTTCCCAAGGCTTGCTGAATTGTAGGAGTTTTGTCTTAGAATGCTTTTTCTAGACACTTTAAGAACTTTAAGAAGATTCAAACTTATTACCCAAATTTCCTGTAGGCTTTGTTTTGTCAGTTTTTGCTTCTGTCTTGCCTGGAGGCCTGACACCTCCTGTCTTCCAGGTAAATTGACTTCCCTTGTACATCTTACCAGAAAGATATTTACCCTAACTTGTTACACAAACTATTGCCACAGTACCTGTGGATTTTTAAGTTAACTAACATGTGTATTTCTCTTTAAAGGTTTTGTGCACAGACCAAACAAATCACCCTCAGTCTTCCCAGCAGTCAGATGTGGTAACTAAGACTAGGACGGATAATATAGGTTGTGAGGTGGCAAACAACTTAGGGTCCTAAGATTTTGCCAAGACTGTCATCAT
The DNA here is from genome assembly GCF_000001405.40 of Homo sapiens. Taxonomy (NCBI): domain Eukaryota; kingdom Metazoa; phylum Chordata; class Mammalia; order Primates; family Hominidae; genus Homo; species Homo sapiens. The sequence continues at coordinate 59,749,856 of NC_000003.12, read as the reverse complement.
TACCTGGAGTATAATGGGACTAACTATACCTCCCTTTAAGGACAATGGAAACATTCTATTGAAACCATCCTCACAGGGTTAACAAGAATTAGATGCTGGGTTCTGGACAGAAATATAGTTGTAATTAAGCATTAATCAGGCTGCACTTTGGCCCACTTCTTCGTAACCAAAAGTCCCAGAGCACCAGATGCTAACCATTTGCCTCCTCATTGTTCCTACAGAGAAGATTTCTGATGTTAGAATCATAAGGCCTTTGTTTGTTTAAAAATGGCTTAAGATGTTTTTCAGATCCTGAATTCCAGCAAAAGAGCTATTGCCAACCAGTTTGAAGACCGCCCCCCGCCTCTCCCCAAGAGGAACTGAATCAGCATGAAAATGCAGTTTCTTCATCTCACCATCCTGTATTCTTCAACCAGTGATCCCCCACCTCGGTCACTCCAACTCCCTTAAAATACCTAGACCTAAACGGCTCAGACAGGCAGATTTGAGGTTTCCCCCTGTCTCCTTATTCGGCAGCCTTATGATTAAACTTCCTTCTCTGCTGCAACCCTGTGTCTCGGTGTATTGACTTGCCATGAATTAGGCAACAAACCTATTACAGTTACAGTTACTTTTTTAAAGGAAATTCAATCGTTGGATTGGTCCACCTGCTTATTTCTTCCCTTTTCAAAAAAAATGTCTACATATTGAATTTTTATACATTAAGTGGTTCATGAAACCCCTGAAATGTGTTAGTAAATAGGGCAATTATGAAATATTTGGACATAGCTAGACTTTAAAAATTGTTAATCTGAAGGTCAGATAGACTTGGCCTTCTCCAGCTTTCGTGATTATTCCCTCAGCAGCAAGCTAGTCTTAGGCAGAGCAAGTTTAAAGACATTCATGGTGCTCACTCTGCAAAACTGCACAATTCTCAACATGCACAGAGGCAGACATGATAGGGCTCAGCCCTGGAATTGATAACACTAGCCAACACACTTGCTAAGAATTTATAAGATGTAGACCCTGTTATTATCCTGTCTTGCAAGTGATGAGAAAACTAAGGCTTAAGGATGTTAAGTATTATTAGTTCAAGGCCAACGGTAAGTGGCAAAGCTCAGATTTGAATCCAGGCAGTCCCACCCTAAAGGCCATTCTCTTAGTCTGTGTACTGCCCTCCTTGCTAAAAGAGCTCACCTCTCTAGCCACTTCCTTCTCCCTGTCCCATCTCCCCTTGTACCCTCCAAATAGTCTTCTTAGCCTCTTCACCTTATCTACTGGCCTATTTCTGCCTTGAGGACCTCCCACCTCCTCGCCTGCTGGACTTCTTCCTTACCTGCCTTGTTAATACAACCCTGCCCAGCACCTGCCTCCCTGGTCACACTACAGCCAGGTAGCAGAAACCAAAATGGGCCTGGATTTCCCCAACCAACTTGGTTCTACTTGCAAGATTCTCAGATCATGCTGAATCCTGCCTAGGCTACCCTCCCACTTTCTTTTCTTTACCATCTGACCACATGCCTAAATAAACATCACTTGGGCGAATACAGTGTTCCCCAAATTGCATTCATTCCCATTTTGTCATGATTTTTCTTATCTTTGTGGACCACCTAGAGCATTATTTACTTGATTCACTTTTTGAATTTTAGTATATATATCTTAAACTTTATATTTCAGCCTCAAAGAAAAACAAGTACTACCTGTAATTAGAAGTTAAGCATAAAAATAAACATAAGAGAAAAACAATGCTGATGATTTCCAGCTCTGCATAGTTGCTTGCCTTAGCAACTAGGAGTGAGATTCAGTCTCTGTGTTAAAAAGTGAGGCTAGCCACCATTAGAGGGGCATTTAATTCTAGCACCAAACCGAAACTCTCCATTTGGCATATTCAGAAGGATTAAAGAGAATAACCTACTGAGAGATTCAATGTAGATCACTTAAGATTATCTTAAACAGGAATATGACTGACTCCCAACTTTGGAGAAACAGCAGTGGAGGCCAGATCTTAAACCCAGAGCAAGCTGGCTTTAGACTTGCTTCAACCCTAAACCAGTACTCCTTTCCACCCACCCACCTCCCCCCAACCCCTGCAGGCATATCAAGAAGACAAGGTGCATGGGGGAAAACCAAAGAGTCAGCTTCCCTAGGGCTGATGGGTCAAATCTCAGTGCTTGCCTCTGACATTTTGCTTGCCGACAGTCTGTCTTGAAAACCAACAGGTTGCAAAGAAGAATGTGAACACCTATATCCAGAGATGCCCTATATAAGAATAAAGACTATAAGACCAAAAAGATGTTCTTGACTTAATGTTTGGGGTGGACATACCTAGTTATACGATTTGGCTGTTTCCCCACCCACATCTCATCTTGAATTGTAGCTCCCATAATCCCCACATGTCATGGGAGGGACCCAGTGGGAGGTAACTGAATCAAGGGGGAGGGTCTTTCCCATGCTGTTCTCATGATTGATAGTGATGGTTTTATAAAGGACATTTCCCCTGAATACGCTGTCTTGCCTGCTGCCATGTAAGATGTGGCTTTGCTCCTCTTTTGCCTTCCTCCATGATTGCGAGTCCATTAAACCTCATTCCTTTATAAATTACCCAGTCTTGAGTGTGTGGTTATTAGCAGCATGAGAACAAACTAATACACCTAGCAACTCCTTGGTAAGTATTATTTCTATATCTTCCTTACATATAAAGAATTAATCCTCAGCATAGCAAGAGTACCATTAGGACAACAAAGGTAAACATTCTGAAACTATGTACTGACTCCTCAGCCTCTTGAAGCCATCAAGACACCAACATCAGATTAATTGTGTAAAAGAACTCTCTTTATCTTCCCATATAACCCTCCAGGGTTATATGCACCTGCATTTTGGTGTTTTAGCTTCTCTCTGTATCCTTTGCCTACCAGAAAATGACTTTGAATTGCAGTTTCTTGAGCAGTAGTGAGAAAGGGTTATTGCCTTCACCATGCACAAGGAGCTCAACAGCCCAAGGGTTGCTGAATGAAGCTGCAGTTGTCTCACTCACCATGTGACAGATCCTTGATGAGGCTGGCAATCCTTTCGTTCCAGGAATTCAGCGTCTGCTCTCTGCATAGGTGAATTTATGCATTTGCTCCCTACACACTGGACTGAGTTCCGGGACAAGGGATTTGCAATGGCTCTTTTAGTCTATGTTCTAAATCACATTAGATGACAGGAGACCTGCATTTCTTATCTAATGTTGCCTTCTTCCTGGAGGATGGTAATTCTTTATGCAGGTATTGATACTTGGATTTGCTGCCACTATACACCCAAGCAGTTTTTCTACTTAATTTTAAAGCAATGGCATGTGTCCTAGTGACTAGGGGGGAAGATTTTGCCATCTCCCCATCCTCCCCTCTCCCATTCCACATTAGAATTGAGGGGGATATGTTGTTAAAATATGCAAGCATCACCCCTAATTCTGATGGAAAGTCAGAGCAGGGCAGGTTTCCACACCCTGTTGTGTCAGCAGAGCTCACTTGTAATTCATCAAGCTCTTCTCTGTGCACGTCGTTATTTTATAGATAATTGGTTGCCTCTCATTTACTCATAATGGGACCATGCAATTTCAAAGCAACTGAGTCAGCCCAATACAGCATTATTAGTAGTTATAGATGTACTGTCAAGGCAAAATTTCAACACTGGCGTTTTTGAAAAATCACCATAATTTCTGCCACTGGATCACCCTTATATCATAATTGTGGATAGTCAAGGTGATTGAGAAAGGACAGGTTTGCCTATTTAGCACATGTTCTGGTCTGTAAATTGTACCTTTTGAAATCTACCCCAAATCTCAACCACCTCAGAGATGTTCCACTGTCAGCACAGAAGCCTCTAATGAGAAAGGCCCAGGAAGCTGATCATAGTACTCTCATATTTTCTTGGGGGAAAGGTGGATTTTAAATTCAGCTTCATCACCAATTTAATCTTAAACCCACTAGATAAACCCCATGTGAGGAGCTCAGTACCAATGTAAATGTTTCAGCCATCCCCAAGTTTCAGAACAATTATGAAACTCTTTCAGCCGTTCCCAGATTGTTATGAAAATAGATTTTCTTTAGGCTACAGGTACAAGAGAAGATACTTCTTTTAAGGCTAAAGATATCTTAGTGTGTTCAAAAAGCTCTTTGCCTGACAAAGGACCCATTGTTTTAAAAGAAGCCAGAAGGGAGATTTCAGTTGTTTTTTTTTCCCCTTCTTCTCCAGTCCAATTTCTGTTGGATCTGGCTGCCTCTCCTCTCATTCTATTTAGATGATTACATTTCTAGAATCTGGTTTTAGTGACAGGAAATTAAATACTCTATTACCTGGATTAGATAAATATAAACCAACTCCCTGTGCCTAAATTGGGAATAATAAACCACAGAGTCATGGAAACTTTATAAACCATCAAATCAAATGTCTCAAATGATTTATGTTCCAGCAACTCAAAAGAGGGACCATCCAACAACACTTTAAAAACCTCCTTTTAGAAACATTCTATGAGACAGTCTACCCCATGGATCCAAAATGGATTTTTGGCTTAGTTTAGTTATTTTTAAAATGTTTTAACAAGACCCTACTTTCTCCAACATGTACCCAGTTGTTCAAAAGATTTCCTACAGGCCATTGATGGCTCAAGAATCTGCAGAACTCTTCCTTTGAGATTTACTTCTACTGGTAATTGAAAAATGACTAGTGTCCTGAAGTAATTTTAACGCATGTGAATCTTGAAACCACATGATTCATTACCACAGAGTCCTTTTCAGAAAAGTATAATCTAAATAGCCAAAGATAATTTTTTAAGAGTTTCAGGCTTTACTTACTTACATCTTGCAAAATGGTAATACCATCAAATTGTAATACAATAAAATAAAGCTTGTCATTGTCACCCTCATCATTTTTATCCTCATCTCCAGCAATGGATAACTGCATATTAATCTGCATACTCTTATATAGCAAAAACTTTCTAAATCTTTCTTCTCCTAAGACATTTCTTTTCTTTTTGTACTTGCTTCTCTCCACTCTCCATAGTGTGCTCCTTTCAGTGTTGCCTTTTTGTCTGTCTCTGCCTGAAAGGAGGGTGAGAATGAAGACTCTTCTAGACAGTGTGGAAGGTTAATATGAAGAAAGGCTATGAAAATTCACATTTATAACCTTTGACCCCACTGCTTCATAATAGCTAATATTTATGCAATTCATTTGGTCCTGTGCCTAAAATGTCCCTCAGCCACTTCTTACATAATAAATGCTCCATTATTTTGACACGCTGGGGCATCAATCAAGTATTATGTACATACTTAACCGGGATCATCAATACAGGGTACACTAGCAAAGTCAGCTCTAGATTGTGCTCCTTCTGGCTTTAATACTTCTCTGATTATCTAAGAAGCAGTTCAGTGTACTCTACCACCTCAAATTCATCATGAGTGGTGGGCAATTGAGACTGTGAGTGTCTTATGTATTAAACTAAAGTCCTCCCAACAATGAGGAAAAGAGAGGATAGAGCTAAGTAGGGAACATCTTGTTAATTAAAATGTCACCACTTGTCCCAGTGGTGTAAGTGGGGTAAAATTACACCCCAGACTAAATGTATGTGTGTGCCACTTCTTCTTCCTCCAGAAACCTGTTTTTCCTTCTTTTCGCCTACACAGATAATTGAGGCAGAACATGATTTTTGGAGAGGTCAGGAACCATACAAAGACAGGGGAAGAGAGTGCTAAGGAAGCCATCCTGGGAATAAACTTTTCCTGTCTTATACCCAACTCCTTCAGGGGACGAATGTCTGCCACCTCCTCTTTTATCTCCCCAGCCCTCACTGCACTGGATTTTACAACCCTATCATGGGGTTACCCCCTGTACTAGAGCTTCATGTAAATGATACCGAATCAAAAGAAAAAGTCAAGTGGCAGGTAATGTGTCCTCCAGAGCAAATGTTTGTCTTGTGTTTTACACAGAACTTTTTAAAATGTGCTTTAAAAACAAAAGACTGATAAAATGAACATTACAGTTTGGTGAAAATTATGTCCCAGCGCCTCTCTCTCTCCCAACAAGAAACCTGTTTTCCAATCCCCTGTCCTAAGCACCAGGCATATACACCACCGACTGAAAGTATAAAAAGACACTCTGCAGTCTCCTAAGAATGGCATCTGAATTGTCTTGTCAGTTTGGTTTCTACTCTCAGTGCAAATATCTTTAAATAATTTAAAGTGGAACCCCACCAACGTTTGCCACTACACTTACTCTCTGAACCTGGACGTGTCGCTCTTTTGTGCTCAATTTCCTAATCTCTGAATTATAATGATAGAGAAAGCATTTTACTTATATCCCAGGGTTATTATAAGGAAAACACAAAATAATGGAATGGGAAACCAGTATGTCAATAGTATAAATACATTATTTTTTTCTGATTTCTAGTATATTTTGAAGATGATAAATTATAGGGATATTCAGGTAATGAGAAATTAGTTCAAGCAGTAACTAAAGAATTAAATCTGTAGGGCAGGAGGTTTTCAGACCACTAAAAAAAAAAAAAAAAAAAAAAAAAAAAAGTGTGTCTTCTGCTTTTGTTACTAAAGGCCAAATAATTTGACTCAATCCTCCCACTGTGTTCAACTAGAAAGACTACACAGAACTTTCTAAAAATCTGTTAGAAGTAGGAAGGTAGCAAAAGATTATAGGACCAAGAGCCAAGGAAGACAGAAATCCATAGAAGTGAGCCCCATGTTTGAGGTTGCTTTTCCATTAAGGGCATTTGTGAGCCTCAGAGAGGCAAGTGGAGATAAAGCAATAGTCAGTTTTCCAATGGTAGATTCCTTGCTAAACCTCCACCTCTGGGTGGGAATTCAAAGATCTGGGAGAGTTATACCCTTGGAATAAGAGTGAGCCCTTACACCAACTACAGCCCAACTTCAAATCATCTGGGCAGGTGAGAAACTCATGACTGGAAATTGAATTAAGGTGATCTCAAATTGCTAGTCCATTAAACTCCTGGCAGAAGCCAGAAAATCCTCTCTGGAAGAAAGTAATACCAACCAAGACCTGAAATTATTTCTCACATTTGTTTCCAAACAGAATGCTCAGTATATGTGTGAATGTTTGTCCCCCCCAATGCCACAGTGCCCTCCCCACACACACAAACACAGAAGGCCTGTGATGAGACAAGTTGTTGTGGACTGAATGTTGTGTCCTTCCACAATTCATTTAAGCCCTAACCCCCATGTGATGGTATTAGGAGGTAGGCTTTCAGGAGGTAAGTAGATTTAGATAAGGTCGCAAGGGTGGGGCCCTCAGGGTGGAGTAGGTGCAATGATAAGAAAAGACATCAGATTTCTATCTTTATGCATATTCAAAGAAGGGGTCACGTGAGCACACAGCAAGATGGTGGCCCATCCACAAGCCAAGAGGAGAGGCCTCAGAATGAACCGACCTTGCTGGCACCTTGATGTTGGAGTTCCCAGCTTCCAGGACTATGAGAAATAAGTTTCTATTGTTTAAGCTACCCAGTCTATGATATTTTGTCATAGCAGCTCAAGCTGCTTAAGACGGAAATTGATACAAACAAGATCAGAACCACAGGTTACCTGGAAATTGGAATTATCAGACATAGATGTTAAATTAACTATGTTTATTTATGGAGAGAAAAGACAAGATTGTTTTTTAAGTTTAGCAGAGAGCTAGAATTTATTACAAAGAAAAGACACAGATCATGAGAAAAATAACCAAATAAAAATTCTAGAACTCGAATGAATTTAGCAACACATTATTCACAGCCAGAAAGAGAATTAGTGAATTCAAAGATGAGCCATATGAAAATACCAGACTGAAACATGAAGAGGTAGAGTAGAGGAAAAAGTAGAAAAGAGGACAGAAGACAAAATACAGGGAGAAAGTTGAAAGATATTTATTCATATTTCCATGGGGAGAGAAAACAGAGTTTCAGTGGAATCTAGATTTAAAGAGACGATGGCTGACAATTTTTCAGAACCAGGAAAAGCTACCAATCCAAAAATCCGAAACACAGCAAAATCAAAGCATCAGTGAAGATTCCATGCTTAGACACATTACAATAAAATTGCAGAAAAGCAAAAACAAAGAGAAACTCAGACTTAAGAAGGAAAAAAATCACTGGCTTTTCAAAGAAGTCATAATTAGACCAAAAACAACAACTACAAAAAAATGAAAATCAGAAGACCACAGGATATGTCTGAGAGCCAAAAGAACTACTGAGTTAGATTTCCATACCCAGTTAATATGAATGAATGAATGACTTCATGAATGAAGGTAAGATACATGCATTTTCTGATGAAAGCTGAGAATCTGTCACCAATAGACTTACACTAAAAGAATTCTAAGGGCCAGGTGTGATGGCTGACACCTGTAATCCCAGCACTTTGGGAGGCTGAGGCAGGTGGATTGCCTGAGCTCAGGAGTTCAAGACCAGCCTGGGCAACATGGCAAAATCCTGTCTCTATTAAAAATACAAAAATTATCCAGCCATGGTGGTATGCACCTGTAGTCCCAGCGACTTGTGGGGCTGAAGCGGGAGGATGGCTTGAGCCTGGGAGGTCGAGGCTACAGTGAGCCAAGATTGTACCACTGCACTAAAGAAGAAATCAAGTGGAAGTTGGAAACTATTTTGAACTGACTGAAGAAAACTCATACTTGGGGATGCAACTAAAGGTGTGTTTAGAGGGTAATTTAGTTTTAATTATGACTTGAATGCCCTTATTCAAGAAAAGTCAACAGTTACTGTGCTACCCCATTCTCTATGATGTGCTTATTTCACATTGCGTGCCTGCATCAAAACATCTCATGCATCCCATAAATATATTCACCTACTATGAACCCACAAAAATTAAGAATTAAAATTAAAAAAATAAAAAAAGTAAGTTAATGTGCTAAACATCTTTCTGGAGAAGTTAAAAAGAGAACCACAAAATTAAGAGGGAGGAAATAACAATAAATCATAATGTAATAAAATAGAAAACACAAATGCAATTGAAAGGATCAATGAAGCCAAATGTAGGGTCTTTGAAAAGAGTGAAGAAACAAAAACCCATGTTAAAAAGAAAAAGGCAAACTTCTGTATAGATACTATAGTCATTAAAAAGGAATGTTAGAGCAATACATTTGAAAATTTGAATTAAATAGACAAGCTTCTCAAAAATACAACTAGCACAAACTGACACAAGGTGAAAAAGAAAATATGAATAAAATTGGATTCTAATTAAAGAAAACTGAGTCTGAAATAAAATCCTTCCCACAAAGAAATTTTCAGGCCCAGATAGCTTTACTGGTGAATTCTACCACGTACTTGAGAAACAAATAAGAATCTCATTCAAATTCTGCCAAAGAGAAGGGGGGGGAAAAGAAACTCTTTAATTGTCCAGTTTGTTGTATGATTTATGTTACAAATGAACATTGCAAGAACATTACAGAATGGAAATCTATAGACTAATTGCACTTGGAAACACAAATGTCAAAATTCTAAGAGATATCAGACAGATGACAGACAGATTGTACATGCACGCACATATACGATTTGGGAAAAGGATAAGACATCATGACTAATACAACTTTGTTTTCACATTAGACTTTCAAATGATGTCTTTCCCTGGGTTAATAAAGGAGAAAATGATAGGATCGTCTTAGTAGATGCAAATAAAATTATTGATCAAATTACACATCTAACTTAAATTCAAAAGGTCTAGGAAAGCTACAAGTGGAAGGGACTTTATACTCAGGAATGAAATGAACACTATGCATCTGAGATTGTAAATGAGATAAGATATTCACTATTAACGCTTCTATTTCACAATGTCCTTGAAGTCCTAGCTAGTGTAGAAAGGTGAGAACAATAAACAAAAGGTGTAGAAGGATTAGAAATAAAGGAATAAAACTGTCATTATTTGTAGACAATATGATATATGCAGAAAACCCAAAAGAATCTATAGAGAAACAAGTAGAATTAATCAGTAAACTTAGCAAGGCCTCTGAATCTAAGGGGTGTGTGTGTGTGTGTGTGTGTGTGTGTGTGTGTGTGTGTGTATATATGTTTTAAATTTCTCTGTATCAGCTACAATGGTTAGAAAATGAAAAGTTTTAAAGTTTGCTTTTAACATCAAAAATCAGATACCTAGGAATAATTACAGGTATGTAAGCTTATAGACAAAAAATGTAAAATATTAAGTCATTAAAGAGAAATTAAATAAATGGAGAAGTAAATGACTCAATTTTATTAATATAAAGATTGAATTTTCCTCAAGTTGACTATAAACCCACAGCAACTCAGTTCCAAATTCCCATAGGTTTTGGTAAAAATCGACAAGTTGATTCTAAAATGCGTATGGAAATGTAGCCAGAGACTTAGAAAAAACAAGATTAGAAGGATTGGAGGGGCTCACTCTACAGGATATCAAGACTTATTACAAGGCTATAAGAGTTAAGAGAGCATGGTATTGGTACAAAGATAAATAGACTGATAGAACAAAACAGAGGACATAGAAGCAAATCCAGGCATATATGAACACTTGATTTATGATAAAAATGACACTACAGAGCCATGAGAAAAGGAAGATTTTTTTCAATAGATAGTTCTTGGAAAATTGGATACCCATGTAGAAAACTAATGAAAAGAAACCCTACCTCACACCACATGCAAAAGAGAGTTCCAGGTAGATTGTAGTTCAAAGCATGAAGTGTAAAATTTTAAAGGCTTTGAAGATATTATAAGAGGATATCTTCATAATCTTGCTATAGGGAAAGACTTTTGCAACAGGACACAAAAGGCACTACTGAAAAAAAAGATTGATATATTGGACTACATTCAAATTAAGAACTTCTGTTTGTCAAAATACACCATTGAGAGAGAGAGGAGACAAGCTGCGGTGGAGGGGAAAGTACTTGCCACATATATAATCAACAAAGGACTAGTGTCCAGAAGACAATATAAAATGAAAAAGGAAGCAAAGAAAAACACATTATATTTAATAAGAAGTCAGCAGCCCGATAGAAAATACACAATGACTTGAACAGGCACTTCACAAAAAAATGGATATTGAAATGGCCAATAATCTTTAGTCATCAGGGAAATAAATATAAGCTTAAAACACAGTAAAGTACCACTACACACCCACGAGAATAGTCACAATGTAAAAGGACTGACAATATCAAGTGTTTGCAAGAATATGGAACAATAGAAACACCCAAAAGAACACATACTGTGTGATTTCATTTACATAAAGTTCAAAAACAGGCAAAATTCAATTACAGTGCTTAGAGATACATTCATTTAGAAGGTAAAATTATAAGGAAAGCAAGGAAGCACTCACCATGAAAGTCAGGCCCGTGGTTACCTTTGCGGGGGAAGAAAGAAGGGAACCGTGATTTGGAAAGGGAACGTGGAGTGAGTGGGGTGGGAAAGTGGAAGGGTTGGCGATGTTCTGTTCCTCGCCATGGGTGTTGGCAAGACATGTGTTGGCTTTATATTAATTCTGTAAGCCATGTACATATTTCCTGCATGTTTCTGTATGTGTGTTATATTTCACCATCAAAAGGACTAGCACATCAGATAAATGAAAATTTTTCAGTTAGGCAAAAAAAAAAAAAAAAAAAGGAAGAAAAGAAAGAGATTGACATGTTGTTGCTGGCTGAATATTCAAGTATTTCATAACAGGCTTAAACAAAAAAAGAGTAATTGCTGTGTATAATCTTTACAGACACACTACCAGTACATCAGGGAGGTGGCACTCCTCTTCCTGACCATCCTCCCTGACTTGAAGAGGCCACTCTGGCCAAACAAATCGTTATTTCAGGAAGTGAGCAATGGAGATCACCACAGAGAAGAGGCTATATTATTAATAATTCTTAATAAAACCACTTTTGACGAGCTTACCATGGGCAAGTTATACCAAGCACTTTACAGACTTTACTCAATTAAACCCCACAACAACCCTCCAGTATTGCCCTGGTTTTCAGATGTGAAAATTGAGGCTTACAGCAGCTGTGTGACTTGCCTGCCCCAAGGTCTCTCAGGTTATACTTTGTGAGTCAGGGTTCAAGTCCAGGCAGTCTGCCTCTGGAGCCCACACTTACCTTTTCACTAAAAATGGTGGCTCTCTGTTTAGAAACATCATCCCTCACATAAGCTCTAGCTAACCAAAGGCAAGAATTGTCCATTGCAGCTGGGGTGCAAGGTATACCTTACTCTAGCTTCTGCACTAACTTCAGGAAAAGAGCCAGCATTTGATGATTCTTGTGCTTTGGATCACTTTATCCAGCTGTCACAACCACCTGCTAGAAGTGGTTATGAGAGCTGGGTAGTGCCTAGTCCTTATTCCTAACCCTTTAGGAAACAGAGCTATCCCTTGTTTCCTTATGCAGCAACAGTTACAGACTGAGTATGTGTCTGAAAGCTGAAACTGCATTCCATGAGCAGGAGTGAATCACGGCTAATCAACCTTGGACTGTAACGCATTAGATACTGCACTCTTGGGATCAGTGAGGACTCTCAAGGGCTTCATGCAAGACCTTTCAGTGAGCACATGCTCTAGAGATAGGGCTTTCCACCAAGAGTTTGCAGTTAGCTCTTAGATTCCAAAACATTTGAAAAATTGTCGAGAGATCCAAGCAGAGTACAGGATGGAGTGTAGTAGACATTTGAATTTGGAGCTGTCAATCCCATCCAAAACCTACAGTTCTGGGCATGTGACTCCAGCTCATCCAATCAGAATTCTTCCCTACCATTTAGTCTATGAACATAGAGAGAAGCCCTTGACTGGGGTGAGGTAGATTTGAAGTTCCTATAAGTCATCTTGCTCATCATTTGGAGAAGTTTAAGGCAGGAGATGCCAAACACTGTAGGCACACTAGGTGAAGTTCATCCCTGCCTTGTAGGAGCCGATGGTGAAGTTGAAGCAATCATACTGATTCAAGAACAAGTGGGCGTGTGACTGAGTTCTGTGCAAGTTGGCAGTACAATGTCAACTGTACCTGTGACCAAATTGATTTCTCACCTTATCCCACTATGAAGTAGTTGACTCTGTGTCATTCCTGTCTAACCCCCTGAGCCCACACACACAATTACATGCCCTCCAAGCTCCACCCTAAGGTCTGGGATTAGCCAATCAATTTTAATCCGTATTTAAAGGATTTTTCAAAGTGTACAAGTCAGTGCGTAAGATGATAGATCATGTAATAATTAAAGCATTAAAAGAACCCAATTGAGGATTCTCTTTCTGCCAGCAGATATCTTTGGGTCAAGAAGGTCTATAAAAACCGGCAGATCATTTTCATTCCTTTAAGACAGGCAAAAATGACTTTTAATGTAATTAGATGTTCTTACCAATTTTCTTCTGCTGAAGCTCCACATCTTGTTTCCAAGAAGCTCGCAAAAAGTTTAGAACTGTTGGTACGCTGAGCTGCTAATTGATGGTGTGGTATTGCTTTGAAGATATAGAAGCACATGATATTGCTTGAATCATTTTTTTTTTTCTGCTAAATTAGAAATAAGCCAGAGTCATTGCTAAGAGAAGTGGAAGCTTTCCCTTCTCACAGGCAGATGGCCCATCTTGGCACTGTGGAGGCTTGGGCTGCTGTTAGAACTCTGCCCCCAGCTTCTCATCCAATCTCTTGTGGTTCCTGCAGATTCTGGAGTCATGAGTTTGGAAAAAGAAATATACCTAATGTAGTGAATCAGCATTTCTCTTGGATACCCCTATCAAAGTTTTGTTCTATTACTCTCCTCTCAAAAAATCTATCTATCAGGGCACTTTTTAAATTTTAAAGTGGGAGATCTTGTATGTGGTTAGTTTTAATTTCTTTAATCGTTTTGAAGAAAAAGACTCAATGGAAAGTAAAAGTAGTACAACAATGTAAAAGAAAAACATTTTCAGCAAAACCTAGTAACTCTTGGTTCTGGGCAAGACTTTATGATATTGCAGTTAAAAATATAACTTATATAGAATATTATACATCAGCTGTTGACTGTGACTCTTAAAATATGTATCTATACCCTCAAACTCACCCAAGGTCATACAAGAGAATGAACACATTAAAATAGAAAATGGGTTAAAATCACAATCCTTTTGAATGGAAGCCAGATCATGCTTCTCTTCTACACTTTGGAGAGTCAGCCAGGGCCTGATTACATGAGGCCTTGCACAGCACAGTAAAGGACTTAGAATCAAGCCCAGTCTCATCTCCTATGGCAACCCTTCAGGCTCTCAGTTCCAGCCTTCCCGCTACCTTGATGTTACTGAAGAATGTCAAACTAGGCCCATCTCAGGGCCCTTGCACTTCTAGTCCCCTGATGCCTGGAGCGTCCTCCCTTCTTTCCTTCTTCCATTCAGGATTTGACTGAAATGTCACCTGCTCAGAAAGGCCTTCCTTAAGTACCCAGTCTACAATAGTGCTTTTTTTTCCTTCTATGCTTTAACCAGTGTTTTCCGTCAGTGGGGGTCTCCAGTGGGATGGAAGAAAGCAGGTCCCTGGCTGTAGTTCTTGTCTCCTGGACCATACGGCTGGGCTTTAGAGAATGGACTAGCCTCCTAGCCCTCTTGCAGGGCATATGGATATGGCTTTTCCCATACTCAAAGGTCCCTTCTGGGAAAAAATGAACCTCAGGTCGCCAAAGTAAGCAATCAACTAACTCTTCTATCACTGGGATAGTGGACTTTGTATCCCTCTTTGGAAAAATTAGAGACTTTGAGTCTCTTTGGGTTGGAAAGGAGTTTAAAGAGCACATGGTTCAACCTATTGCTTTGCAAAGAAACAAACTATAGCCCAGAGAGGGTATAAAACTTGCCCAGACACACAGAATGACAAAGCCTAGAAACGACACAGCTTAAAACCAGACCTTTTATATTTTCAGTCTCTTACTGAACACATAGAGATGAGTCCATAGAGATTCACCTGTTGATGCTTCCATACAGGATATTTAGAAGGCATTTGTATATGTGCATATCTGTCTTGCCGCAATACGCATTTTATTCTGGGACTGGAGTCTCAGGAAAAGCAAGGTCACGTGAGATACTCTGTGTTCTTACTAGCTTTCAACCGTGTTTTCTTGCCAGGTTTCAACCCGTGATCTTTTGATCCCAAGTAGAACTTGAACATAATTCAAGTTAACCTATTTATGAGGAACTGAAGTAGACTATAACTTATTTGAACATCAATTTCATACTCAAAATATAGTATTAAAGGTTTCATCTTTTTGTTTTTCTCAAAGGTCCTGCTCCAGGTAATAGACTTTTATCCATTAGCCTACAGATTTTCTCAGATGGTAGTATGAGCTTATATAAAAGGCAAAAGAACAGAGTTATACCCATTCAGTACCTTTAAATGGTGGAAAAGAAAAAAAATAACCCCATTAGGCTGTTAAATGTGTCGAACCCCGACAAATTCTCAGTGTGACAATCCTTGGGTATATGTCTGTAATAATTCAGCAAATAAGCCTTTTATTCAGCTACAGAGTTGTACACACTCCAAACACAAGCGCCATTAATTAAATAACACACTCAGCAAACTCACAGAGCCATTAATTATCAAAGGTAGCCTGGTCCATGCTTGGCTCTAAATTCGATTATAAAAGGAGAGTGCAACTTACAGCTAAGGAATATGCTGGACGAAGGTCACCCTCAAAAACATGATAAGAAGCAGCTGTCAGAGAAAGTCAATGACAAAGCATGTATGCCTTTTAGGTTTGCCTTTGCCTCTTCAGAGGGTTTGAAGGAAGGGAAACTGTTTCACACTGTAGGGACTTTCTTTCTCAAAATTAGTTTTTCTCACGAAAAATGCAAGTAAATATAAAGTAATCCTTTTTCATTTCAACTGTGTTGTAGAGAAGAGCAATATCAGCTGAAGATTTTAAGACAAATAAAGCCCGTCTTTCATAAGCCCCATCGGGAGGAGAAAGTTGTTGAGAGGGGCGTCCTGGCTATGCACAGGCACGGGGAAGTGGATGTAAATGGAGCAAACACAGAAGACAGAAGCCTTGCTGGCTTCAAGTGGGCAGCAAAGGAATGCCCCAGTGGTAGTGGAAGTTTTCTAAGGGTGGATTTGCCTGGTTCTGCACCTAAGTATAAGCAGTTTCATTTGCCAGGAGATGGTAAGCCCTGCAGGCTGCGGTCACTCACTCCCAAGCACAAGCTTTGGGATCATCTTTCTTGCGTTTGCTGTTCTTCATGTTGAGTTTATCCCTTCAAAGGGAAAACTGACAAGGCTGAGTCTGTGGTCGCTCTATAAACCACAGTTACCAGTGAACCTCCACCTCACTGCAAAACAGATGTCTGTCTGCACCTCTCCTCTTGAGGGGACTGGCCACATGGTGTGTGGGGCTGTTTTATCCATTCTGTGCCCTCAAGGAGGCAAGCACAGTGGATTGGAAAACAGACCCTGCTTAACAGGAATTCACACTTTCTCACTGCAGGAAGTTGTGTTATTCATGAACATGTACAACGTGCCATGGAGGAATAGTTTTGAGTTACAAAGCTCACTGGGCAGTCGCTCTGTTCTCCTAAGTCCAACTTCACACTGCTGGGTTTGGGGCTGCTGCACTTGGGGGTAACCCCTTCCTATCTCTAGATGGAAGTATAATTGCATCACCTCAGAGATACTCATCAGAGTGGCTCTCTGACCCTTGCCATTTCTCCCTCAGCTTCCCTTTACCCACTTACTAGAAGAGATTGCCGCCAGCAGCTTCTGTGGTCCAATTTCTGAGACCAGTTTATTAAGAAAAAGCTGAAAAGCAGAGGTCAGGGGTGCCTGCCCTTGGAAAATTGCTCACCTTGTTTTTGGTGTGAGCAGAATGACTTTCTGTGGCTGCCTCAGCCTGTATCTCTAGCCTGCTAGGAATGAACAACAGGTACTTTAAAAGAAGAGAGTTGTTAAAGAGGAGTTTTATGTTTGTGTCTCCAGACTGATTTATTGGTAAGTGTGGTTACTTCATTTTAAAACCATGTCTGTGTCAATCCTTGCATAGAATCAAAGCAGGCCATTTTATTAATCCTCGTGGGCAAGGAGCAACATCCTCAAAGGACAACTGTCCTATTCACATGGTTCTGCTATGAGTACTAAAAACAGACAACCTTAGTCAAGTTGAATATTTGCAACTGAAACCTACTGCATCTGAATTGCTTCGGCGCACTTGGGGCAATGTATTGGGAGCATATTTTGTACCAGAGTCAAAGTGGAGGCAGGCTTGCAGCTCATCACCCTCACAGTCAATGATTCCCCTCCAGAGGCGCAGGCCACGCTCCAGACCAGTTAGCTGAGAAGCTCTGGGGGCAGGATGGCAGCATAGCATTTTGGTTTTTTTACCTTCCCAGGTGATTCCAATGAGCAGCCAAGTTGAGAAACACTACCTTAAAGAAACAAGAGGAAGGCGGAGGCCTGCTGAGTTTTTGTGGTGTCAACCCTTCCTTTTTCACCCTAACAAGTTAGATTGACTATAGGCAGCTCCCATCCAGGTTCACCCACAGAAGACACAGACATTCATCTATTTTCTTAGCTTCAAAGCAGAAGAGGCTGTCTTCCTCTAGGTCTGTGAAAGTCTAGGGGAAAGGAGTAACAGGTGGGAGCCTTCTTCACCTACACGCTTGGTAAAAAGGTGAGTGTTGCCTTGAATGCACACAGAGGTGGTGGGGAAAGACAAGACTGGGCCTGATGACACCCACACGTTCAAGGAGAAGTCAGGGTGGTTCACTTCGGACGCAAGCTGGGACCCCTTTGATACTTCTGCTTTCACTCTGTGCCCACTAAGTCATACAATAAAACACTAGCCAACCTCAAAGACTTTCCTGTAGGTTTCAGGCAGAGATGGATGAGAAAGTTACAGCCCACAACCCTCAGCAAATCTTACACAAAACCTCAAGTTCCTCTAACAGACATTTTCATTTTTCTTCCAAATTCAAAGCTGCCGTCTCCAAAAATCTCCTCTACTGTCCACAGCAACAGAGCTCCCCTTCTGCCGTCATTCACCACTCTACAAAACAAACCCCTTATAATGAGTTTCACAGTACTCGCTACCTACTATTTCTCAAGCATGCTTTTAGGGCTGGAGGTAAGGGGCAGGTAATCTGCTACTATGTTGATTAGGAACTTAGAAATAATTGAAAATTGAAAAGCATACATGTTCATAGAGATCAAACTTTTGGCATTCTGGGCTCCTGCCCTCTTTGTCCCCTGAACTCCAGAAGCCCACATATTCTAGACTGCTCACCTGACCCCTAGTTATCTACCACCTTGCTTCACTCTGTGTGAAGTATTTCCCAAAATGGGTTGGAAGCACCTTGAGGAAATAGCCATTCACCTGTTTTCAGGGCCCTTTTTGTACCTCCTCAGAGGCTTAATTGCATTTCAGTAAATCCTTTTGTTGCTATGCCCAGATAACACTGAACAGCACCACTGTCTATTCTAAAGGCAATATGGAAGGAAACTAGCTATATGAAGAGGGACACATTGTGAGAGGAATCCAACTAGAAGATGGGAAGACACATGCACTGCCCAGATGCACCCTTTCCAGTAATGAGGTAGAATCCCACAGTGTCACTGAGTACCGACTTTTCACTTGCTTTGACGCTCATGAGTCTTGCTGGCAATGCAACACAAAGAATTAGTGATGATAATGATAATAACAGAGGCTCTCATTGAGTGAGCATAATAATGTGCTAGACAGGGCCTTAAGTGCTGTCTGTATATTAACCCACCTAGTTCTCTCCACAGCCCCCACGAGGTGTGTTCACATTGCCTAGAGACACACAGCTGGTAAATGATGCAGTGGACTTCAGACTCAAACCTTCACTCCTCAAAGTCTGCCATGCTCACCCAGTATACCTGAGAATGAAAGGCAGACTCTGCTTCCCATAATCTTCCAGGCTAGTTGGGGAAATGAAACGGCTGAAGACAGAGCTTTAAGAAGCCAGGCCAAAGCTGTGACAGAGGAGTCACAGAAGCATTGCAAGTAGACTAATAGAGGCCTCCTCAGGGACGGATAGAGGCATCCACAGAGATTCAGAAATTACAGAGTTGGTGCTGGACAGAGTCAGGGTGGGAAGGAACACAGGGCCACAGTGTTCAGAAGACCAAAAATAGAACCGAGGGAAACTTCTCCTAAGACATAAATCTGCCCAAGACAAGTGAGACAGAGGAAAAGAAAGGGCACATCCATTTTCAGGCCTGCGCAGGTTCTTCTGACTCAAAGTCAATAATTATTCAAGGACAAGGGCCATGATAAATGATCAGAAGATGACCTGTATCTCCAGACAAGGTGGATGGTGCTGGCACAATAGTGGATCATCCCAACGCCATATAGGAATGAGACAGATCCCCTTGTCCGGGGCAGCAAACTGACTGGTACCTATACCCCACTCTCCAGCCCTCACTTACAGACCTCAGTGGGCCCGCAGGGAAGGGATCCTGAGCTCAGATATGAGGCCTCCTGATGCAGGTTAGAAGCAGAAGTGATTCGGCCTCTGTGTTCTGGATCCCAGAAGGGATAAACTAGAATTCCAAAGGGATCTCCTGCCTTTTGACCTCTGACTTTGTTACTAATTTGTAAGAAAAGTGTAGTACTAGACACAGAAAAATCTCCATATACCACAGGCTGAAGTGGGTGCTGGTGTGTCCTCACCAAGGTGGGGTTGAATGGACTCACCTTGGGTTCTGAATGGAAATGAGCAGGGAGCTGGGTCTTCTCAGCTCAGCTTCCCAGGTCTGTGCCTGTAGCACTGCACTCAAAGCTACAAACAGCAAACAGTACGTGAAAAGCCATTTAAATCTTCACTGAAATCCCTTGAAAACGACGTAGGAGAAGTCCATTTGTGTTTCTCAGCAATGTTTCTCAAAAATCTCCTCATGTATCACACCCACGGTAGTGTTAACAAAAAGTCAAACTCTCTAAAATATTAAAAAAGATTTATTCTGAGCCAGACATGAGTGACCATGGCCCAAGACACAGCCCTCAGGAGGCCCTGAGAACATATGCCCAAGGTGGTTGGGGTGTAGCTTGGTTGTATACATTTTAGGGAGGCATGAGACATCAATCAAAATACATTCGAGAAATACATTCATTTGGTTCAAAAAGACGGGACAATTGGTGTGGGGGATGAGGAGGGAAGCTTCCAGGCTATAGGTAAATTTATACATTTTCTGGTTGACAACTGGTTGAGTTTGTCTAAAGACCTGGGATTAATAGAAAGGAAATGTTCAGGTGAAGATAAAAGATTGTGGAGACTCAGTCTCATAGTGGCTGCCCTTAGAACAGATGACAAATGTTCCTATTCAGACTTTTAAAAGATGCTAGACTCTCAGTTAATCTCCTCAGGATTGGGAGGGCTTGGAATAAAAAGATCTAGCTACGTTAAGAGAGATTCTTTACAGATGCACATTTCCCCCCACAAAGGACGGCCTTACAGGGCCATTTCAAGATATGGCAAAGAAACATGTTTTGGGGTAAAATATTTTGATTTTCTTCTTTATCACATAATGTTATGCCAGAGTCATACTGGAAAGTAAGTCATAATATATAGGATTAAATAAAACCCATCTGATGAGAATTTGTGGTTTGTAGGGCATGACTCCCCAGACCCCTTAGATAGGAGGAATTTGGGCAAGATTTAAAAAATCAGAGCTTAGTCCTCAGGAGCTACCCCAAACATCTCCTAGCACCCTTTTTGCAATCTTTCACAAATTTTATAAAATATAACCCAGGAAGTCCTCATTTTTTTTCCCTCCTATTTAATTTTCTCTTTCCTATGATACTCTGCTTTCAATGTCCTCCAAACTAGCAGTCCCAGCTAGCCCAGTTCCTCACCACACTCATTTTACTGATACCAATGATTAAGGCCCGGAAGCTAAGGCTCCAACGGGGGTGGAGGGGGCAGAGCCCTGAGATGCATTCCCATGCTCTCCTGGATGTGGAGCTGGGCCACCATACCACTATACCACCAAGGGATTTCCTCATTTTCTTGCCAAATAAGATTAAAGGACTTTCTCCCTATGTTCCCATTTTATGAGTGGAAATTGTTTTAGGCCTGGCCTAAGATACTTGACCTTAAGGTGTCTTGGCCTTGAAGCAAAGCTCATTCTGCCTCCTGCACAGCACCTCAACATCCAGGGGTTGAACAACTCAGATGTGGAGAACCTGCCAAGAAACACAGATTCCTGGGCCTTTATCCAGACCTGCTAAGTCATCATGTAGGAGACAGAGCCCAGAAATCTGTGTTTTTAACAAGTGGTCAGCAGGCAATTCTGACAATGGCTGTTTGGGATCCTGTCCTCACCTAATTAATACAGACCTGAATTGGCTTGTTTCTAGGTAAGATTTGTGTCTATAACAGACACTCTTAAGAGACCATGCCACTGACCTCTGGTGACAAGGGCAGTAGCCAGAGACCACAGGAAATGTGAGAATCCAGAGTGACTGCAGGCATCAGCAGGGCTGCAGTCCATCTATTTTATATAATTCATCCCTATCAACAGGGCCTCTTGTAAAATGCTAATGGCAATCTAAAAGATTAGCAGTAAACAAACTTATATTTTATTTATTGCCATGACTCAAAAGATACTATTGATTCTAACTAAATGTCTGTTTTTATGTTCCGTCATTTTCAGGCATGAAAGTAACTTGAACAAATCCCAAGGCATAAGGAAATGGGTCTCGTTCTCTAGAACTCTGCGGCATTGGAAATGAAGCTAAGCAGATTTTATTACATCCTGCAATTCTGCAACCTTTTGCAAAGCGTTTTATTACACTTGTGGAAGCCATTGGGGTTATGTTTCAATCATGATGAATGACAGGCTAACTTCTAAACAATGGCATCAACAGCCTTTCCACACTTCCTTGGCTATGTACTCAGAATAGAACCTTTCCTAAATTGTCCCTTGGCCTGGATGGAAATAAAATGGTAGTTAAAATATTTAGCCTGTGCTAACCTAAAAATTGATATCTTACAGTCTCTGAAAGGCATAACTCAGGAAGTGGATCTCTTAGAACTAGTGTGCTTCCTATAAACCAAAGGTTTGTTGAGGCTAAGATTTAGAGTTTCCATTTTGGTAGGTAACATAATAGAACAAGAAATGTACAACCTTTCCTCGGTTATATTCTCTTCCTGCCTTCAGTGCAGAGAAGCAAAGCTCAAGAGCTTAAAATGGCAAAATCAGCTTCAGGAACAAAACAAGCATGTAATGCAGTGATGGGACCTTTCAGACTGAGCTGTTTGAGTGGCAGGAGTGTAAGGAGTGTTAGGAAGCAAGCCCCTTGCCCACAATAGTCAATTTCTTCAAGGAAAGATGACGGTAGTGGGCTCTTTCTTTCCTCTGTTATATTAATAAATGTGGGGATTAGAGTTTACACAGGAAAATAAAACACATCTATAGCACTGCTACAAAGAACAAAACCAGGATTTTTCTTTTTCACACAAAGACTCTGAGAATCTCTTTAGGCTTATGGGCCACTCCCAGACCCCAGTACCATCACCAACATGTGGTGTATCAGTTTCCTGTGTCTGCCATAGCAAATGACCACAAATGGAAATTTATTCTCTCACAGTTTTGGAGACCAGAAATCCAAAATCCAGCAAGGTCATGCTCCCTCCAGAGGTTCTGGGGCAGCACCCATTCCATGCCTCTTTCCTGGCTGCTGCTGGTGGCTGATGATCCTTGGCGTTCCTTGGAATCTTGCTGGTCTCTGTCTGATCTCACTTTCCTCCTCCTCGCTCTGTGTCTCTCTCCTCTGGGTGACTCTTATCAGAACACTTGTCATTGGATTCAGGGCCCGCTTGAATAATCCAGGCTGACGATCTCAATATCTTTAACTTCATTACATCTGCAAACTCCCTTTTTCCAAATAATGTCACATACACAGATTTCAGGGATTTGACGCAGACTTATCATTTTTGGGAGCCAACATTGAAACAGCGACTTCAGGCATTTGGCATTTGATGGTTTTGATCTGGTATAAGACAACAGACTGAGTAGAACTCAACGGCATCTTGTTTAAAATCTTATTATATGCCTTTGCCAAAGCCCTGTTTATTGGGAATGATTGTTGCTGCTTCCTTGAGACTGGAAAGCCCTCTAGTTCCCAAGCCTGGTCTAGGATGTTTCGCTCTTAGCTGAAGGTAAAAAGCACTGCAGTCTGAACAGGATGTGCTCAGTAGAGAAAATGCCAGTGAGAGAAGATGGCAAGTACTGGTAATCTTCCCTCTGCTAGAGGGTTACTGATTTGTGATCCAGAGAACAGCCCTAAAAGTAACAATTATTCTTATACCCAGGATGTCAAACACTGAACCTCTCTCAGGTTGTAATGGCAAATGTCACCAGAATGCCTGGCCCCTGCCTTCAGGGCTAATTCCACATTTCACTGTTTGACTTTGAATTGAAGAAATGAATCAACGCTTGGTCACGTGGAACAGTTAGTTGAGTCATATTGCAAGCCTACTTGCAGTTTTTCTTCCATTTTGTCTATGCAACTAAAATGCTGGGAGAGTT
The DNA here is from genome assembly GCF_000001405.40 of Homo sapiens. Lineage (NCBI taxonomy): Eukaryota > Metazoa > Chordata > Mammalia > Primates > Hominidae > Homo > Homo sapiens. Next base: position 59,726,378 of record NC_000003.12, on the reverse strand, counting down.
TCATTCCTACCTGTCAATCCATGGGTTTTCTCATTTCAGGCTCTTCCTGTAATTCTGGCATGGTTTGGAGGCTGTGGAGGCTGCAGGTGGGGAAGGCCAGCCTGAAACACTCTATTTCCATGCTGGCCCCATGAGGCCATTGTAAACACGAACTGTTTCCAGAGCCTTTTAGGAGATGTTTTTTCAGAGGTGTGTGAACCACAGCAACTCCATCTTGAGTAGGAGATCATTATTATATAGGGTAAAATGAGGCTGAAACCTACTGGGCTGCATTCCCAGACGGTTAAGGCACTCTAAGTTACAGGATGAGATTGGAGGTCGGCACAAGATACAGGTTATAAAGATCTTGCTGATAAACACAGGTTGCAGTAAGGAAGCCGGCTAAAACCCACCAAAGCCAAGATGGTAATGAGGGCGACCTCTGGTTGTCCTCACTGCTAACTCCCACCAGTGCCATGACAGTTTACAAATGCCATGGCAATGTCAGGAAGGTTCCCTATAAGGTCTAAAAAGGGGAGGCATGAATAATCCACCCCTTGTTTAGCATATCATCAAGAAATACCCATAAAAATGGGCAACCAGCAGCCCTCAGGGCTGCTCTGTGGAGTAACCATTCTTTATTCCTTTACTTTCCTAATAAAATTGCTTTCACTTTATGGACTCGCCCTGAATTCTTTACTGTGTGAGATCCAAGAACCCTCTCTTCGGGTCTGGATGGGGACTCCTTTCCTGTAGCAGTTTCAAGAACTAAACAAAGCCTAATGATACCAATATGGGAAAAGCCAATGATGACTCTGTTTGCTAAAGTGGGTCTGGTCTACATGGAGAAAATACCAAAAGCAATGAAAACCAATGCTTAATTCAGAACAATGTCCCTGGCAGAATCCTTCTTCTCTCTGATTTCTTCTTGGACACAAATACCCACTACTCTGTTTCTCTTTTGCACAGGGGCTGGAGTGTTGCTAATTTTATGGTGAGCAGTGGGTAACTGGATGTGTGCATGAACATCCATTTCCATTATCACATGTCTGTTGTGTTAGACAGAAACAGCATGGCAGCTACTCCCTCCTTGTACTGATGACATTCCGAAGAAGATTCTCCCGTTATCTTTGAGTTCTCACTTTTCCAACTCTCAGCTCATTCCTATTTTTATTGTTATACCTGTCACCAAAATCCACATGGTGGAAAAGAATGATCCTCCATTTTTGGCAAGGAGGTTTAAAGGATCTTCCTCCATGATTGCTTTCATCACAGTTGACCCAAAGCTATAGAACAATACTTTTAAACCCCCACCAATTCTTTCAGATGATGACCAGGAGCCATGTGTCTTACTGAACAGAAACCTCTACCATTCATCCTTCCCTGAATCCAACCTCCAGACTAAGGTCTGGGCATGTACCTCCTTCTTCTGGGTGTCTCCATCTGTTGAATGTCCTTGCTCAACATGCTGGTAAGAAGGAAATGAACTTTTGTTGAATATTTGCTGTAGATACATTTGTAAATGATGTCATTTAATTTATACAAGATCCTCATACAATGTACATGGGAATTTATGCCTAGAAAGATTTAGTAACTTGCTCAAGGTAACAAAGTTGGTAATGGGTGGATGTGAGATTTGAACTCGGGTGTAACCCCAAAACCCATGTTCTTTGAAGAGGAACTGGTAACCATGGACTCTCAGCAAATTTACCATTCCCAATTTCTCTCCTAAGTCTATTGAGTTGGCAAGTTGCTCCTTTGTGCTGATGTACAAAGACAAAGGGGGAGGAATGGTTAAAGAAAAGCAAGGGATATCCAAATATTCTCAAGGTGAAAACCTCCCTTTAGTCATGTAAGTGAGTGCAAATAATGGCATTTGTATACGATAATAACATATTGGTGGGGGCGGGGAGAGATGTTTCTAAACATGTTTACTTTTACCCTAAAGCAAATGTGTTAATCAAAGGGTTAATGATTACCTAACCTGGAAATAAAACAATGTAAAATAATTAAGATGTAACTTCTTAGTTATCAGAATAAAACCTGGGTCATTCCTACCTGGAATGACTATGACTACGACCAACAACCCTCAATCATTGTCACATCCATGTAGTTCACTTAGGCCCTGAAAATATCTTTATTACCTACTATGCATGGAACAGCGGTGAGGCAGCCCTGAAGGCATAACTGGAAAGTGGAGAGACTGCTAAGGTCTGCTTGTCTCCCCTCCGTAATTCCATGTTAAAACCTAATCACCAATGAGAGTGTTAAGAGGAGCAAGGGCCTGTGGGAAGTGATAAGACCATGATGGCAGAGTCTCTTAAAAAAGAGCCTCAGCAAGTGGCCTTGCCCCTTCCACCATGTGAGGACACAGTGAGAAGGCACTGTCTATGAACCAGGAAACAGGTGCTCACCAGACAAGTAATCTGCCGGCGCCATGATCTTGGGCTTCCCAGCCTCCAGAACTGTGAGAAATAATTTTCTGTTGTTTATAAGCCACCTAGTTTATGGTATTTTGTTATAGCAGCCTGAACAGGTTAAGAGAGTAACCGTGGAGGAATGGGAAGAGCAGGCCTAGTTTCAGTAAGAATATAGAGTCTATTCTAGGCACTGAGAAGATTTTTTTCTAAATCTATTCTTCCTCATCACATTGGATCCTCCTCATCATAATACTGGATACTACTGAAGAATATCTGTGTACCAGTCATTATGCTAAGAATTTTCAAAGCATTATTTAAATCTTTAAAAATTCTATGTTTCCTTCCTTTCTTCCTCCCTTTAAAAATTTTTTATTTAACAAATATTTATGCAACACCTATTGTATGCCAAATACTATATGTACTAGGTGCTGGTACTCAGTGCTGAGCAAAATCATCTGTAAGTAACTGTTACTCTCCTTCTATAGACAAGGAAACTAAAGCTTAAAGAGTTGGTAACTTGCTTCAGGTCAGACACAAATAAGAATGCCTGTCTATATATGAACTCCTTGCCCTTTTCCCTATGCCAAGCTGTTTTTCAGAAGGCAGGAAGAGTGAGAACAGTAGATGTCCTGTGGGCTAACTCTTGTTTTTCCCTACAGACCAGGCCCAATAAACATACCTACTTTCTCAGATGAGAATTTGCAGGTGAAGCAGTTTAGGCCACTAAGTCTCAATCTGTGTCAGTTCAATGAGCATTTACTGGATAACTTCTGTGTGCCCATCTCAGGGAAGGCCTTGGAGAGCTAATGGGACTTTCCTGGATTCTTTAGTTCACTCTGCAAATGTCACACTATCCTCTCATTTTCTGACAGCACAGCAGCATTTTGCTCACTCTCTGAGCATTTTGTCTCATCACCCTGGCTTGGGGTGAACACCTCCCTTTGATATGCCTGGTTCCTAAGGAAGGATTTCAAATAGTGCTCCCAGATTCTAAAAGAGTCCCGTGCTGCTGGTCCAGGGTCACACTTCAGTAAATGAACTTCCTATCCAGGTTGCTCAGGTCTCCCACTTTTCTAATTTTCTTTCTTGCCCCTCACCCTTTTTCTTTTTTTCTCCTTTATTCTTTTTCTTCTTGCTGCCAGAGAGAATAAAATAAGTCCATAACTTTGTGAGACAGTCTAAAGCAGTGGTTCTCATGCCTACGCCTCCATCAGTATCACCAAGATACTGATATTTAAATACTTGTTAAAACTGATTGCAAGGCCCTACTTCCAGAGTTTCAGATTCAGTAGGTCTGCAGTGGGTCCAGGGACTGACAAGTTCCCAGGTAACATGGATACTGGTGGGTCAGGGCCCACACTTTGAAAACCACTGGCCTAAAGGAATATTTTTTTTTAAGTAAATAAAATGTGTTCTTAATGCAGAATCTAGCTGTTTTTCAGGCCCTGTATTTAACATATCTTAGTCTAAAAGTAATGAACTGCAAGTTAAATCCAATCAGGCCACTCAAGCATTTCCAGTAGGTTTTTAGAGTTATTTAACACTGCAGAAGCCTTCTTGTCTGGGCTAATTAAGTGATTAGTTTAGATCAATAGTAGATGAACAATAAGAAAGTGGGGCAGCTACAGCTCACTACCAACTTAATAAAATGGTGCTCACTTCAGCCGAGAGAAGTAGCATGGGTTTAAAATTGGTCTTAGCTGCTAAAGACTTTAATGTATCTATCTTCAGGGAAAAGGAGCTCATCCATGCTCCAGCTGGATCTATGGTTACGGTTGCTGGGCTTGATTGGTCAATGAACTTCCTTAAAAGCCAAAAGTGCCATTTTGAACAACTGACATTCATGTATGTCTCCCACAACTGGATATCAAGCATCGCCAGAAACTCCATGCATGGGTGTGTATAGGTGCCTCAGCACTCATAAACCCCATTGAGGTGGTGCTTCATTCACAATTCAGTAAGGTTCAAAGGCTAAAGACCCATAGCTTTGGAAGTTTGCATCACCTTACAAGTTTCACATTTTTAGGGAAAGTGAATGGTAGGGAGCTGGCATTTATTGTGCATCAGCCTCATGCACCAATGACATTTTGAAGCAGGTAGTACCAGTCTGATTTTACAAACAAAGGAACATGAGACTCAGAGAGAATGTCACCCGTGGTGGTGGTGGTAGTGGTGGTGGTGGTGGTGGATGATGACAATGACAATAATAGCACCTAATATTTATTGAGCACTTACCATGAGATTATGTTCTAGACATTTTTTCTAGGTAGTCTACATTATTAACTTATTCAATCTTCACAACAACCCTCTAAGTAAATTCTATTATTATCCCATTTTACAGATAGGAGAATTACAGCATGAAATATGTGTAACTTTCCCTTGGTTACCCAGTTAGTAAGTGTCAGAGCTTTCATTTGAATCCAGATGATATAAATCCAGAGTCCACAATGGTACCTTTCTGGCTGAGATGAAAACCCAAGTCAACCAAACTCTAAAGCCCCATCTCCCTGCTGCCCTGAACTTTCTCCTATGGAAAGAACCTAGTGGGCCTCTTTCTCTCATAAAGCTACTTAAAGACTGAAGACTAAAGCTAAAATGTTCCCTAGCACGCTCTTTATCCCTGTGGAGATCTTGTCTTTGTGCATTCATAGAGAATCTCACAAACTAATGCATCCAGACATCTGGCTTCAAGGGAAGGTAGATCTACTTTGGAAGTAAGCCCAAAAGGGAAAAGGTCTGTCACTGTACCAAGGGTGGTTTTCCCAAACTTCAGTCCTCCTCAGTCTTCCCAACCTTCAACACTTTTGTCATATCTACATAATACCTATGTTGTTTACTTATTATGTTTTCATTTAATTTTTATGTTTCTTACATTGTTCAATGAAAAGGAAACTCATAATTACTGCAGCAAATAGAAAACCAGTATCCCTTGCTATAAATATAGAAGCTATATTTCATGAATATCATGAAAAAAAGTTATTAAATTCTAGCTGGGTACCATTGCCTGCTGAAAGCCCTGTTCAGAGGCTTGCCTTCTCACTTTATTACAAAGGGACATTAGTAAGTGTTAGAGAGGCGTTAAAATACCCTAGCACCAGACAGAGTCCTGCTCTTGAGGCTGGAGAGAGAAGTGGAGAGGGAATAACTTCTCACCTTGTGATCTGATGGTTTTTTGGATGCTTTGTCCATGGGCCTCCCAAAATCCTCCTGTGCTCCAGTAGTGATATGCCTCCCACCAGGGACAACACAGACCCAGCTGTGCATGGCCTGCCACTGCCCTAGCTATGCCCCAGGGCCATCATGAGCTTCGTCTGCTGCTTTCTGTGCATCAGACACATCTTGAAAAAGGGAAAACTATCTCATGTTCAGGTGCCTCAGGGATACAGGCAAAAATCAAGGAGAGAAAAGTGATTATGCTGTCAAAGAAGCAAAAGGAGCTTCCAACAGTAATAGTGATCATTGAGGAGTTTTTCTTTTGAACAGAAATGCCTTTGATAGTGCCTTCCTCTATCCTCCTGTTATTCTGTTGCAAGAATGAATAAGCAGGAAGAAACAAATGGGTACTTTTGTGTTTTAGGATCATCTGCTATAGAAAAAAAAAGGGGGAAAAAAAAAAAAGGGACGGCCCAATTTCAAGGGTGGTGAGAGATCACTATGTCTCCATCTCCATATCCATCTAACAAAAGAAAAGGGAAGAGAAGAGAAGGGGAAAGAAAGAAAGGAGACAAAGAGAAGGAAGAGAAATAAATCCGGCAAAGAGGGTTTCATAATGCACTCCTTACCCTCAGCTCCAAGGATCCTAGAATATTCAGAGCCTTCAGTAACCTTAGAAAGGCATTAAAATCCCCTTCTTCCATTCTTCTAATCCAAGCTTCTCCTTTCTAGCTGAGTAGAGCCCTTCTTTGGTGATGTAATTAGTGTACAGAGTAAGAAGTTTTACAACATATTCACAATACTTTGCACAGCCATTTTAAGTGGGAAAAAAGACAAACCCAACAGAATTGTCTTTTTGTAAAGTATAGGAAATACAGAGATTCCTCCGTTGACAAGGATCTATGAACATAATGAGGTGGTGGTGGTGGGGCATTCTCCATGGAGCAAACATTATGCCAGATACTTTACCTCCAATGAACACAGTGATATGAATCCTATTAGTCTTCCCATTTTATAGACTAGTAAATTGAGGCTAGAGAGGTTCAGTAACTCACCCAAAATCATAGAACTAGTGACAGAGCCAGGCTCACACCCAAATCTGTTTTGCACCAAAGGTCATGGTCTTAACTACCAAGCTCTGTTGAGACCCTAATGGAAATGAACTAAGTATTCATTATCCCTTCTGTGTAATTATATATAATTAAAGCCATTGGAGAAACTAATAGAAGCCAAACCTTTCCCCAAGGCTCTATTGGCTTGCAAAAGATGTGAAAGCCTGCTAGCGTTCTTATATTAAAATCTTATTTCTCCTCTCTGCGCACATCACAGATTAAGTACTAATAAGAACTAACCAAATCATAGTAGCTGATATTTATTGAGCACTTATTAGGTGCCAGACATTATGCTAAATGCCTCCGACTCACTCCCATGCATTCTCTCTTAGTTTCATCCACCACCTTGTGAGACAGGTGCTGCCTAGGAGAAAACTAAGACTCAGAGATGTTAAATAACTTGTTCAAGGTCACTCAGCTTGTAAGGGGCAGAGCAAGAATGATGACCCAGCCATCTCTCTGTAGACTACACATCCCATGTTAGGATCTGGTGTAGCAGGAAGATTGATCGAGAAGCACAAGAATTAGGGACATCGCACTTTCCCTTTCCAAGACTGGAATGATGGATGAAAGGAGCTCATGGAAATGTCCTGGGGCCTTAGAATCTACCAGGCTCTTTTCTCTAAGTAAATCATACAGAGCAAAAGCCAGCTAGAGATGGGATTTTCAGAAGATTTCCATACTTTCTGCACTGTTGCATGAAAAAGAAGTTATTGCCTCCTTCTAAGGTCGCAGGGAGGCTCTCTGCCTACAGCAGAATTCACCTGCAAGTCAGGATTGCCTATGTATGTTACTCAAGGGATTGGAGAGCAGGAGGATCCAACAGCCTTCCAGAGTCAGTGTTCTGATTTTTTTTTTTAAAGTATCCACCCTACATATTATATATTTCCTGGTCTAGCTTCAGTGTATATCCTTAAATTACATTTTATTAATTGTGCAGAATGAGAGGCTGCTACACCTAAGACTGTTCTAAACAGAAGTGTGCACAAGATTTGGAGGGAACTTGCTAAAGAAATGCATAGCTCAAGGCCTTTTCCTGGGAATCACATTCTGCAGGTCTGAGGTGAAGCCCAGGAAACTGTCTCATGGCAACCAATCCCAGAAGACTCTTCTGTAGGTGTTCAGAGGACACAGGTCAAAACACATTGCCTCGGACCCCTCCTTGGAGGCTGTATTTTCAAACTCAAACATTTCCTTAGCCTGCAAATTTTTCTGACCACCCTTACCTAACTCTACACCTTAGTTATAAGATTTTATTGCCCTTGGGAACTTCTACTTTTTTTCCATCTATTCCAGGAGTGAAGGAGATATATAGAGAGATACAGAGAAGACAGAGAGAGACACTAAGTCCTGACAACATGGTTTGAGCCCCTGGATCCAGCTACACCTGAGGACAATAGACCTCTGGATTTTTCAGTTATGTGAGCTAATACATAAATGCTTTTTTGAGTTTAATCTACTAAGCAAATGATAGGAGAGAAAGGAATGAATCATTCTCTGCTTGTCTCAGTAAAGGAAAAAAGATAAATGTGCATAACACTATTGTTATGCAAAACAATCCACACCCAACCCTACTTACTCTGCCTGCCTGAGGCTGAGCTAGGACCCCAGCCTGCCTGGTCCTTTGCATTCTCATCAGCACCATTAGCATTATTTCAACCTAATTCTGTCATTTAATTGCCTAGTGTTCTGTGCCCTGGGGAGCCATGAGCAGAGAGCTGATGACTGTGGTTCCTCTAGGATGATCATATCAGAAGTATAGATATTAACAGCAATTGTGTCATGTCACCTTCTTTGTGTTTCCACTGTCAGCAGCTGATTGACAGAAAAAGCACTGCACAAGTGAATTCTAAAGTGTCTCTCTGGTTTGCGTTTTTATGCCAGAGGCTATGGGGAAAAAGGAAGTGAGCCAATGGAACCAGAGGCCTTGTTGTAGCCCTGTAGCTTTTTACTGCAGATTATACCTGGGAATCCAGCAGGGGTCTCTTTACAAGTGTAAAACAGTGAGGGACTCTTTGTATCTCTTACTCTAAAAAGCATTTAAATAATGTCTCGGTTTCCTCCTTTGTGCTTTAATATTGGAGCTCATGTACCCTGGGATCTTAGGGGCTTGAATTTCCATTGTAAGCTCCTGACTTTGGTTCCCCGATAGCAAGGTATTCTTATGGGGCAGAAACAAGGAATGAACACTGAAGACTAAAGTTGAAGTCTGCATGGACCCAGAACCTTCCTCTGCCTGGTCTGGGGCTGCTCAGCCACTGAAGACAGGCCTAGGTTTATGCTCTCTTCCCAGAGGCAGGAGCACCCTTGTTAAACCACCTCTCAGTAGCCAGAGTCCACAATTCAACAGCTATCCCAATGCTAAGCCCTGTGTTCCACACTTCACACATGTTTTGCATTTGATTTTCACAACTACCATCTTAGGTTGGTCTTCTGCCCATTTCACAGATGGAAAAAAACAAGCTCCCAGAGGTTAAGAGATTTCTCCAACAGAGTACAGCAAGCAAGTGGCAGAGACTGAATGTGAGCCTGGCTCCGTCAGACTCCAAAACCTGAACTCTTCACCAAAGAGCCTGGGGAAGTAGAAAGGACAACCGTTCAGGAACAGAAGTTGGCAAACTAGGGCCTGACAGCCATATCTGGCTACACACACTTTTTGTAAATGTATTTTTAGTGGAACATTGTTGTGGGAAACCAAGGACCCCGAATGGAGTGACTGGCTGAAGCCATGGCAGAACATAAATTGTGAAGATTTCATAGACATTTGTTAGTTCTCCAAATTAATACTTTTATAATTTCTTATGCCTGTCTTTACTGCAATCTCTGAACATAAATTGTGAAGATTTCATAGACATTTATCACTTCCCCAATCAATACTCTTATAATTTCCTATGCCTGTCTTTACTTTAATCTCTTAATCCCCTCATCTTCGTAAGCTGAGGATATATGTTGCCTCAGGACCCTGTAATGATTGCGTTAACTGCACAAATTGTTCGTAAAGCATGTGTGTTTGAACAATATGAAATCTGGGCACCTTGAAAAAAGAACAGGATAACAGCGATGTTCAGGGAACAAGGGAGATAACCATTAGGTCTGACTGCCTGGGAGCCAGGCAGGACAGAGCCATATTTCTCTTATTGCCAAAAACGGGTAAGAGAAATATCGCTGAATTCTTTCCCCAGTAAGGAATATTAATAATTAGCAGCCCTGGGAAAAGAATGCATTCCCAGGGGGGTAGTGCGGGGGGGCTCTAAAATGGCCACTCTGGGAGTGTCTACCTTATGCAGTTGTAAATAGGGATGAAACCAGGCTTATTAGGATTAGGAAATTCCTGCCTAGCAAATTTTAGTCAGACTGGTTGTCTGCTCTCAAACCCTGTTTCCTGATGTTTATCAATGAGAATGCGTGCACAGCGGACCGGGAACCTCATTAGTAATTCTAGTTTTGCCCTGGCCTTGTGACCTTGCCCTGCCCATTTGCCTTGTGATATTTTGTTGCCCTTGAAGCATGTGATCTCTGTGACCCACACCCTACTCGTATACTCCCTCCCCTTTGAAAATTGCTAATAAAAACTTGCTGGTTTTACAGCTCAGGGGGTATCACGGAACCTGCCGACATGTGATGTCTCCCCCGGACACCCAGCTTTAAAATTTATCTCTTTTATACTCTTTCCCTTTATTTCTCAGACTGGCCGACACTTAGGGAAAATAGAAAAGAATCTACGTTGAAATCTTGGGGGCTGGTTACCCCGAAAGAACATGTTATTTGTATTTTGTCTGCAGTTGCCTTCCCTATATAACAACAGAAGTAAGTTATTTCAACAAAGACCATAATGCCCAGCAGAGCCAAAAATATGTATTCTATGCCCTTCAGAGAAAAAGTTTGCCAGCTCTTCATTCAGAACATTAAACTTTGGAATCAGTGTGACTTAACAGTCACTTCCCCTTACCAGCTCTGTGCCTTCAATTTTTCTTATCTGCAATTCATGAGTCCTAGGAACACTGGCCTCAGTAAGTCTCTTGCGAGGATTGAATGAGATATTGCATTCAAATGCCTAGCATAGTGTCTGGCACTTAGTAAGTGATATGGTTTTGCTATGTCCCCACCCAAATCTCATCTTGAATTGTAGCTCCTATAATCCCCATGTGTCATGGGAGGACCCAGTGGGAGGAAATTGAATCATGGGGGTGGGTTTTCCTGTGCTGTTCTCATGATAGTGAATAAGTCTCATGAGATCTGATGGCTGTATAAAGCGCAGTTCCCCTGCACACGCTCTCTTGCCTACCACCATGCCTTTGATCTTCCTTCACTTTACACCATGATTGTGGGGCCTGCCCAGGCATGTGGACCTGTAAGTCCATTAAACCTCTTTTTCTTTATAAATTACCCAGTCTCGGGTATTTCTTCATAGCAGTATGAAAATGGACGAATACAGTAAGTACTCAAGGAAAAGTAGCCTCTTATTCGACCCATCAAGACTATAAAACATCCCAAAGCAGCTGGAGCTTGTGTTAATTCCCAGTAGAGGACAGATAGGTACAACTGAAGCCTTGGATGGGGGAAGCAGGGAGGCAAAAGGACTCAGGCAGGCTATCAAACCAGCCTTTCTGCAAGGCTTGGGTCTCTGGTGACAGTCCCCACGTGGGCAGCTCAATTCCTTCCCTGTCAGACCCTCTTGAATTCCCAGTCTCTGAAGCTGGGCTCTAAGGAAGAATGCCGAAGAATCAGGGTCAACCTAAGTTGTTTTTATCGAGGACATTGGTTTTCTCCCCCTTCTTTTAGCCAAACGTGAAAGGTAGCTATGAAAGAGAAATTAAATGGCTCATCCAGGAGTTTATTATTTCATTGATGTGTCAGAGATTTACATACGTAGCTTCTCTTAACACCAATGGGAGCAGAGCAAATACATGATTTTCTTTATTGCGAAGGTCAAACATACGTTTGTTTATCCTCTGTATTTTAAAGTTATCAGCAATGATTTAACTTAGGTACTGAGCTGAGTGAAACACACTGAAGGCATTTTTATGTCAGCATCCTTTTCTTCTTCTTAAAATATGAAGACTTTTAAAAAAGAAACAACAGGGCTCCAGTTGGCCTCATTGGAGCCCACACAGGGGCTTTTTCTGATTATGCTAATAAGTAATCACAACAATACTTCTTTTTTAACACATGCCCAGGGTTTTATCCCACTGAAAATTATCTCACATTAAAATGGTGCAAGCACAATGCAGCACTGAAGACATTCTAGAGTTACAGGGAAGGAACTCACTGTGTGAATGTTTTCTCTTCCCCAACACCATCACCCCTCAGTTTTCCACACCATGTTGTTCTAGCCAAGAGGAGAAATTGTGAGCTCAGTGATATATTGAATGCTTAACCCAACTTCATTAACTAAAGCTAAATGCTAACACACACTGTATCAGCTTCCAGCACAAATTAGCATCCGTAATAAAGCATATAATTAACCATATACCCAAATGCTCTCTATGATGAGTAAGCCTCTAAAAGCCCCCAGGCTGCTCTTTGATTTTCCTGAGTTGGGTCTGTGGTAGCAGCCTGGTTCCCACAAGCTTCTTGTCCATCAGCCAAATGAGCATCTGAACTGACAAGTTTCTGGACAAACTCATCCAAAGTCAATCACAGAAGGTCAAGGAGAGTTAGCTGCTTTTCTGCCCTGTGAAGGGTCCACGGTAAGTTCAGCTCAAAGTCAGGGTGGAGGCAGAAATAAAATGCAAGGTTTTCCTGGTCACCTGCCCAGGTCCTGCTCAGTGAATACTAAGAAGCCTTGGTAAAACCAATATGGACACTGATATCTCCAGAAATGTCCATCCTCATTATGACCCCTCCATCTGGGTGGTTGGCTGCTGCTCTGGTTTGACTGTTTTTGCCCAAACTCACATTGAAATTTAATTGCCACTTAAATGGTATTAAGAGGTAGTAACTTTAACAGGTGATTAGGCCGCAAGGGCTCTGTCCTTTTGAATGAAGTTAATGCTGTTATCATGGGAGTGGGATCTTCATAAAAAGGTAAGTTTGGCCTACTTCCCTCTCTGTCTCCTGTGCTTGTTTCCACCTTCTACCCTTCCTCCAAGGGATGACCCTCACCAGATGTCAGTACCATGCTCTTGGACTTCCCAGCCTTCAGAACCATGAGCCAAATAAATTTCTGTTCTTTATAAATTATCCAATTCTGTGATAGCAGCAGAAAGTGGACTAAGACACCCACTTACAATGGACTTGGAGGTCTGAAATCCCCTCCAACCTTCACTGAGAGAGGTTAGGGATTTGTCCACAGGTGTATAAAGGGCAAAAGTTGAAATTCAACCTAAACTCCACATTTAGTTCACTTCTGAGAAAACTTTTGAGTACCTATTCCATCCACTGTGCTAACATATAGGGATTCCTCCCATACCAAATCTACCATTTACCTTTAGTATATCTCCAGATTCAGGAACTGTCCCTTTCTCTCTCCGTCCATCTCTCTGTTCTTGCTTCTGTAACACCACCCTGGGCCAAACCACCATCATTTCTTGCTGGACTTTGGTAGCAGCTCTTGGTTCCCTCTCTCATTTTTTATGCTTGTTTTCTTAAATTTGTCCTCTACACATTAGCCAGATTCTTACTGAGAGGTGTCAGCTAGAGTTCATCATTTTCTTACTTCAAACCTTTTAATGACTTTCTACTATACATTGAATAAAACCCACATGCCTGTCTATGGCATATAAGCATTTCCAGGACTTAGTGCCTGCTACTTCTTTAAGCCTCATTTTCTTCTTTCCTTGCCACATTTCCATTTTATTTGATGGCTTTTCCTTTTTAAGTCTCAAATACAATAAGCTGTATCCTGCCCCAGTTCCTTTACATTGGCTATTTTCCTCTGCCTGGAATGTTTCTATTCTTGTCTTAGGTGATTTTCTCTCAAGGCTTGGGTCTCAGCTGAAATTCTACCTCTTCCAAAAGGTTTCCTCTGTTCACTGAAGTAAGCCTCCTCCACAGCACTCCTGATGACTCTGATATTTATTCTATATCCCTAGACCTAGGAAAGGGGCATATAGTAAATTCTGTGTAAGAATAGGTACTAAATAAATAAGTGAAAAACTCACAATCTAACAGCAGTATAGCATTCTTTTCCATTCTAACAGCAGTATACCATTCTTATCCATTATCCCACAGCTGCCTTCATATATTAAATAGGAGGCAGACTTTGAGCACAAGACTTTTCCTAAAGGACAGAACAACTGCAAGACTAAATTTTTAAATTGTCCTTAGAATAACAAGTATTCCCATGCCTTTTCCCCAGGACTGAAAAGTCAACTGATACTTTCAAACTAAGTAGTATATCAATAAAGCAGACAAGCTCCTGGGCAATGGGAAGCATCCTATCTACCATTCTTCACTTGCTAAGAAAACCTCTAGGATTTCTAATGCAATCAGTATGCCAAAAAAGGAGGCTGATGGACAGAGAATGTAAGGGCATAAAAAGACATGATATTTATGGTGAAGGTGGTTCTAAAATCTATTTGTAGGCTTACCCGAAGGACAGGCTATGTGTGAATATCCAGATCTATTTCAAGGGGCATCCCAGAGTTCCCATTCATGGACTCTTTGCTGAGCTCTTTGCTGAATGAAATTCTTTCTAGGCTAAGAAAAGGCTGAAGCCTGAAGAAAAGGTTCCTCCTAATTTTTTTGCTCTGGCTGCATTGCTTTTTCATCAGCTGACTGCATGAGTGTGGAAAGCTCATCATTCCAGTCTTTGAGCCCAGGTAGCTGAAAACCCTTTATACTAAAATACAAAGCCAAATCCAGAGCTTTTTCTTCTGGACTTCTATTGGAGCCATACTCATCAACAGAGTACATCTTGTCCAACTGAAAGGCTAACCCACCTTCCCATTCCCCACCCCTTTGCACCACTTGAGTCAGTTTTGTGTGAACCGCTTTGAAAAAAATTCCCCAAGTTCTAGGTAGGATGCCTTGTTTAGTTTTTGCTACGGTGAAACCTCTCTAGACTTTAACAAGCTTCCAAGAGGCAGTGGTTTTATTTAAGACTCCTCAGAGGGTCCTGACTTACTCACAGTTCATGGCAGAAATGAAGGAAGAAGAAAGAAGAAAGAAGAAGAAGAATGAGAAGGAGGAAAAGGAGGAGAAGAGGAAGGAGGAGAGGGAGGAGAGGGAGGAGAGGGAGGAGAAGGAGGAGAAGGAGGAGGGGGAGGAGAAGAGGAGGAGGGGGCAGAGAAGAATAATTTGGACAAAAATATTTTATTGCTCCAATAGTGGCAGGTGTTTGAAACCCGACCTAATAGTTTAAGTTCTAAGGTTTCCAGAAGCGTTTCTATACATCATAGTTACTGAATTAAATATATGTGTGCAATGTGCTGTGGTCTTTTTATAACGTTATTTTAAGTCTGCTTTCCTTCATGTTGCAAATAAATACATAAAACCAGTTTGTGAGCATCAGGAAGGATCCATGGACAATGAGTTCTTGATTTTGCTATGTAGGGATGTTCTCTAGAACAAAGACAAAAACTAACCTCTGCTTTTTTGGAGATTTGCATATAGCCTTTTGGATAGCCCTGAATGCAAGAAAGTAAAATTACTTTTTTCAAAAAATTACTTGACTACCATGCAATAAGAAGTACTTCAAAGCCCCCATGCCTCCTCTTGTAGTGAACTGATTTTTCATGGGTAGTTGGTCTCCTGGGTATCACGAGTAGGTCTGGGGAAATGCTGCATATATTCATTTAAAATTGTCTCTGTGCTGATGGCTAAGAAAGTTCCCTGGGACTGATGCACTAGAGTGGTCTGCATAATTGAACACTGTGTCTGCAAATAAGACTAATAACCATAGTTGTTCAAATGATTACCATATCATAGATCTTAATAGTCTACCAGAAATGCTTCTGATGGTACTGCTTTTTTTAATTTTTTTCATGATCAGCTAACCTTACACAGGGCAGTTATCCATACAATTGGATTAGCCACTCACTTGTCTCTTGGCCATTTGCCTACTCGCCTCTTTTCTGAATCTAATTTCTCCACCTATAAAATGTGGAAATTGGACTAGATGACCTCTGAGGTTCTTGAAAGATCTGACCTTCTGGGTTTGGGATAATGAAAACATCCTCTTTCAGATACTCAATATGTATTGAAGGTCTGTGACCTGCCAAGGTTACCCAGCTTGTAAGAGGTAGAGCTGGTATTCTGAGTCTCCAAAGCCCTTAGTTTTAACCAGTATGCTTCTGTGTCCAAAGGAAAAATAGAGAGCAGAGCCACTCACTGGGAGAACCACCCAAAAGGTTTAGAGAAATATGTGCACATCCTGCTGTTAATTGGCCAAGTAGCATCCTGTTGTCAGTAGAGCTGAATGTGGAGCTCAGGAAACCAGTGAGCCACAGGTTTGGCTTTTGTGTTTGTTGATGAAATTCTCTGTGAAGGTTAGTTGTACAACCTTCTGACTACCATTTGATAAATAAAGATGAGTCTGCTAGATCCCCAAGAAATAGGGGAGACAGAGCCAACAACTTGGTATAACTCCCTCACCAACACCACCTTGCACATATGCACACACACATATGCACACACACACAGTGACAGCAGCAGCTCGGTATAGTACATCCAGGGGAGAGAATTATGTTTTATTTCAGTGATCTTAGTTAACACATCTTCGTGAAATGTGATGCCCAATGGGCACAAGTGAAATATTTCAATGCTCAACACTGCACTGAAGGAAGTCTCCTGTCATCAAAGCTATTTCAGCAACCTCTCAGTCCACACCACTTCCTCATGGCCACGGGACCTGGAGGGGGCTGGGTGGAATGCTCTGCAGGCAGAACAAGCCACAGCCTGGACTCCAGTTTCCTCCAGACCATGCCATCTGAGGCTGTGCTCCAGCTGCCGTTTCTGCTTGGCAGGGGCAAAGCTGAGTGATGAAGACCTCGAGTGTTAGTGTCTGGACCCAAATCATGGCTTCACTATTTTCTTTGCTTGGGGGTGGTACTTGATCTGTCTCAGTTTCCTGCTTTATAAAAGGAGGATAAATAATGGTAATAGCTTCAGTCAAAGGGCACTTATGAAGATGAATTGAGATTAACCATATCATAAGGGTTTAATTCTGTCCTTGGCAAATAATATGCACTATATTAGTTTCCTATGGCTGCTGTAACAAATTGCCACAAACTTGGTGGCTTAACACTGTACAAATTTACTATCTTTCAGCTTTGGAGGTCAGACATTTGAAATCAGTTTCACTGGGCTAAAGTCAAGGTATTGGCAGACCATCATTCCTTATGGAGGTTCTGGGAGAGAATCAGTTTCCTTGTCTTTTCCAACTTTCAGAGGCCACCTTTGTCACTTGGCTCATGGCCCGTCTTCTATCTTCAAAGTGCATCACTCCAACCTCTGCTTCTGTCATCCCATCTCTGTCTTCCACCTTTGACTCTCCTGCCTCCCTCTTATAATGCCCATGGTGTTTGCATCAGGCCCACCTGGATCATACAGGCTAATCTCCCCACTTCAAGATTCTCAGTCATAACCTCTAATGTTTCTTATGCCACGTAAGGTAACATATTCACAGGTTCCAGGGTTGAGGACGCGGACATCTCTTAGGGGCCACTATTCAGCCTACCCCATGCATGGAAACATAAGTTTTACGATTACGCTTATTCCTTTGTGCCCTTTTTCTTTCATTTAGATAAAATGCACATGTGGTAAACAGATAAATCTTAAAGGTAGAATTTATGAACGTTTACATTTTGAACCCCTCTAACCACCCCTCAAGTCAAGATGAGAACATTTACAGCTCCTTACACCCCTCCCCATCAATACCCTCCTCTACCCGGAGGTCATCCCTAGCCTTATGCTTATTTTCATTCATTACTTTTGCCTGTTCTTGGAGTCATAGGAACAGAATCATACTGTATTTGTTTTGTATCGGGCTTCTTTCACTCGATATAATGTCTGTGACTCAATCAGGTTGTGAAGTGCAGTAGTTTGTTCTTTTTGGCACCGTCTGATATTATGTTTAGCGTTTCCCTGTCTTGTCTATACATTCAGCACCTGACCATAAATATACTACTGTTTGATAGAGTTTGGCTGTGTCCCCATCCTAATCTCATCTTGAACTGTAGTTCCCATAATCCCCATGTGTTATAGGCACCTGGTGGGAGGTAACTGTATCATGGGAGCAGTTTTTTCCCCTGCTGTTCTCATTCTGGTGAATAAGTTTCATGAGATCTGATGGTTTTATAAAGGGCAGTTCCCTCGCACACGCTGTCTTACCTGCTGCCACGTAACATGTGCTTTTGCTCTTCCTTCACCTTTGCCATGATTGTGAGCCTCCCCAGCCATGTGGAACTGTGAGTCCATTAAACCTCTTTTTCTTTAGAAATTACCCAGTCTTAGGTAAGGTCTTTGTAGCAGTATGAAAATGGACTAATACACTATTTTTTCAAGAATCATTTCAAACATCATCTTTGTAAAGCATCATCTGGTAGCAATATGTCCTCTCAGTCTGAAATATAATCTATGTCTGCCTCCTGTACCACTTGTATGTGACCCTTGGGACCCACTCATGACATGTCCTGTCTTACAAGTCAGGCCCTCATCTCTTGTACTACATCACCTGCTCCTGTGAACGGGAACATTATGCTTTATCTATCTTTGTATTAACATCAGCCCTAGCACCGTGCCTCATGCACAGCCGCTGAACTCAACAACATCTATTCCATTGCCTCCATGATAACCATTTTCCTCTGAAAAAAAGATGCATTGCCATTGCTTGCCAATTGAAACCCATGTGTGCAAAGCATATCTGTTTCCTGCAGGTATCATGAGACTGGCTAACAGAAGGTAGCCTGGAGAATGTCCCCCAGGATCCCTTTTCAACACCAATCAGAAACAAATGCGGGGAGGCAAGGCTGGTTCAGGGTAGGCAAGAGTTTGAACCCTTGGCTTCTATGGGTTTTCTCCCCAAACTGGAGTAAAAAGATGTCAAGGGTTTGACTCTGTTTTGAGGTCTGACTGCTGATAGCTTCCAAGCTCTATTCTACTCTCAAGCCCCTTTCCGACCTGACCTCAATCTGGGCAAGTCAATGAGGAAGCCCAGATATGCTGTCCCTTTGTGCTTGCAGTGAGGTTCAAATCACTCAGACCCCAGCTTGTGCATGGAAACCTGAACCCCAGCCCCAGCCCCTGAGCTCTGTAAAACCCGAAGCCCTGATGTTGCCTGCCCATGGCCCTCACTTCACGCTGAACAGAGAGCCTGAACCCTTCTCCTTAGGGAGCCCTTTGCCTGTTTCCTGTGTGATTAATAAACATGATTTCACATCCATCAGTGCCTGTGTGTCATTTATCTTGCCATCCATAAATTTCTGGGCAGGTCTGTCTAGCATCCAGTAGGGGCTGTTTGGTGCCCAAATAAGACAGATTTAAATAAGAAGCTCCAGGCCAGGCCCAGTGGTTCACGCCTGTGATCCCAGCACTTTGGGAGGCTGAGACGGGTGGATCACGAGGTCAGGAATTCGAGACCAGCCTGGCCAACATGGTAAAATCTCGTCTCTACCAAAACTACAAAACAATTAGTGGGCGTGGTGGCAGGCATCTGAAATCCCAGCTACTTGGGAGGTTGAGGCAGGAGAATTGTTTGAACACAGGGGGCAGAGGTTGCAGTGAGCCAAGATCGCGCCACTGCACTCCTGCCTGGGTGACAGAGCAAGACTCCATCTTGGGGAAAAAAAAAAAAAAAAAAAAA